>NW_025791813.1:0-336752 GCF_000001405.40 Homo sapiens
TTCCCGCCTTGGCCTTCCAAGTAAGTGGGATTACAGGCTTGTGCCACAGTGGTTGACTGTGCCCCCTAGTGTTTTTTATTTTTTATTTTTTTAGACAGAGCCTCGCTCTGTTGCCCAGGCTGGAGTGCAGTGGTGCGACCACAGCTCACTGCAACCTCCGCCTCCCAGGTTCAAGTGATTCTCCTGCCTCAGCCACCTGAGTAACTGGGATTACAAGTGTGCACCACCACACCCAGATAATTTTTGTATTTTTAGTAGAGATGGGGTTTCACCATATTGGCCAGGCTGGTCTTGAACTCCTGACCTCAAGTGATCTGCTCACCTCAGCCTCCCATAGTGCTGAGATTACAGGTGTGAGCCACCACGCCCAACCTGCCCCCTAGTATTTTAAGTACAGTTGCTGCCTCATTTGATTCTCACAATTCCATGAGGTAGGAACTATTAATATTTCCATTTTGAAGATGGGGAAACTGAGGCTTAGAAAGATTTAAGTAACTTTTCCAGTGTTCCCCAGTGGTGATCCTGGGATTTGTAGCAAAGTCAGCTGGCCCTGAAATCTGTTCTCTTGACCACTTTGTTCTGTTGCCTCTGCATACTAAGCTGTCTTCTCCCTCAGAGTAAAATACACTCTTTTCCTGTTTTTATAACCCAAATCAAGAGGTGCTTATAATGGCCTCACATCTGTGATATAAACAACAACGGGCTGGAAAGTTTTGGAGAGTCTGAACCAGATGTGGGACTAACGCTGCCCTTGAGGGATAGGAAGGATTTGAACAGGTGAGAGGTAGAGCTCCTCTCACTTAGACTTCTGGGAGAAGATGGCTTGAAAATCCTCTCCATAATATTGTTATATTATAATCTCATAAAATATTATAGTTATTGTCGTTCATCTTTAACCCAGCTTCATCATCTTAAACAGCTTGTGAGGGTGAGCATACAGACTTGTTCATATTTCTACACAAGCTCAGCACATAGCATGGCACCTTCTCTTTGATTTGATTGAAATTGAATTATCATTGATGGTAAGCTGGATGGGCTTGGGAAAGTATTCTTGCCAAACCTTGAATTCCGATAAGCTTTTCTTTTTCATGTTTTTCTCCAGCCCTTCCTCTGCTTTTGAAGAAGTCCTAAAGAAAAAAAGAACACAACTCTTCATGTGAAATCATTTTTGACGTCTTTGGAGATTTCTCTAGGTTCTGGCCCAAGCCTGACTGTTGTTCTGTTCCACCTACATTCTTCCTACACTTGAGGGATTTGAAAAAATGTACTTAATGATTTGGACTTATTTTAATTTTCTCTAACTTATTTATTTTCTCTGAGGTTAAGAACATTTTGTAAATTCACTAACCAAAGATATTTTGCACACGATGAAAGAGCTTTTAAAAAACATTGGATCGGAGTTAGCATATTTCCCCAAGGAAAGGAAATACACAAACTAGTCACATGATTGATTGAAAAAAACAAAGCAAGAGAACTAAAATATCCTCCTGAACTAGTTCCTAAGGTACACTCTTTTTCCATTCTGACACAACAACTAGTCTGCACTGTTTGTTTTTTGAAGTGAAACTTTGGTGGGAAAATTTATAACCAAAATTTCTGTATATTTCACACTAACATTCTTTCTCTTGCCAGACATTTTGCTGTGAACTCAGGCATTTATCCCCATATGTTTTCCAGCCTGTTCAGGTGTTCATCTCTCTTGTTCTCAGTAAATACTAAATTTTCAAGTCAAGCTTCTGGAAAGGTAGTTTGGTCACCATGTTTTTGTAGAGAGTGATTATAATGCACATTTTCTTTCATTTGTTCATAATAATGAACACAAACCCCTGGTGTGAATTTCACTTTATTAGTAGAGTCTTTACAGTCTGAGGATCTGATATTAGTAAAGAAGTCAATTTTGAAAATGTTGGCTATCTGAAGAAGAGTGACAAATCATGAATGACCTAATTGATATTGACAAAGCTATTGAAATTGTTAAACTGACAGACCAAAATTGACAGATAGACCAAAATTGATAAATTGATAAACATATTTTTGAGCAGTGACTATATATATGCAAAGCCAAACTTCCATTTGAAATTTGCTCTCTACTAAACAGAAGCAAAGATGTAGGGGCTTGGAGTAGGCACCTAGTTAGCGATATCATTCCTTATTCCCGCCAGTAAATCACTGACAAGAATAAACTCTTCCCATCCGTTTCCTCTTTCTAACTTACTGTAACTGGGCAGTACTGTAACTGGACTGATCTCACACCCAGATCAGTCAATTTTTATAACTGACATTTTCTAATGCATTCAGCTCCATTACCAGTGCCACCAACTATTACTTCTGATTTACTTTGGAATTAATTCAAACTTTTTTCTCCAGATTTCATCATGCTAAGAAACACTTCTCATGCCTGCAACACCTAGTATCTATTTCCGTAAGTCAAATTTAAAAATATTCATAGACTTATCTTTGCCCCAATGTCAGTAGCTGTCAGGGACTCAGGAGACTCTAAAGATTCATGAATAATAGTAGTAGAAGTAGCAATCGTAATAGTAAAAGTAGTAAAAATAGCAGAAATTATATTATTTACTGGATGCTTTCTACCCAGGCACTGTGCTAAGCACTTTATTTTCAGTTACGATTTCATTTTACAGAAGAAGAAACCAAGGCTCAGAGAGGTGAAATAACCTTATACAGTCCAAGTGGTAGAGCCAGAAAATTCATTGTTTTTTAAAAGTTTAATAGAACTCACCAATGAAACCATCTGGGTGGGCTTTTTTTGAGAGGGGAAGTTTTTGACTATAATTTCAATTTCCCACTTTTAGTTGAATAGTTTGAAATTTTTTCTCTGGGCTTATTTATTTTTGAGATGGAGTCTCACATGGTTGCCCAGGCTGTAGTGCAGTGGTGTGATCTTGGCTAACTGCAACCTCCACCTACCGGGGTCGGGCGATTCTCCTGCCTCTTTTTGTATTTTTAGTAGAGGCAGAGTTTTGTCGTGTTGACCAGGCTGGTCGTGAACTCCTGACCTTAGGTGATCCACTGGCCTCTTCCTCCCAAAGTGCTGGAATTACAGGCGTGAGCCACTATGCCTGGCCATATTTATTTGCTTCTATTGAGTTCTTATATTTTCAATGCCCTTATTTCCCCTGAACTAAATAATTTAGTGGGCTTTATGTCACTTTGTTCTCTTTCCCACTGCTATCTCACATCTTTTGCTTATACTGATAGGCTTATCTTTGCCCCAATGTCAGTAGCTGTAGGGGCATATATTATCTTTATTTGGTAAGAAACTCACTGGTGAGTCCTACTAAACTTTTAAGAAACAGTGAATTTTCTGGCTCTACCACTTGGACGGTGTAAGGTTATTTCACCTCTCTGAGCCTTGGTTTCTCCTTCTGTCAAATGAAATTGTAACTGAAAATAAAGACAATATATGCCCCTATAGCTACTGCCGCTATAATATAAACGGACATGTATTATCTTTTTCTTTGTCTTGGTCCTAGCCCTTTAAAGATGACTTTCACATTGTTTGAAATGTCTATGCCCTTACTTATCTATTTTTGTCTGCTTGTTCCATCAGTTACAGAGAGAGGTGTGTTGAAGTCTCCCGCTATGATTGTGGATAATTCTATTTTTTTTAGCTGTTTCAATTTTTGCATCATAGAATTCAAACTTATGCTAGTAGGTGACCAAATTTAGAATAATTATATCTTCCTGGTGAACTGAATTTTTATCATTGTGGAAATGTTCCTTTTTATCTTTAGTAAAGCTTTTTACCTGAACACCTATTTTGTCTGACATTAGTATAGGTATAGTAGGTGTCTGAGTCAGTTTGCTCTGCTATAACAAAGGACCATAGACTGAGTGGCCTCTAAGCAACAGAAATTTACTCTTTATAGTTCTGGAGGCTGGAAGTCTGAGTTCAGGGTGCCAGCATGATTGGGTTGGAGTGAGGGCTCTCTTCCAGGTTACAGGCTACCATCTTCCCATTGTATCCTCACATGACAGAAAGAGAGCTGGAGAGCTCTCTTGGATCCCTTTATAAAGGCATGCATTCTATTCATGAGGATTCCACCTTGATGTGCTAAATTACCTACGAAAGATCCCACCTCCTAATACCATCACATTGGGGGCTAGGATTTCAACGTATGAATTTTGCATGGACAAATTCAGTCCATAACACTAGGTTTTTTTGGATTTATATTTAGCATATTTTAGCTTTTTCCATCATTTTACTTTCAGTCTTTAAAAAAATTAAGTTGTGTGTTATGAACTGAATGTATCCCTCCAAAATTCATACCCAGAAGCCCTAACACCTTCAATGTGTCTATATTTGGAGATGGGCCTCTAAGGAAGTAATTAAGCTTAAATGAGATCATAACCACTTACCTCCTAAAAGGTAAGAGCCAAAATAAATGACCATTTGATCTCAATTTCTATTTTTTTCAGAATATTCTACCCCTAAATGCAAATAAATTTACACAGAGCCCATTAATTTTATATGAAGTAGGTGTTATTCTTATTTTGATAATTACACAAAGATAAATGGGAGCTAGAAGCAATTTTCAAAACAAAATAAGCAGGAGGGAAGACAGTTCTGTTTTCCCAGCCTCTGTTCCTGGTCTCTCATTTCTGGCTCAAGGACTACCACACTCTGGAGCCCTGAGAATCAGCTTTCTGGAGTTTTGGGGTATGCTGCGTGCTCCTGACAAGCTAATTGCATGGACAAGGAAAATGGGATAAAAGTTGGGAAAATGGGGATTGGCTAAGGGAATAAATAATAGATAAAAGTGATAAAGGAGAGATAAAGGAAGGCAGTATGATGATGAGAAAGAGATCAGAAAGTAGTATTTTGTGGAAAGAAACATGTGATGACCCCACATAAAGTAGGCAGTATGCTCCATTAAAAACACCATCATATTAAATTCTGTTAAGAGGGCATTTCAGGAATATCAGGTTCTAGAATGATGAGAGGTACAAATGCTTTAACTCGTTTGCTTTATTGGTTAAATTTTATTTATTATCTTATTTAATATTTTAAATGGTATACGATGTGATATTTTGGTATATGTATACATTGTGAAATTATTGAATCGAACATATCTGTCACTTCACAGTTATTTTATGTGTGTGGTGAGAACACTTATCTACTGTCTTAGCAAGTTTCAAGTCTACAATACATCATGACTGACTGTAATCACCATGCTGTTGAATAGATATCCAGAACTTACTCATACTATCTGAATGAAACTTTGTACCCTTTGTTTTTGTTTTTTGGGGGGTTTTTTTGTTTTGTTTTGTTTTTTGAGACAGGGTCTTGCTCTGTTGCCCAGTGTTGCCCAGGCTGGAGTACAGTGGCACCGTCACAGCTCACTGAAGCCCCGACCTCCTGTGCTCAATCAATCCGCTTGCTTCAGCTTCCCGAGTAAACGGTACTACAGGCACGCATCACCATGTTGGGCTAATTTTTAATATTTTTTGTAGAGATAAGGTCTCACTGTGTTGCCCAGACTGATCTTGAACTTCTGAGTTGAAGCGATCCTCCTGCCTCAGCCTCTCAATGTGCTGGAATTACAGGCGTGAGCTACCATGCCTGGCCCTTTGACTTGGTTTGATCTTTAAGGGCATGAGTTATCAGATAAGAATCTACCTCTTCCTAGCTCTGTGGCCTTAACCTTTTTTTTTTTTTTGACAGGATCTTACTCTTACCCAGGCTGAAGTGCAGTGGCTTGATCATAGCTCACCCCAGCCTTGAACTCCTGGGCTCAGGCATCCTCACACCTCAGCCTCCAGAGTAGCTGGGACTATAGACAAGCCACTGCCATGTCCAGCTAATTTAAAAATTTTTTGTAGAGACAAAGCCTCACTATGTTGCCCAAGCTGGTCTCAAATTCCTGGACTTGGGCGATCCTCTGCCTCAGCCTTCCAAAATGCTGGAATTACAGGTGAGCCACCATGCCCAGCCCTTAACGTCTTTAAACTGTCATTTTCTCATTTGTTGAATGAATATCACAATAGTACCCACCTCATAGGGTAGTTCTGGGGATTAAATAAAATATTTAGTTAAAATCTTGGCACATTGTAAGCACTCCATAAGTGTTACCTACTTTTGGTATTATCATTGTTGTTATAACGATTATTATTATTGGCGTATAGGTTGGCAATAGAAAATTATAACCCTCATGCTTAATTCAGCCCTAATTAGAAATTATAACTGAATCTAGCAGCTGCGAGCGGCAGCAGTTTAATGAAGAACGAGTTGTCATAAAATTTAAATTATATCTATCCATAGCTAGTTTCTATTTGTAATTGAGTTTTTTCCAAGTTTGTTTGTTACAAATGGAAAAGAGCTTTGCTGTAATCATAAGAGATTTGATTTAACAGTTCTAAAGCCCGCTGACCTGATTGTGGAGGTTCTGACTTTAAATATGTAAAGCAGCCTGTGTGCTTGCCATCCTTGTTTGTTGCTTAAAAAAAATTATATTTTCTTATTATGTTGGTTAAGGAAAATTATATTTGTTAGAATATGTTTGTTGTAGAAATTAAACTTACCCATCAAGCCTTATGCTGTACACCCCAGCACTCCAACCATTAACTTGCTATCCGCAGTTTTTGATTTGCATCTGTGACTTCACTAGAATCTTAGTGGCCTTTGTCTCTACCAGTGTATTTGTAATAAACTAAATTATCCTCAGAGACTTAATTGGTAACATAAGTGCAAGACTTTGCCTCTGAAAATACAGCTTTTAGAAATAACATTATGCCTTTATAAGGTGTATTCCAAGGAAGACAAATATGTAAACATTCTTCATGTCATCAGAGTTTATAGTATTTTTCTGGAGTGGAAGGTTATTATTCCTATTTTCCCAAAAAGTACCAGGGGGTCAGTGACTTCTTCCAGGTCAATAGCTTCTGTCTGGAATTACCAAGACCATAACTTGAATCACCTATTGCAAATTCCCTTTCTAGTCCATAACATTGTTGTGCAAAATTGAAATACTTATGTGACACCAAAACAAAAACGAAAACCAAACAAACCCAAAAACCAAAATCCCAAAACCCCCCAAAAAACTAACACAAAAAACTAAACTAAAAAACCTAATAAATCCTAAGTCAGGTGGAAACACTTCAAATAGTTTCTGGATGTGAGAGCTTCTCAGAAGCTAATAAAGATTCCTGGCTCTATTGGATGGAATGCTAAGAAGCTATTTTGGTTGGATTGGGAACATTTATTAATGTCTTCATGTGAGCAGCAGTAAAAGTGTACTACCTATTAAAAGTTACCTATTTGCTTATTTTGCCCACCATTTTCAGATATGAGCTTCTGACATTTCAACAAAACTAATGACCAGCTTGTTTTGGGTAACCAGTTTCTTGCAGTTGATTATTATCCCCCAGAAATCCCTCTGTGCCAAGTCTTGTAGCCAAAACAGTTATTTAACCCAAGTACAGTCATGTGCCGAATAATGATGTTTCAGCCAACAATGACCGCATTTAAGACAGTGGTCCCATAAGATTATAACAGAACATAAACAGAAACCTGATATGTAACACTTGATATTGGCACTGCAGATTAAGCAGGGGAAATGACCGATAATTCAGTTAAGGTTCTGAGACATTTGGTTTTCCATATGAAAAATATGTATAAATTAAATATATATGTATACATATACCATCAATGTTTGTGTAAGTATACTCTGATATTTGCACAATGACAAAATGGTCTAATGTCACATTTCTCAGAACATATCTCCATCATTAAGCAACATATGCCAGGAATAATTATGAATAGGTATAATAACTGCAAAAAGTCATGTAAAATAGATGGAACTGCCAGTGCTGAACAAATGAAGAGGATAAATGAATGGTTTCTATGTAAAAGGTAAATGAATGTCAGTAAGAAATAGCACTCTCATGCTTCCATTTGCCAGAAGTATCACCTTTGGTTGGTTGTGGGTAATGTCAATTATTGAAATAATTAAGTGAATATGGAATCCAGAGACTAAAATACTGAGCGATCAATCAGTGTGTATGACAAACCCTTCTGTGTATAGAAACATAGATTCTATGGGAGGTGAAGGCATGTCTGAGGCACAGCTATGGTTTCAAAAGACTTTATAGTTTGATTTATAAAGCAATATTTGATACAGAAATACCAGAACTTTAGAGCTGGAATAAAATAGAGGAAGTTTCTGTTTTTGTTTTGTTTTTTGACATGGAGTCGTCTCACTCTGTCACCCAGGCTGGATGGAGTGCAGTGGCGTGAACTCGGCTCACTGCAACCTCTGAGTTCAAATGATTCTCCTGCCTTAGCCACACGAGTAGCTGGAATTATAGGGGTGTGCCACCATGCGGGGCTTTTATTCTTTGTATTTTTAGTAGAGATGGGGTTTCACTATGTTGGTCAGGCTGGTCTTGCACTCCTGACCTCAAGTGATCCCCCACCTAGGCCTACCAAAGTAGGGATTACAGGCATGAACTATCGCGCCTGGCCTAAAATAAAAAGAAATTGTAAAACTAGAAGAGAACTTAGAGATCACCTAGCCCGAGAAATTGTAAAACTAGAAGAGAACTTAGAGATCACCTAGCCCGAGAAATTGTAAAACTAGAAGAGAACTTAGAGATCACCTAGCCTAATACTCATGGTTAAAGAGGTAATTTAGTGAGAACTTAAAATGCAAGCTATAATTTTAGCTTATATCACAGGCCCATTCCTTCTCTTATATATTTTTTATTTTCCGCCTTCATATTGAGCATGTGCCAGTTCATTGATGTTACCACTTCTCAAGCTAAAAGTATCATCTGCATGTCACCCAGTGATGGCAATGGACCCGGTCACAGTGATTCAAGGGTCCCCAAAAAGGGTGCTGTCCTTGTCCATTGATGACTGAGGAAGGGGTGCTTCTTTTCTGCCTATTCTGACACCATATTATCTGTGGTGGTACCAAAGCTACTGGACACTCCTGATGGCAAGAGGTGTAAACCCAAATGCAGATGAATGAAGGAAGAAAAAAGACAATCAAAGCTGTGCTGTAAAGGAGACAGACAGCCCCCAACCCCCTGCCCTGAAAAGGAGAGCTATATTGTCAGCCACCCGAAAAAAGGCATGACCAGTGGACTTCAGGATCAATGTGGTCAGATGTCTTTTTTTTTTTTTAAGAGATGGAATCTTGCTGTATTGCCCCGGTTGGAGTGCAGTGGCTATTCACAGGCACTATTATAGCACACTATAGCCTTGATCTCCTGGTCTCAAGTTGCCCTCCTGCCTTAACCTCCTGGGTAGCTGGAACTACAGGCACATGCCACCACACCCGACCAGAATTTTTTTTTTTAACAGAGTCTCACCTTGTTGCCCAGGCTAGAGTGCAGCTTGTTTTAAGTGTTCTATAGCTCCATTAGTATGAAATATCTGTGTGTAAATTGATAACGACAAAGCTATTTTGATTGACAAAGTATCAGACTTTGGATAAAATCATAAATTATATAGATATCGCAATCAATTTCAAATTCATTTTGGCATCATAACTTTCTTAAGTTAGAAAGAACACCATATTTAGCATATAATCTATACATGCATTACCTGCATTGTGGGGATTTTAAGCATGTCCATACATTCTTTGACACCTCTCTGTCCAAAATGTGAAGTCTACTTCTCTAGCACCTGAGTGTGAGATAGACTTAGTGGTTCATTTCCAAGGAATAGAGTATGGAAGGGAGAAAACAATAACCACATGAAGTACATGTAGACATTTATTTCAAAAAATAAAAACAAAATGACAAAAAACAAAAAATTATGAATATAATTGAAAATTAATCTCACTTATGAATATACAGAACAAGAAAAATTATAGTTTATTTGTAAATGAAGATTCAAAATTTGAAAAATAAAATATTTTAAATCTACAAGTATATTATTAGTAATACTACTGATCATGACCAATTTGGGTTTATCCCAGAATGCAAGGGTGGTTCAAAATTATGTAATCCACCGTAATAGAGAGGAGGGGAGGGGGGAAACACTTGCCATCTTAATAGAAGTAGGAAAAGCATTTTATAAAACTCATCATCCACTCAGGACTTAAAAATATAAGCAAATAGAAACTTCCTAACCTAATATATTGGAAGTAGCTCAAAGCTGGGGTACATCACATTTAATGACTTAAAATATTCCATTTTAAAGTCAATCAAAAGACAAAGGTAACTGCTTACTAAGAAGTCTTCCCAGCTAAGACAAGAAAACAAAATAAGATGTGAAATTTATAGGCACTGTCTTCAAAACTACTGTCAAGCAGACTATGACAAAGCTCATGTTATGCAGGCATGAGAGGGAGTACGTATTGGGATAAGGGGATGTTAAATGAAGGGAAGTGCTTTCCAAAAATGTAACTACTTAATTATAATCTTGTGACAAACAGCTACAAAACCACTTTTAATAATACATTCTTTCTGTGATAGAAAATGTAATCTTTTCACTTTGTAAAAGCTGTCAGTTCTATTACTAGGGAAGAATTAGGCTTTGATTACATACAATTTCTATTTCATTTCTCCCTTTTTTCCAGCAGTGGCTAGATTCCTAGCAACAGAGTCTCTGGAAGATCTCACCCAAGGAGTAAGGCAGTTTTTTCAACATTTCTAGCATTAGGACTTGGTTGGCTCACCTGCAAGACAGTGTGAGATTCTATTCATGATAGATTCCCTAACACCAAATCTAAAGTTGAGAGATATTTTTAAATTTCTATAAGATAGTCAATAAAGATCTGCTGGTGTGTTTAACTCTGGTCTGGGAACCTGCTAAACTTTCACTTACCATATTTGCCAGAAGAGTATCTTCAAACTTTATCACCTACATACCTCTAAATAAAATTTAAGAATGTACACTTTCATGTATTTTTAAGTTGATAACTAACATTTATCATCATAAATTTAAGTAAGTGCAAATAAGATAATTTCAAGTGGCATACTGTAAATATTTACATTTTCAAAAATAAAAACTTTTGTCATTCTTTTAAATGTATCTAATAGAATCTAAGTACCATAGCAATTTGATTCCCACCATTATCAACATAATACATAAACAAGCTCTTCAATAGTGAGACATTAAACATCATTCACTGGATCTTTGTTTATATTTTGCTTTCCTCACAGAATTATAGTATATTTTACTGCTTAAAATATTTATCTCCTAAGGTACTTCTCTGAAACGAATATAAATTGAAATTTAAAAAATTTCCTATAACTAAAAGGCTATAAGTATTAAAAATAACTTTTTTCTAAATTATTACAGTAACTATTAGAATGCAGTAGATAATATCACAAACATGAATATTTTTACACACAAGTATTACACATAAAACATTAAAAATCTTACTGGAAATTCATCTGAGAATCAAGACCAATTTGTAGTGTTTTTTTTAGTTCATCTTTCCGTGGGTATATATGATTTATAACTAGCATGACATAGCAGTCAACATAAATTACATTCCCATTTTTCCTATCTATAGATGAGATCATTTTTAATGTAAAACAAATAGATGAGAATGTAGTTTTGTTCCGTTTTTGTTTTAACTTTTAATTTTCATGGGTACATGGGTGTATATATTTATGGGGTACATGAGATTTTTGATACAGGCAAGCAGTGTGTAATAATCATATCATGTAAAATGGGGTAGCCATCCCCACAAGCATTTATCCTTTGTGTTACAAACAATACAATTATATTCCTCTAGTTATTCTAACTTGTAAATTAAATTATTATTGACTATAGTCACCTTGTTGTGCTATCAAATACTAGGTATTATTCATTCTATTTTTTTGTACCTATTAACCATCCCCACCTCCAACCCCCACCCCACCCCCTGTGTCATTACCCTTCTCAGTCTCTGGTAACCATCCTTCTACTCCCTATGTCCATGAGTTCAATTGTTTTGATTTTTAGATCCCACAAATAAGTGAGAACATGCAATGTTTGCCTTCCTATGCCTGGCTTAAGTCACTTAGCGTAATAACGTCCAGTTCCATCCATGTTGTTGCAAATGACAGAATCTCATTCTTTTTTATGGCTGAATAGCACTCCACTATGTAGTACATTTTCTTTATCCAGAGAATGGAGATTTGTAATAATTCAATTCTTTGTCACTCAGTGCCACTGCATCCATCAATTTTTTTAGTAATACGTCAAAAATGAAATAAATTTTAATGATTTAATGGCTGACAGCCTGCCTAGGCTTTTGTTTAATTTTATTGAAAGCAAATAACTGAAAACCAGTGAGTTGCAAAAAAGGGTTAGCCATTATTGGAGTCTCTTTCTCAACACATTTTCAAATGACCTGTATAGACTGGAAGGGTTTTTTGTTTGTTTGTTTTGCTTTTCCCACCTTGACAATGGTGAAACTGAGAAAGATGGGTGAAAATTATGCCTTTCTTTTAAAAAAGGACATATGTGAAAGGGGCAGGTGGGAAAAGAGAACCAGTCTGAGACAGGTATATAAATGGGAAGATCAAATTTTGGAAAGAGTATCGAGGAAGTGGAGGAAATGAAAATGGATTAAAATTCTCCTTGCACAAGTACCTCTTGAAATGTCTTGGTGTGCACTATTGTGCTAACCTCTCTTTTAGATATAAGGGTACATACTGCATCTAGGATTTAAGAATAAATGTGTATCAATTAGTATTTCTGCTAATTAATTAAGGTGCATTCACTTGTGTATATTGGATGAAGTTAAACTGATGAACTTATCTGGAGAGTGGAGGGGTGTACAGTGAAGTGAAAGGCAATCGTTACTTAGTCAGGAAGCCCTTTTAAAGGGTGTCCTAGTCTTAATAAAGACAATGGTGACGATTTGGCCAAAGAAAAACTTTAGCCCACGGATTGACTTGTTTATGTTTTCTTACCCTGCAATAAATTGAGTATTATAATGTCTCTTAAGGTGAGTCTCTTTTGTGAATTAAAATAGTCATAAAGTCAGCCAAAGTATCGAAGGTTAAAAAAAAAAAAAAGTTAAATTCAAACTAAAGTATACAGTGAAAGTTTCTGAACCAAGCCAGATGGTATCCTGGTTTGAAGAGATCAGATAGAAAGGGCATGTGCGATCCACAGCTGACTTAACCAGTGCTTTCACATCCCAGCCTCTGTGTAGCTAAGCTTGAGTTGGTGACTGCATATAAAAGCTTGTGAAAGTAAAATAAATCTAGGGACCCCAAAATCACTAAGCTAATGGGAAGAGTCAAGCTGGGAGCTGCTTAGGGCAAACCTGCCTCCCCTTCTATTCAAAGTCATCCGTCTGAGGCTCACCTGAAACAAACGCATATCTGATTGCTTCCTCTCTCCTATTGTTTCTGTGAAAATGCAGATCCACTGAACCAGACTAAATTGTGTATTCAGTGGAAGGCTGATCTACGACTTAAAAGAATGCAACCTTTTGCGTCTTACCTACTTCTAACGGGGCCACTTCGAGTTGTCCTGCCTTACCGGACTGAACTAATGTACATCTTACACATAGCTGTCTCATGTCTCCCTAAAATGTATAAAAGCAAACTGTACCCCCAAACACCTTGGGCACGTGTCTCAGGACTTCCTGAAGCTATGCCATGGGCACATCCTTAACTTTGGCAAAATAAACTTCCTAAATTGACTGAGACCTGTCTCACATATTTTGTGTTCACAAGCTCTACATGGATTTAAGGCACAGATGGTAAAGGTTTTCCAAAAGTGCTCAAGCAGGGATACCAAAACATTGTATGTGCATATATGACTGCTATAAAGGTTATACATTATCCACAAAAAGCAAAGAGAAAGAATGGAATTGACATTCTAAGACTTATCTAGGTAACTGCTTCTCTCTAGTGGAGCTTTTGTCATTAAACAAATTGTGGGGACTTCTCTTATTTTGGCTAGAATATACTTTTGTCAGGCCAGTGACTCTACTCAAAAATGAGATACACTTACAGATACAGAAACATAGATGAGGATATCCGCTTAAACAAGAGAGCCACCAAGGTAGTAAGAAATTGAAGGGTCAAGACCGTGTCCAAAAGGGAAGTGCAAAGGTGAGAATGACATTTAGCACCTGTTTTCCCCTTGAGGCAACTGCCAATTCATAAGCAGTAGCCTAAGGCTAAGAAGCTAAATAGTGGGAAATAATGAGCAGAAAACAGAGGACCAGAGGTTGAAAAGGTGAGCAGAATTTTAGGCTGTCTTACATGTCTGGGAATACAAAAACAAGTTCAGGATCAATCAAGGTGAAAGAACCTTGAATGAGCAGAAAACAGAGGACCAGAGGTTGAAAAGGTGAGCAGAATTTTAGGCTGTCTTACATGTCTGGGAATACAAAAACAAGTTCAGGATCAATCAAGGTGAAAGAACCTTGAATGAAAAGTAAATATACCAACCCTCAAAAGGACTAAAGCTCAGCTGTTTCATCAGCTAATTGCCACACTGATCTGCTCTTATCCAAACTGTTTGCTAGAAGCAAAAAGAAAACTGTCTGTGAAAAAAAGATAGTATCAAGAGTTAATGTCATCAACTCAATAATTTTTCATTCACATGTCAGGCATTCAGACAAAAATTATTGACCATGCTAAAAGATAAGACCAAATGACTGAAAATAGAAAAGTGGAAACTGTATTAAGAATTATCAAGCATGGGCTTCCAAATTACTTGTAAGTAACTGTAATTAATATGCTCTAGAAAATATACAAGATGATGAATTTCAGCAGAGGGTCCAAATCAGTAAAAATAATTAAATGGAACTTGTAGAAATTAAAAATAATAGAACTGAAATTAAGAACGCAGTAAATGAGTTAAATGACAGCTTAGACATAGCTGAAGACAAGTTCAGTGAATTACAAAATAGGTCAATAAAAATCCAGAATGAGCATGAAGAGAAAAAACGAATAAAACAACAAAACAGAAAAGAATCTAACACACGTATGGCTAATGGTGAAAAGCCCTGAGTAGGCGAGGAAAGAGACAATTGGGGCAAAAGTGATAGAAGAAGAGATTATGCCTGAGAATTTTCCAAAAATAATGAAAGACACCAAATCACAGATTCACCTAGAGACATCATAGTAAAACTGTTTAAAACCCAAAACAAAGGGAAAATAAAAGCAGCTGGGGGTAGAGTGGGGTAGGGTACACATTTTCTTAAAAGGAATAAGATTCACAGATGACTTTGCAACAGAAACAGTAGAACTCCAAAAGAAAAGTAATACTGCCAAGATGATGAAAGAATTACCAGATGCAAAATGGAATGAAGAAATATACAAAGGGGTAAATGTGAAGAAAAATATAAATGAATATATAGATTCATAAAACAATAATAATGTCCTGTGGTGTTTAAACAACAGTATAAAAAATCATAGTACTGGAGCGGGCATCATGATTCATGCCTGTAATCCCAGAACTTTCGGAGGCCAAGGCAGGATGATCACTTGAGGTCAGGAGTTCGAGACCAGCCTGGCCAACATCGCGAAACCCTGTCTCTACTAAAAATACAAAATTTAGCCAGGCATGGTAGCACACGCCTGTAATCCCAGCTACTTGGGAGGCTGAGGCAAGAGAATCACTTGAACCTAGGAAGTGGAGGTTGCAGTGAGCCAAGTTCACCCCACTGCACTCCAGCCTAGGTGACAGAGTGAGACTTGATCACAAAATATGATAATAATAATAATAATAGTACTGAAGTTATTCTAAGGTCCCTGAATTTTTTGTTTTTGAGACAGGGTCTCCCACTGTCACCCAGGCTGGAGTGCAGTGGCATGATCTCATCTTACTGCAGCCTTGACCTCCCAGACTCAAGCAATCCTCCCATCTCAGCCTCCCAAGTAGCTGGGACTACAGGTGCACACCACCATGCCTGGCTAATTTTTGCATTTTCTTTTGTAGAGATGGGGTTTCGCCACATTGCCCGACCTGGTCTTGAACTCTTGTGCTCAAGTGATCCTCCTGCCTTGGTCTCCCAAAGTGCTGGGATGAAGGGTGTGTACTTTGAATTTTCCAGGAAGTGACAAAAAGAATTTATATGAGATGTTGATAAGTCAGGTATTAATGTTGGAATCTCTAGGATAACCTTAAATAATATATTCTATGATGTGAAAGAAAAGAAACTAATAGGAGGGGAAAATAGAAATAAAAAAGAGAAATGGAATACAAAACAGATGGAAAAATTAGAAAACGAATTATAAACTATCTTAGTAATTACATTATATAAATGAATTAAATGTTACAATTAAGAAGAAAAATTATCACACTGGATAGAAATGATTGTACATCTTAAAGGCATACTTTAGAAAATTGTGGTCTTCAATGGAACAGAACAGAGACCTCAGAAATAACACCACACATCTATAACCATCTGATCTTCGACAAACAGAACAAAGACAAGCAATGGGGAAAGGATTCCCTATTTAATAAATAGTGCTGGGAGAATTGGCTAGCCATATGCAGAAAACTGAAACTGGATCCCTTCCTTACACCTTATACAAAAATTAACTCAAGATAGATTAAAGATTTAAATGTAAAACCCAAAACCATAAAAACCCTAGAAGAAAACCGAGGAATACCATTCAGGACATAGGCATGCATAAAGACTTCATGACGAAAACACCAAAAGCAACTGCAACAAAAGCCAACATTGACAAACGGGATCTAGTTAAATCAAAGAGCTTCTGCACGCAAAAGAAACTGTCATCAGAGTTAACAGGCAACCTACAGAACGGAAGAAAATTTTTGCAATCTATCCATCTGATAAAGCTCTAGTACCTAGAATCTACAAGGAACTTAAATTTACAAGAAAAAACAATCCCATCAAAAAGTGGGCAAAGGATATGAACAGACACTTCTCAAAAGAAGACATTTATGTGGCCAAAAACATTTGAAAAAAAGCTCAACATCACTGATCATTAGAGAAATGCAAATCAAAACCACAATGAGATACCATCTCATGCCAGTCCGATGGCGATTATTAAAAAGTCAAGAAACAAGAGGCTAGCAAGGCTGTGGAGAAATAGGAACGCTTTTACACTGTTGGTGGGAATGTAAATTAGCTCAATCACTGTGGAAAACAGTGTGGCGATTCCTCAAGGATGTAGAACCCAAAATACCATTTGACCCAGCAATCCCATTACTTGGTATATACCCAAAGGATTATAAATCATTCTACTATAAAGACACATGCACATGTATGTTTACTGCAGCACTATTTACAACAGCAAAGACTTGGAACCAACCCTAATGCCCATCAATGATAGACTGTATAAAGAAAATGTGGTACATATACACCACGGAATACAATGCAGCCATAAAAAAGAATGAGTTTGTGTCCTTTGCAGACATGGATGAAGCTGGAAGCCACCATTCTCAGCAAACTAACACAGGAACAGAAAACCACCGCATGTTCTCACTCATAAGTGGGAGTTGAACAATGAGAAGACATGGACACAGGGAGGGGAACATCACACATTGGGGCCTGTTGGGGGTGGGGGGCAAGGGGAGGGACAGCATTAGGACAAATACCTAATGCATGTGGGGCTTAAAACCTAGATGACGGATAGACAGGTGCAGCAAACCACCATGGCACATGTATGCCTATGTAACAAACCTGCACATCTGCACATGTATCCCAGAACTTAAAGTAAAATTAAAAAAAAAAAAAGTTAATGCCAGGTAAATTAGGCACATTTTGAAATTTAAAACTTTTAACAAAATATAACGGAATTTTTTAAACCTCAGTTAAATAAAATTTTAAAACCTAACATAAAAAAGGCTCAATCATAAAAGAAAAAAAAAAAGGTCTGATTAAATTTAACCGAAAAATTCTGTGAGATTAAAGATAGTCACAGAAAATGTTAAAGACAAGCCACATATTAGAAGTCCTATGAGCTAAAGCATTATGATCAGTAAGAATACAAGTAACCTAGCAGAAAAATAGGTATAGATTATGGACAAAAATCTGTCAAATAATGACCAATATATGAAATGAAGCTAGGCTTCTTAAGGAAATATAAGTTAAAACAAAGAGCTACTATCTCATAGCTTTCAGACTGCAGAACTTAAAAATTCTGATAAGACTACGTGTTGGTGACAAGATAGGAAAACCAGAATTCTCTTAAACTGCAGCTGGGAGAGCAAACTTGCATATCACTTTGGAGGGCAATTTGAAGACATCTAAAGTGACAGAGTATACACATCCTACTACCTGGAAATCCATTTTTATTTATTTTATATATATATATATATATATATAAAATTTTTTTTTTTTTTTTTTTTTTTTTTTCAGACTGAGTCTTGATTGCTCTGTTGCCCAAGCTGCAGTGCAGTGCCACGATCTGGGCTCACTGCAACCTCCCTAAGTAGCTGGGATTACAGGTGCACACCACCATGCCTGGCTAATTTTTTTTTTACTTCTACTAGAGACGGGGTTTCACCATGTTGGCCAGGCTGGTCTCAAACTCCTGACCTCAGGTGATCCTCCCACCTCGGCCTCCTAAAGTGCTGGGATTACAGGCGTGAGCCACCGTGCCGGGCTGAAATTCCATTTTTAGACATATGTCTAGAATATCTAGCACATCTGCATGAGGTGACATGATCAAGAATGTACACTTGCAGCACTGTTCAAAATGGCAAAAAAATAACAATTTAAACAATCTTTAGTAAGGGAACTGGTAAGTAAACTGATATGACACTAAACAGCATTATGTTGAGTGGAAAATCAGGTTACAAAAGATTACATACATAAAACATCATTAACATAATTTTTGTTAACTATTATACATTGTTTCTGGATAAAAACACATGGTAAAGTATAAAATCTTAAACAGGAAGGAGTCACACCAACTTCAGAATTAGTACGTTAGCTCTAGGGAAAGAAGGAGGAGAATGGCGCCAGGGAGAAGTACAAAAGAGTAACATTTTATTTATTTAAAAATCAGAAGCAAATATGGCAAAATAGTATGTGAAGGGTACAAGGGCATTTATATTATTATTTTTCTGCATATTTGAAATATTTTTAATTAAAAAGAATTTTAATGGGCACATATGGTATAACAATCAAATAATAACATTAATTACTTGCACCACAAAAATGTATCAAATAACAACATATTATTTAAGCCACAGACACTTATGTACATACATTGGAGCATGTGATAAAAGAGTCAAAAATAAATTTTAAAATTTGCAATTTACTTTGGGGTTTTAAATTAATAATTTTGCTAATCTCATGCAATTTTAAAATGTCCTTAAGCTAAAATTTTAAGGGCTGTAATCCTTTTAGTTAGAGTTGTCAACGCTGTACAGATGTGGTATTCTGAATTTCAGTCTTATCTTGTAAAGCTTTTTCTTTAGTATATAAACAGTTAACAAGCTTTACAATTATACTTACAAGTCTTAAAGAAATGTATTAAGAGTCCTAAGTATGAAGAACAGTTATTTAATTATAACTACTTAATTATAGTGTTTCACCAAGAATCTGATGCCCTAATACTAATGTGGAAAAACAATGCTCCATTATTCCATTTTCTTTTCTGCTTGGGGTTTGGGCCAGAAGCCAAGATGTACCAATACTGGAAAGGTTTTAAACAGTCTTATTATAAAACCATTTTTAAAGGAAAAGTAATAACTTTCACGGGGAGTAACACAATCCTTTGGGATTACTATGTCAGAAAGAGACATAGAAAGATAGAGAATATTTTAAGAAAAGGGTTAACGAGGTAGTAAAATTTTGCTATCTGTACTTCACTTACTGACCCTCAGAGGCTCAAGGCTAGAAGACAATAAATATTTTACAGTAAAATGTAGGAGGCAAACAAAACTGGGCAGGACACTGCATCTATAAATATAATTCGAGAGATCTATAACTCACACATAGTACTTCACTCTCAACTATAATCCTCTGACCACATTCATACTATTTCAATAGTCATTTTACCCAGTAGATGGAAAGCAGTAATTTTATTTATCATGAATTGCTTTTTGCCAATTAAACATGTGCAACAGAGATGATTAGCTGGTCTCTCAAGTAACCTAGATATTAGATATGCTATTTCCATGTAATGGAAGACTGCAATAAAATTATTCCAAGTTCTAAAGTTCCACACTTTTATATTTTGGGCACAATTTTTAAGAGTGGCAAAAGGCAGGTTTTCACTTACTCCACTTCAGCCTATTATACTGAATTTTACCTAGTGCTAAAATCCTTAACTTTCATTTCTGAAGGCTGAAAAACATTTGCTCCCCCAAGTCTCTTATTTAGTATAACTTTGGCTGGTAAGAATAGCTCAGTTTGCTTCCAAAATTGAAAGTCTCCTACAACATTTTTAAATGTTTTTTTTTTCCACTGATCTTTAAGTTTCAGTAATACTCATTTATTTCTTCCCTCTCAATAGAAGGATAACTACCACTCCGCTTCATGAATGAAATAATCAAATTACTATTTCTCTCAAATTCTCACCCTCTAGAGACTCGCTCAGAGTGATAAATTCACTGACAAGTTTACAATTCAAATTTCACTAATATATAGAAATAATTCTCCCACAAGCAAAAAGGTCAGCATCAAGAATTTAATTTTCTGAGTTTCATAACCCTTGATAAATGGAGGCACCTTAAAGTTCAGTTTAAACTCTTTTATATAGGATTTCAGAGCATGCCTCCAGATATCTTAAGACAAGCCGTATTAATAGCTTAGTGTCATTTTTATCATTAAAATAATCTACAAATATCAGAATACTAATTTATTGTCATAACTAATAAATAAGGCTTAAAATATCTATAGATGTAAATCAGCTCTCTCAGTTCGTTTTGCTTCACTTGGACTATTCTAAAACACAGATCAACAAACGGAATGGGTTTATCAATAATATAGTTGTGCAATCTTTTCACAAATTCCAATTCTGTAATTTAGGGGTTTTTCATATTTATTTTTAAATATACAAAGAAATTAAACCATTAATAGAAATATTTTCTCTCAAATATGTAATATTCTTTTGTAAAAGAAAGTTTCCAAACATTTACAAAGCAATCTAAAGTTAAGTAAACCTGATTTTAGGATTATTACATTAACCAAAATAATTTTCCAGAGAAGGTCCTATTTAAAAGTAATGCTCACTGGCTTCCCCACATCCACACTTTCAGACGGATCCAAATCCAATGCCTTTGTTTGATGTACTTCAGGGATCCCTTCCAGTGAAAAAAATCTCAGAAAAACGTCTCACGACACAGTGGACAAGTGGATTTGTTGCTAGATGTAAACCATTTGTACTGAAAAAGAAAAGGTTTTAAATACTAAAAGAACTTTTAAAGTTCTCCTCTAACATACATCATAAAGTACACATACATCTATAGTAACCTTCAAATGATAAAGTGAAAAGGGAAGAACAATAAAATTTTTGCTCTTTCTGTTATCTCCAAAATTAACACAAATTGAGTATTACTTCCGATGGCTACACTAAGTTCTTCCTACTTAGGCTCATGCACACAATCACTAAGATATAAGAAATCTCCTGTGAAACAAATGAACAAATGGCAACTTCTTTTTCAGTATGTTTAAAAAGAGCACAGGGCTCTGATGCCAGATGGCTTCCAGTACCAACTCCTGTACTCTCCTTCATGGTCTAGATCTCAGAAGACCTTCTACTTCTTGAGTGGTAAAAGGTCACTGGAAACACCCATTTATTAGAGGGCCTTGATTCTACCAGTCTCAGTAAACTGCTAATTATCTTTGGCAGATTTTAAAAAATCACTTTTTAATATATCTCCCATTAGCTACAATTAAGTTTAACACACATTTTCTCTTCCGAAGTTAGACATTGTGTAGGTGTGTGTGTGTGTGTGTGTGTGTGTGTGTGTGTTTATGTGTATAAAATACATAAAATATAAGTAAGTTAATTTCTCTTTAGACTTACCAAGCAGGCTGAATGGAATTTTTTCTTGCATGTTCTACAGGCTTTTTTGGGAAGGGAATAGTTGAAACCGTGAATGACTGAGAAACAGATCATGCAATCTTCAACACCCTCAAAACGTTTGTCTACGTTATTTTTCCATAAAGCTAAGCCTTCCATAATACTTCCATTCTGTTAACAAGAAGAAAAATAAGTCACTACACACTGATAACCACCAATTTTATTTTTATTCAATTTCACAAATTTTAAAGTTGAATTACAATTCTGAAAGAAGAGAATCTGCTTGGCTATGTTCATGTCTCCCAACTTATGAATGTTGGTTTTTAAAATAACCTCCCAAGTTTTTGGAACCAGATGTAATTTTTCTCCATTAAAGACATACTTTAAAGGCTTCTGGACCAATACTTAAAGTGTTATAGTCTAAGCTTGTTGCTTGATAAAACTCTCTTAATAATTAAATCATTTAGGTTAGTTCTAATGTTTAACTGAAAATGATGAAATTATCTCAAATGATTTGTTCCAGCTCTACAATATTGGTGAGCATATTTGTTTTAAAATAGTTTTTCTTGGCCGGGAGCGGTAGCTCAAGCCTGTAATCCCAGCACTTTGGGAGGCTAAGGTGGGTAGATCACTTGAGGTCAGGAGTTCGTTGACCACCATGGCCAACATAGTGAAACCCCATCTCTACTAAAAATACAAACAATTAGCCAGGTGTGGTGGCGGGTGCCTGTAATCCCAGCTACTCTGGAAGCTGAGGCAGCAGAATCGCTTGAACTGGGAGGCAGAGGTTGCAGTGAGCTGAGATCATGCCATTGCACTTCAGCCTGGGCAACAAGAGCAAAAACTCTTAAAAAAAAAAAGTTTTTCTTTATTGTAGAATGCCTGAGATACACAATGTGCACACAGAACTGAAGATTTAAAATGTGTTTAGAGGTCAAAGGTCTTTGAGGGTCCTGGGACTTCTCTAACCAAAGAGGAGTTGAAATGTAAGAATAAAAGTGAAAGTAGCTCAGAAGGCATTCATCTGTCCAGTATCTTTCAAAACATCCTCTCCGAAACAATTTTGTTAATACACCTTCTACAGTGTTAATGAAATAAAGTCAATCCCTCTCAAACACCAGAAAATAAATTACAGAACCTTAACAATTAAAACAGAAAGGCAGGTTTAATCCATTTAGGCATATCTCTGTATTTATCCAAGGAAGTTTAATATCTACTTTTATCTTAAGCAGAAAAGATATATTTTATGTTTAAATGCCCTTTTAAATAGATCATCTTTTCCAAGTTTGTAAAGCCAAATGTGTAAACAGAAACTTACCTGATGGGTGAGGTAAGTGCTTAACTGCAGCATCCAGTTCCGCCACTGCTGAACAGCTACTCCTACTCTTTTCCCACTTTCTACTATTATTGAACCCAGTGGATAATTTGAAGGCAGTTGTATTATAAGTTCAATAACTATGTCCTCAATAGTATAAGTAGCCATTACCTCTCGAGTAGTAGCTCGAGCTTTAACCTGCAATACAACAAAGGATATTTTGTTTGCCAAATTTCTGTCTTTCAACCAGAAAACATTTTGATAGGTTGACTATTAAAAGCTAAAGACTTCATTCAAGGACAGTGCAGGTAAATACATTCACTTATCTGACATGAGATAATTAAGAAATACGTTTAAATACCTGCCTGGTATATTTTTACAGTGATTTTGTGATATTCAAAGTTTGTTTTAAAAGAAATTAATTGCTCATAAAAAAGGTTTTATTATATTAGGCTTGTCACATAATAGTTCAATAAACCTTGAATAGATAAGTGACAGAATGGGTTATTATGCTTCTCTTCCACACCCAGAGTATCGAATGTCACTTCTACATCTAACAATTCTTCCTCTACCATATTATCCTCCTGAGCTTTGGAGCCAACTATCAACTGTCAGAACATTTATAGTTATTTGTTTGGTTTTCAAACCAACATTGCAAACTCAACATAAAACGCACACATTATTATCCTTTACAAACTTCATCTTCTGAATTTCCTACTTCCAGGCTAAAAAATCATGATAGCTCATTTTAAATTTCTGCTTCTACCTCATCCTAGATATTAACTAAATCACTAGCACAAAATCTCTCACATCCCTACTTTTATATTCCCACTGTTACTGCCTCACCCATGCCCTAGTCCTTTGCTCATGTCTACCCCAATAGTCTCCTCTACCATTCATTTGAATCCAAACTGTTTGCCAACAGATCATGCTATAGATTGTGGTCAGAGCAATTTCAAAGATTTTAACTCTGATCATGCTACTGCCTGAATGAAAAATGTTCAGTGGCTGAATTGTACCACTTTAGACCGTTATTTGAGGCCCTTCCCAACATACCTCTTATTCACCGTTGATTCTATTCACCCTTGGGACTCCTACGCATTATTTGGGTTGGAGTACTGCATTATTTATCATTTCCTGGGCAACGACTGAAATGACATTCTCACTTCTATGCTTTTTGCTTTTGCAATACTATTCTCTCTCTCTCTCTCTTTTTTTTTTTTTTTTGAGATGGAGTTTCACTCTTGTTGCCCAGGCTGGAGTGCAATGGCGTGATCTCGGCTCACCACAACCTCCGCCTCCCGGGTTCAAAAAATTCTCCTACCTCAGCCTCCCGAGTAGCTGGGATTACAGGCACGTGCCACCACACCTGGCTAATTTTGTATTTTTAGTAGAGATGGGGTTTCTCCATGTTGGCCAGGCTGGTCTTGAGCTCCCGAGCTCAGGTGGTCTGCCCGCCTCGGCCTCCCAAAGTGTTGGGATTACAGGCGTGAGCCACCACACTCGGCCTATTTTCTTTATAGTAAATGCCATTCCCTTCATTTTCCCCATAACAAAATCCTGCCCACCTCCAAGTGATTTTCTTCCATAAAATCTCACTTAATCCCCTCAGCCAGATGAATCTTTCCCACTCAGATCACAAGGCACTCTTTCTCTTAATATGCTACTTTCCAATGCAAAAATAATTATCAGTCTCGCTCTTTTCCCTTTATTAGACTGTATGTTATTACAGGACAAGAATCTGGTCCTACTAAACTGTTCATATCCTTGGTGACTGGGACACAGTGCTTGGCATCTGTAAGTATTCCAGTACAGATTTTGAATGAACTAATGAATGCTCAAAAACTATTTGGTGGGTGAAATGGTTTGGATCTGTATCCCCGCTCAAATCTCATGCTGAATTGTAATCCCAAATGTTGGAAGTGGGGCCTGGTGGGAAGTGATTGGATCATGGGGATGGATTTCCCACGGGTGCTAGTCTCGTGATAGTGAGTGAGCTGTCATGAGATCTGGTTGTTTAAAATTGTGTGACACCTCCCCGCCTCTCTCCCTCCTGCTCTGGCCATGTGAAGTGCTGACTCCCATTTGCCTTCCGCCATGATTGTAAGTTTCTGAGTAGCTGGGATTACTGGCGCCCGCCACCACGCATGGCTAATTTTTATATTTTTTTAGTAGAGATGGGGTTTCACCATGTTGCCCAGGCTGGTTTCAAATTCCTGACCTCAAGTGATCCACCCACCTCGGCCTCCCAAAATGCTGGGATTACAGGCATGAGCCACTGCACCCGGCCTAAACCTCTTTTCTTTATAAATTACCCAGTTTCAGGCATTTATAGCAATCTGAGAATAGACTAATACAGTGTGTGAATGAAATTATACCACTGTTTCAATCCACGCATGAAGTAATGTTGAGATTTGACACACAAATTAGAAAATAAAATAGGCTGGTCTTGAACTCCTGGGCTCAAGTGATCCTCCCACCTTGGCCTCCCAAAGCGTTGGGATTAAGGCATGAGCCACGACTCCTGGCCACCAGTTTCTATAAATTCTGAGTTAAGAGCTACAGTCTGTTATGATATTAACAATGACAGACATACCCAATATTAAAACAACTTTTCTAGAGAAAGTCAAGACAATACTAACCGTCATGCCATTAAATAGTTGTGTACTTGTTTGTACAGAAGATATTTCTTGAAAAGAAAGAACACTGCTGACATACTTGCTTGTAAATCTATCCACAATATTGAAAACACGCTTCTCACTGCTATTCCACCACAACCTAACCATGGCAGGCAAGTCTTTTAATGTCATATGATAGACTGAACAAGCCAAGTGTGGAATGTGGTATGGAAGCATTGTTGTTTCTGAGGAAAAAACAAATTATTGATTAGTAACATATATTTCTTATATAGAATAACAGACTAATATTAGTATTTTCTTTAGAAAGTGATCCTTAATTTCTCAACAATAGTGCTATAGCTCATAAAAACAAACATACCAGAGAAACCAGAACTCTGGAGTATGAGCATCTTTCCACACATTCAAAATGAACCATAAGAATGGCAAAAGAATTTTTTTTTAAAGTGAAAATCCCGCCGGGCGCAGTGGCTCACGCCTGTAATCCCAGCACTTTGGGAGGCCGAGGTGGGTGGATCACGAGATCAGGAGATCAAGACCATCCTGGCTAAAACGGTGAAACCCCGTCTCTACTAAAAATACAAAAAATTAGGTGGGCGTGGTGATGGGTGCCTGTAGTCCCAGCTACTCCGGAGGCTGAGGCAGGAGAATGGCATGAACCCGGAAGGCGGAGCTTGCAGTGAGCCGAGATCACGCCACTGCACTCCGGCCTGGGCGACAGAGCGAGACTCCGTCTCAAAAAAAAAAAAAAAAAAAGTGAAAATCCCAATTGACACTGAAAAATCTACCTAGAAACAGATTTCTGTATTTAACATGAAGACCACAAATAAAATAGAATACACATATTTTAAAAAGAAGGAAAAATTAAAGATGCTTGCTGTTATAAATTATGAAAAGGAGTTTGGCCTCCTTTACTTTCCCCAGAGCTTGCTGAACTGCTGTGCAGAAGTCTTGGAATACCCAACTCAATACTCACAAGATGCAGTCCATCCTCAGATCTCCAAGGCATTTAAAAAACTCATATTCTTAGTAAATTGTTTCCAATACTGTAGTACAACCAGATACATGCATATCTGTCCTCTCAGCTCACATGTGAGCTCCCAGAATGAAATGTTATTCAACTTTATTTCCCCTGATTTATATGCCTATAAAATGTTATCACGTAAGAAATATTTGTTTACAGAGTCAAAAGTTAATAGTCTCACCACACTAAGCTTCAAAAATGTATTAAATTCCTCACAGTCTTATGGGTAAAAACTAATTATTCATCCTATTTAGAGAAATATGGAAAATGGTCAATTTCAACATTCTCATAGCCAGGACCCACCTTTGGGGTTATTCTCCACATTCTCAGGGAAAAGTTTAATTCAACCTAGTCTGAATCTAGTGTCCAAGAAAGAACATAAACACATATCTTACTGACCTCTAATACTCAGCTGGAGCTCCTCAGTAAAGAATGTTTTAGGGTCCTTATTTGGGACCTCAACTGCTGTCTCTGCATAGGTTGGATTTTCTGGCATAAGCCTGAACAGGTGATAGAGCAATTTATTCAAACTCTTTGTTTTCCGAAGATACATGGAATACAAAGCCCGAAGCTGGTGGAGAGCAAAGAATTTGTTAGTAAACCAAATACACCAAGACAATTGGTATAAAAGAACAACTCAAAGTGTAACAAATTTCCTTTCCTCATAAACTAGCAGACATTCTATCCCCTCATTATTGTAACACATTTCTAATATCTTTCTCAAATTGTCTTCCTGTATTACAATGCACTCACCTTGGCTTAGAATGTCTGAGACAAGAAAATCTATTCACCATTCCCACAGATGACTCCCTCACTCTCCTCCCAAGTCTTCCATACATTCCTTCCACACCATTGCCCTTAACCTTTCAAATTCCTGCTTAAAACTAATCCCATTTTTATGGCTGACCTCACCCTGTATCAAAAACTCCGACATCCCTTTACGACAGAGAGCACAAACTAGTGGTCCAAAATGTCATGGGGGTCTTCTCAGAGTTGTTTTTTCAATCAGGAAATTTCACATAAAAATATGGATTTCTGATTTCTCTTTTAAAAACAGAAAAACGAGCCACCAGTGGGAGCACTGCAGGTATCTGTGTGAGACCTGTACTTCACAACTCCTGCTTTCCCTCCATAAAGTAGCTTGCATTTTCCACATTGACTTTGCAGTTCTTTGGTATCTGTATTGGTTTTAAGATAATTTCTACTATATCACATATCTCCTCACAGTACAAAGATATCATTTTCTTTCCCTTTTCTTTTTAAAAAATTTGTATTTTTAATTTTTGTGGGTACACAGTAGATATTTATGGGGCATATGAGGTATTTTATAGGCATATAATATGTACTAGGGTAAGTGGGGTATTCATCACCTCAAGCATTTATCCTTTCTTTGTGTAAAATATAGCATTTTCTGAACACTATGAATACTTAAGTACAAGGATCAAGTCATAGGATTTGGAATTGATTTTTAAAATATGTTGACCAAAGTGCTCTTATCATCAAACTTAACATCACTAATGAAGGATGAACATCCCAAATCTGAAAATCCAAAATCCAAAATGCTCCATAATCTAAAACTTGTTGAGCACCAACATGATGCTTAAAGGAAATGCTCCTGGAGCATTTCAGATTTTCGGATCTGGGATGCTCAACCAGTAAGTGTAACAAAAATATTCCAGAATCTGAAAAAATCTGAAATCAGAAACACTACTGGTCCCAGGCATTTTGGATAAGGGATACTCAACCTGTAAAAGAACACAATGACATTATATGGCTCCTGAGGTAAGACACTGAGAACACATAACAACTTGTGCAGTAAGTACTATTGCTAAAAATTAACCACAATCTAATGAGGAAACGATCAGACAAATTCACATTGTATGACAGGCTAAAAACAGCTGGCCAAAACAATGACAAGAAAGAAAAGAAAGGTATAGAAATTATAGGTTAAAGAAACTAAAGAAATATGACAAGCAAATACAAACATGATTCTTGATTGGATCTTCAATAGAGAAGAAAATAAAACTATAGAGATATTACTGGGACAACTGAAAGTATCTAAATAAAAATTAGATATTATTGCATCAAAATTAAATTTCTTGAGTATAAAAATTATATTATGCTTATGTAGAAACATGTCCGTGATCTTAGGAGATATATGCTTAAATACTTTTGGTAAAGCATCAAAATATCTGCAACTTACTTTCAAGTAGATCAGCAGAAAAAAAGTAAATACAGAGAAAGTATGTGCAAATGTAGCAATATGTTAAAAGATGTATGTAACTTTTTTATCTAAAAGAGTATGTGATTTTCCATTGAATTATTCTTCCAACTTCATTGTTTAATTTTTCAAAACAAAAAGTTAGAGATTTTTAAAAAATTAATCACCAATATCAATGGACTTTTAAAAACACACATATACGACCCAGCAATCCCACTCCAAGGTATACAACACAAGTGAAAACATATTTCAACACAAAAGCTCGTACACGAATGTTCACAGCAGCTTTATTTTCAATAGCCAAAAAAAAGGAAACAACCTAAATGCCCATTAATGGATAAACAGATAGATAAACAAAATGTGATAGATCTACAAAATGGAGTATTATTCAGCCACAAAAATAAATGCAATACTTATGATACATGCTTCAATTTGATAATCTTGAAAATAATATACTAAAATAAAAGCCAGACACAAAAGACCAGATATGTGAAATGTCCAGAACAGGCAGATGCATAGAGACAGAACACAGTTTAATGGCTGTCAGGAGCTGCGGGGTTTGAGAGGAAATGGGAAGTGATTGCTATCAATTACAATGGGATGTTGAAAAGGTTCTAAAATTATATAGTGGTTAACAGTTGCACAACTCTGTGAATACAGTCAGCCCTCCACTTCCATGGGTTCCACATCTGAGAATTCAACCAATCGCAGATTGAAAACATTTGAGGGGCAAAAAAAGTGATTTAAAAAAACCAATACAACAATAAAAATACTAAAAACTTTAATACAGTATAGCAACTATTTCAATAGCATTTACACTGTATCAGTGATAACTAATCTAGAGATGATTTTAAGTAGTATACAGGAAGATGTGCATAGGTTAGATGCAGATACTATATGCCATTTTATATAAGGAACTTGAGTATTCGCTGGGGTGGGGGTCATGGGAGGGAGCCTGGAAACAATCCCCAGCAGATATCAAGGGATGACTATATACTAAAAACACCAAACTGTGTATGCTAAGTGGGTAAATTTTATGGTATGTGCAATATCTCAGTAAAGCTTTATAAAACAGACACAAAAACATACACATGTACATATACAACTTTTTCCAGTTCAATCTGATTTGCTAGTTTTTTTGAGAAAAAAGTTAACCCATGATTTAGGAACATTTAAAGTTTTCCGAAGAAAAATTCTGTTTATTTCAGGATTCATCTAATTAGTATTACTTAGTGGGTTATTCTGGTTTATCTGCCCACAGCTCAGTTCAAGTTTCAGACTCAATAATAATAAATGCTGCCGTATAATTTTGCACCCTAACCCAATCCCAGCTTAATGAAAAAGGTGACACATGGCCATTTTCCTAATTTCTGAATATAAAATGAGAACAAAACTCTTATACACAAATGCCTCAATCTGCTGCTATTTTTTAAAGATCAACAATATTTTAAGAAATTGATGTAAAAGCCAAATAAGGAGCTCTTGAAATATATCATCAGCAAATAAAACTAGCTTAAGTCACAAAAATAAGTGACAGGCCTAAAGAGAAAACTAATCTATTTAACAGCTAGATCAATGCTGCTTCTGTGATTTGACTTTTCCCCACAGATATACAAATGCAAAGATGCAAAAATTGATATCTTTGTACCAGGGTATAGGGTATGAGCAACAACATAAATTATAATTTAAAAATTCCAAAAAGTCACATTGGAAATGAATGCCATGAATACTTAATCACACTAAATGATAAACTAAATCTTTTTGTATTGACCTGTCAAAAGAAGGCACATATTTTATTAGGCTAATTCAATCAAAGATTGACAGAGATTTGGATCTTCCTTGTTCTTTTTGAGACAGGGTCTGGCTCTGTCGCCCAGGCTTGAGTGCAGTGGCATGATCTCAGCTCACTGCAACCTCCACTTCCCCGGCTCAAACTATCTTCAAGTGGGGATCCTTCTAACAGAAAAACTAGAGAGATCTTTCCAGTTTCTTCTTGGACAAGGTCTTACTTCCTAAACATGAGACAACAGAGACATCTAGTGGCTGCTAGAATAATTTGGACAAAATATTTCAGATATTTTCACCACTTAGGTAACAGTTTGAATTATTACATAGGTAATGTTTCACAGATCTCTCTCCAAACAGTGATTTTCAAGTAAGGTAAATTTCCAATGATGTATTAAGTTATATCTCCACAACAGAGTGACAAACTGACTCCCTCCGAAAAAAAAACAAAAAACACAAGATCCAATTCTTTTGAAATCATTACTATGATAGTACAAAATTAAATTATATAAATATTATTTCCTGAAATAAAAGAACCTGGTGACTACATTCAGTTAGAAAAAAGTTGATCTGGCCACCTATCAGAGTAATTACTTTTGCTTGGAAGGTAAGGTATAAGGGACAGGAGTAAACTTATTAAGCAGATGGAAGTTAGTTGGATAAAATGAGATTAGGCTGGGCGCAGTGGCTCATGCCTGTAATCCCAGCATTTTGGGAGGCCAAGGTGGGTGGATCGCTTGAGCTCAGGAGTTTGAGACCAGTCTGGGCAACACGGTGAAACCCCATCTCTACAAAAATATAAAAATTAGCCAGGCATGGTGGCTTGCACCTGTAGTCCCAGCTACTTAGTGAGAAGATCGGTTGAGCCTAGGAGGCAGAGGTTGCAGTGAGCCGAGATTGTGCCACTGCATTCCAGCACAGGCAACAGAGTGAGACCCTGTCTCAAATAAACAAAATAAAATAAATTTTAAAAGATGAGATTAAAACATAAGGATTTTCCTTTTATTAAACTGAAAGGAAGGTATTTAGAACAGTATCAGAAGCATATTAGGACAGAACTATCGAAAGTTGTCACATATTTATTTACCTGTGATGATGCAGCTTTGAAGAAAGTTAGTATTAATTTCCAAGTGAGAAGGTATCCCAGAACATAACAGAAGTCTTCACTCAGTGGTTTAATAGTAACTATCTGTCCAACAGGAATACACCCCAAAACATTTTCTAGTAAGTCCTCTTGAATGCTAAGAAGAGACATCAGTGCTGCTGGTGGTGACCTAAGAATCAATGATTAAACACCACAAGTTTTCTTTATAATTCATTCCTTAACAAATTGACAGTACTTGTAAACTTCAAGCATTTTAGAAAAATTTCTCTGTTTTCCAAAAAACGTTTTAAAAATTCCCCTCTATTGAGCCAATTTTAACTCCTAATCTCACATAACAGTAAAATAAAAAAGACATATTATAGCACTTGAAGGAAAGACATTTTTAGAAAACGTCTCTTTCAATTTTCTAAGTGAAAAAAAATCACACACCCAGAGAAGCCAAATGATGAGTCCAACGTCTTTCAGTTAGTAGGGGAAACTGTTAGGGATTCTAAATCCTACCCGGCCTTTTATCATCTTATAAAAGACAAAGTGAAGATTAAGACTTCGAACTTTGTCACTTCATTCTAGTTTCTATTTTATTGCATATTATCTACTTAGTACTATTAAGAAATATCACAATGATACTATTAATCGGATAAACACAGAAAATAATTATGTGCCTGTTTAAAAAATCATGATTGTAATCTTTTTAGGAAAATAAATGTACCATTCAGATTAATTCACAACAATGTAAGTTAATTTTCTTCTTTATTGAACTACTCTACTCATTTATACTTTCAGGTGAACTTATGAGATTCTCAAAAAGTAAAATACTTAACTCTCTTCTCCATGATACTCTAGCCTGGTTCTCTCCTTTCACTTCTGTGATCGTTCTTCCCTTGTGGCTTCCTTCTCCCAGCCCACAAGTACAGGCCTTCTCCAAACTTCTGCTCTTAGGTCTTTTCCTTCAACACCTCCATCTCATGTACCCAGCCTTCTATATTCCATACTGATAGTCACTAGATCTTATAAAATACCAGCTCCAAAATCTCTCCACTTTTCACATTGCCCTCCATGCATTGTTATTTAACTTCTGCAATCAGCTCCACCTCTGCTTGCTTCTTTTTACAATTCATGTTTCACATTAGTGTCAGAATCGGCTGGTGGCGCCCTATCTCCTACCAAGTAATGACCAAATCCCCCCAAAAAAGTCATTTTTAAGGCCATTTATTATAGGCCAGGAAGCATTCTGGCCTACAGCATTCTAGCCTATTTCTCTCTCAGAAATAAGAGAGAGAAATTCCTGCCCTCACAGAACTTACATTCCAGTAAAGAAAGATATTATCAATAAAACTATACATTAAGTGGTAACTACTCAATATTCCCCAAGCACATCCTCACATTCATGACTCAGTGCCTTTGTACATGATGTTCTCTTAACTTATGTTGTCTTTCCTGTCCTGCAGAAATGCTACCTAACCTTAAAGGTCCAGTTTAAATGCCTCTTCCTCAAAAGAAAGTCTTCCCTTCCTGATGTACATTAATTGTGCCCTCATACATGCTATCTTATATAGGCCTAACTGACCTTTAAAAAAAAGTTATCTATCCTTTTTCTTAGCACTTATCATATACTATATTTTCCATAACGCTACAGTATCATCTGTATCAGATAAATTCCTTAAGGAAAAGAAAGTGCTCACTAAACACTGCATATTCCCCTCAGCATTTAATTAATACTCTGCACAAAGTGGATGCTCAATAGATACTTGAACCGATACACTCTTTCCACAGCCACCATATGGCCAAAGATAGTTTTACTGAACAGTAGCAAACGGAAAATGTGATTTAAGAACAATTAAGAGAGTGACACAATCTTTTGGGTGAAATCTATATTTCATTTATATCTTACAGATAACTAAAAAGATCTATCTGTAGAATGAATATAACTCTATAGCTTCTGTGCTGCTTCAGTCCTCTAAAGACATTATAAGTGAGATGGATTATAAGAATTTAATAAAACAAATTATTTAAAAAAACCTTACAAGGCTGGCTCTTCTTCTTCATCTCCGTATGACTTTAGATTATCCTGATCATACTGTGGTAATTCAGGCATCAATCTAGAAATTAGAACATTATTTTTAAATATGTGATATTAAACTGTTTATTAAGTCGTGCTCAAGAGCAGAAAGACCAATACTTATTTTATAATGAGTAAATGTTTTAATGAGTTTTCTTTAAAATAACTACTATAGCCAGGACTATTGAAATATAAATTGTGTATAGAGAACAATAACCTAAAAGATGAGGCAACTTAGGGTCCCTATAAGTGAAGCAGTCAGATCTCCTTCTTTTAAAAATTTTACTTTAAATAATTAAAAGTAAAAACTAAGCATATATTCTATTTTTTTAGACCACTGTAACATTGATTCAATTGGATGAATTCTTACTTGTATAGCATATGATAAACAGCAATTTGCACAGGCCTAGCTCTGAAGAGGAGTAATGGGGCCAATGTATTTAACAAAGTCTGGAGATATTCTGGTAAGTTTGTTTTTTGGTCAGCAACTAATCTTGCAGGAAGTTTGTGACTCAATAGCTGTTCCTTTGAGATATACGTTAATGTTTCACACATGGGTTTCAGCATTGCATTCTGAAAGGATGTTTCAGACACATCTTTGTTTTCTCCTAATGACAAAAAGGAAAGAAACATGCACGTCTCAAAAGAAAGTTAGTATAGCTTAAATGATTCACAAACAATCAAATGTCATTTAAGAAAATGAAATAAAAACTAGACATAAACAATAAAGCAGTCTTAACTAGAAACATGAACTGAATATATATTCCAGTTAATCTCAACTGTTTTAATGACTTTTATCTGATCCAGCAAATGTTCAATAGCAAGGTTCTATTCACATCATCCATTCATGTTATCTGAAGTATTATTATTTTAATTTGCAACAGTCATTGGATACCTTGCCATTTTTCAATTTCTGTCTGTAAAGTAAAGCATAGATGATGCTTCTGAGAAGCCAAGCTTTCTCTTCTGGCTTTTTCTTTTACTATTTAGTATTATTTGATTTAAACATCAAAATTTTTGCTTTTGAATTTTTCAGTAAGTCATTTCCAATGAATCAATCTCACTATTATTCCCTTTTTCACTTGCCTGTAACAGTCACCAAAATAGGTAAAAGCAAACTGTGGATGCCTTGGGAAAAAAATTCTTTCCATTCACTGATTAGATTTACAGGAAGATTGCCAATGGTATCCAGAGTTGTGGAATCAAAGAAAGCACTGAGGTCACAGGCCAAATCACAGCTGACACAGGCAAACAGTTGCACAAGTGGAATAGAATACAATGCCTGATTCTCACTTGTTGTCTGAAAAAACAATAAAAATGAAATAGGTAAACAGACTTCTACCAGAACACTACAAATAAAGCCAATATAAAGAAAAGCCCCACTTTCATTTCTTTGAATTTTAAAACGAAAAGCAGTTGAGGTGTGTAATCTCAGGAGAAACATAAAATTTTACATCAAAATAACTTTTTTCTTCAAAATTAAATACCATGAATAGAATCATTAATAAACAATTTATTCTCAAGTACCCTTTTTAATTTCTAACCCATGGAAGGAAACACTAAGTCAGACACATTAAATACACATTTATAATCTTCTCAGTAGCCCTACAAGTTGTAAGTTATTATTTTAAAATAAGAAAATCGGCCAGGCACAGTGGCTCATGCCTGTAATCCCAACACTTTGGGAGGCTGAGGCAAGTGGATCACATGAGGGCAGGAGTTTGAGACCAGCCTGGCCAAAATGGTGAAACCGCATCTCTACCAAAAATATAAAAATTAGTCGTGCATGCTGGTGGGCATCTGTAATCCTGCTATTTGAGAGGCTGAGGCACAAGAATTGCTTGAACCCAGAAGGCGGAGGTTGCAGTGAGCCAAGATCGCACCATTGCACTCCAGCCTAAGCAACAGAGCGAGATTCTATCTCAAATTTAAAAAAAAAGAAAGAAAGAAAGAAAGAAAACTGAGTCTCAAATAGTTTAAGTTTAAAACTCTAAGTCACATAGCTAATAGCAGGCAAAGCAGAGATTCAGACCAATCCAACCCTGACTGACTTGCTGCCTTGGAGCCCACAAGTAATATACCTCTGGTTGCTTTGGGTCAAAAATTACACTAATTCCCTCTGAATCTGCTACTATTTAATGCATTACTCTCACAATATTCACACAGTATGTTTTAGAAATAATCTAATTATAACCAAAAAAGACCAAAATAATTGTCATTAACAGATAAAACCTGAAAGGGCTGTGCTGCAAATATTACAATAAGCTAATGGAGAAGGCATTTTAATAACAGGAGATTTGGTCACTGAATGATGCTGGTAGTCATTAAAAATCTATCATTTTACTATTCTGTCAAATAGTAGCTGGTAAGAAGAACATCTATAAAGTGTTTTAAATTATACAAAGGAACCAATTACAATCATCACTTAAAGAATGAGATTAGTAAATAGTTCTGATGCAAAAGTATGTACAAAAACCCACAAGAGGTGATGACATATCGGGTTAATTTACCTCCAACCAAGCCAACATGGAGCACATGATGAAGTCCCACTCACTCTCTGCCAAAGGGGATGAGCAGTATTTCAGAAATAGGGAAAGAAACCGGATTATTTCTATATTTACACCCAGTACCTCTGGACTTGCTTCTGATAGATTACTGTGATAAAGATAAAAACAAAAGACAATAAAAGATTATATTGACATTCAATTAGAAAGTATGCTACTTTAAATCTTACATACTTATTTATAACTGACTTAAATGTCTACCATAATTTCTCTACAAAATTGTGACACAGATACGTAATCTTTGTCTGAATTGTATACTGAAGGAAAAACATAGTATAAAGTATCACCTACCAACTGAAAAGAAAAATATCTTCATGCTCTTTCTTCCAGGATATTATGATTTTTAATATTCCATGTAATAGCTCTCCATCATCTATACTTTTGGTTTGCAGACAAGAATTGAAAATGGCAAGATGTCCAAAACCTCCTAAAGTAAAATTCAAAATGAAAATTAAAAATATTTAAGAACTATATCGCTACTATTAAAAAAAAGTCCACTTTGAGAAGTAAAAGACTTTCTTGAGAAGTGTTCAGGTTAAGAACTCTAATAATGACTTTTATCTAAGAGTCAACAAATGAGCTTATAAGCTCCAAAGGGCAGAGACCCTGTCTCCAAACCCAGCACCTAGCACACAATAGAGAATTTGGGGGAGGAGAAAGAGTGAATGATGCTGTAATTTAAACTGACTTATGCTGTTTTTGTTTTGGTTTCTTAAGTGCAGGACATATTCAGCAAACTCATCATTCAAATAAAAAAAACCCTACAGCTACAGAGTAGCTGGAAACAGCAAATGGAAAATAGAACATACTGTTTCATAATTTATACATTCATTCACTCAATAGCAGCTAGTACATGTGGTAAACTCTGATGTGGACTCACTCTTTAGAATCTCTACCATTCCTCAAAATCCATCCACTGGTGTATCTTAACACCCTCTGTCCCCAACCTTCTATCTTACATACCAGCCAAAATGAACAATCTGTACCCTTGTATGTTTTTGTGTACCTGGAATGCCCTTCCCCAACTATGTCCATATGGAAAACTATTTATCCTTCAACACCCAGTAGAAATATTTCTCTTTGTGAAATTGCCACTAACACCCTCAAAGCAGAGTGGAAACTCCTTCCTTTCTGCCACTTCTATACATAGCACATCTTTTTGCTACATCGGTTATCACATAATACAACTTTATGTTTGTCTTCTCTACAATAGGAACTACCATGTAGCAGGTGCTCATAAATGTTTATTAAATTAATAAACAAATGAAAAGTGCAGTGTTTTAAATACAACAGACGCTATTTTTGCCTTTATATGTTCAATCATTGATTGGCTAGGGAGAAATGAGGCACAGCTTTAAAAAGCTATAGATAGAAAAGAAATGGTTAGAAGGTATTTCTGGGCGTAAGTCTTCCCTTAAGGCCCAGCATTTTTGTACTGTAAAATGGTAACAGCCACTGTCTAACAACACTCATCCATATAATCTCAGAACAAATCAGCTGTAATTCAATTTACCTCTGCTAGATGTGGTCTTATATATTAGAAACAGTTCTTCATCTCAAGCAATAATTAAATTAATGAAATATTTATTATCAAGCAACTAACCATTAGTGCTGCAAAGATCTTTCTTAGTCCAGCCCAAAAGAGCAGGTATACATTGAGCACTAAATTCTTTCTTTTCTTCTTTTGACAAAAATGGACATAGACTTTGAATGGTATGCAAATTGCCTTCAGTTAGTGGAAAAAAACTGTTTAAAGAAAAAAAAAACACAAGTTAGATTTCTTCCAAACATACAGTTATTTTATATATTTCTTTTATTTAGACTACTGAAAAAGATAGATGAATAATTCTATCACATATAATTACATAAAAAGAAACTATGATAGATTTAACAAGTGCTGACTTGATGAAATTGGTTTTTTTTGCTCCTTTTCTCTTTTCTGCATAAATTTTTTAAATGAGCATATATAACTTTTCCCCATATATGATTTTTTAAAATTATACTAGCCACATGACATTATGTCCTCTTTTAAAAAAAAAAAAGAGTCAATTGCGGGGTGCGGTGGCTAATGCCTGTAATCCCAACACTTTGGGAGGCTGAGGAGGGCAGATCATGAGGTCAGGCGTTTGAGACCAGCCTGGCGAACATAGTGATACCCCATCTCTACTAAATATACAAAAAATCAGCCGGGTGTGGTGGCAGGCACCTGTAATCCCAGCTACTCAGGAGGCTGAGGCAGGAAAATCACTTGCCCCTGGGAGGCAAAGGTTCCAGTAGCTTGAGATTGGGCCCCTGCACTCCAGCCCTGGTGATAAAGCAAAACTCTGTTTCAAAAAAAAAAAAAAAAAAATAGAGTCAATTGATTCAACTTAAATAAATAGTACCAGTTGTGTGTCCTTTCTTTTCTTTCTTTTTTTTTTTTTTTTTGAGACGGAGTTTCACTCTTGTTGCCCAGGCTGGGGTGCAATGCACGATCTCAGCTCATTGCAACCTCTGCCTCCCAGGTGCAAGTGATTCTCCTGTCTCAGCCTCCCAAATAGCTCGGATTACAGGCATGCACCACCATGTCTGGCTAACTTTTTTTTTTCATTTAGTGGAGATGGGGTTTTACCATGTTAGTCAGGCTGGTCGCGAACTCCTGACCTCAGGTGATGCAGCCATCTTGGCCTCCCAAAGTGCTGGGATTCCAGGCCTGTGTGTCCTTTCTTTGAACTGATATTCGTATTTGTGCATATATATAGTTGGGTTTTATTCACATAAAAAGGATGACACTAAACATATTGTTCTATCATTTACCACTTACATATACTTTCTGTCAGAACATATAAATTATTCTGTTTTAAAGCTACGTAACAAAAATGAACAAAATCTACCTAACACTCCATACTATGGAGGTATCATTATTTAACTATTTCCCTATCAGTGAACATTTAGGTTTCTCCCCTCCCCAAATTTTTGCTGTCACACATAATGCTGCAATAAATATCCTTAAGAAGATACTATTCTGTGTATGTATAAACACCTCTTTAGGCTAAATTCCTAGAAGTGGAATTGAAAGCTCAAAGGATTTGAATGTATTATATGTTGGTGATCTCAAATTGCTTCTGAAAACACATAATCAACTTATACTTTCACCAAATATGCACAGGTGTGACTGTTTAGCTGCACATTTAATGAATCTTTTTGATTCTCGGCAATATAGTGGATAAAACCATTGCTCTTAATTTGTACTTCTGTCATTATTAGTAAGGCAAATCCTTTCATATTTCACATTTCAGTATTGAGCTACCTTTGACCATTTCATCTATGAATTGCCTCTTTAAGTCTTTGATAAATTTTCCAATTTGGAGGGTTTTACTGATTTATATAAACTATATGTAGATAGTTTTTTGTTGATTTGCAAATGTCATCTCCCATTTTGTCATTTGTCCCTGTAATCTTTATATTTTGTCGCAGTTTTCATCTTTCAGAAATACTATATAAAAAATTTTAACTGTCATAAAATACACATAAAATTAATGTATTAGCCATTTTAAAGTGTAGAGTTCTGCAGTGTTAAGTACATTCACACTATTGTGCAACTAATCTCCAGAACTCTTCATTCTGCAAAACTGAAACTCTACCCACTAACACGAATGCTCCATTCCTCTCTCACCCTCGGCCCCAGGCAACCACCTTCTACTTTCTATCCCTATGAATCTGACTACTCTACAGAAGGAATCATAGAGTATCTGTCTTTTTGTAACTGGCTTATTTCACTCAGCATAATGTCCTCAAGGTTCATACAGACTGTATGTAGCATGTCAGAATTTCTTTCCCTTTTAAGGCTGAATAATATCCCATTATATGGTTATACCACACTTTTATTTATCCATTTATCCACTGATGGGCACTTAGGTTGCAAGTTTTCATTTTTACAGAATCAAATATATATATATTTACATAAAATGTAAAGGAGAAGGTCTCAGTATTTTTCTTCCAAACACACAACCAATTTTCCCATCATTATTATTTACTCACCACAGTGATTTGAAATGCCACCTATATTAAAAACTAAATTCACATTTATGTGTGGATAGGTTTCTGGACTGTATCCACTGATTTGTCTACTCTTCAATTTCATACTGCTTAATTACTATAATTCAATAATATATGTTATATTTGGCATGCAGTCTCTTTCACTTTTTTCAAAAATTTCTTATTTTTGAGAACTTTTTCCTTCAAATGTATACTATGTTCAGAACAGTTTACTAAGTTTTTCAAAAACTGCTGAAATTTTGATTGAGATCGCACTGAAATTATAGATTGACACAATCATTTTTACAATTTATCTTCCCACCTTCTTTTGTGATCTTTATTCAAGTTTTATAATTGTAATTTTTTGTTAAGTTTATTTCTAAGTATTTATAGTTTTTGTTATCATTGTGAATGGAATCTTCTTTTTCTCCCATACCATTTTTTAAATTGATTACTATGGGTAAATAAGAAAGCTATTCATTTTTGTGTGGTAAATATACATCCATCTCCTTAGTAATTAGTTCCAATAGTTCTTTAGCTAATTCCGTATTACTTTTATAATCAGAAAAAAATGTTAATTATGCTAAAAAAGCTAATGTCAAAAAGTTACATACAGTATGATTCCATTTATATAATATCATTTTTTGTCTTGTTTTGAGACTGGGTCTCACTCTGTTGCCCAGGCTGGAGTGCAGTGGCGTGATCTCTGCTCACTGCAACCTCCACCTCCTGAGCTCAAGTGATCCTCCCACCTCAGCCTCCTGAGTAGCTGCAACTACAGGTGCACACCACCACACCTAGCTAATTTTTGTATTTTTTTGTAGAGATGTTTCGCCATGTTGCCCAGGCTGGTCTCGAACTCCTGGGCTCAAGCTGTCCTCTCACTTTGGCCTTCCAAAGTGCTGGGATTACAGGCATAAGCCTCCACACCTGGCAAATTCCATTTATAAAATATTCTTAAATGACATAATTACAAAGAGAGAGAACAGATTAGTGGTTGCTAGAGATTAGGACAATGGGAAGGGGAAGGGAGGTGGCTGAGGCTATATATGGATAACGCAAGGGATCCTGATAATGAAACTGTTCTGGACTTGACTGTGGTGGTGGTCACAGATGTGAGCTACACAGAACACACGCACACTCTGTCTCTCACACACACAAACATACACAAACATGTGCATGTAAACTAAGTCAACTGACTGTATCAATGCCTTTTCCTTGGTTGTAATACTATGCTAAAGTTATGCAAAACAGTACCACTGGGTAGATGTATGATTTATTCTTTGTATTACTTCTTACACATTCATGTGAATCTACAATTACCTCAAAATAAAAAGTTTTTTAAAACTTTTAAGATAAAAAACAGTCAAAATTTAATTTAGAATTCTACTATGCCAGAACATGTATCTATCATTTCAGAATTCTTCTTGGTAAATCAGTAAATTCAAAATGCCTCTTGGTAAATCTCAGCTAAGTATTAATTTGAATGCTGAGCTTCACCAGCACACCCAAACCCACAATCTACTTCTTTGTCTTAAGAACAGACACATTTGTTACATTTCTAGAATATATTTCAATAGGATGATGTTATTTAAGAGAAGAGTAACTTTCCCTATCACTTCCATATAGCAAATAAAGTGATGGAAAAAGAGTATTAGGAAAGGGCAAAAGAAAAGATTTCTATCAGAGAGATTTCTGGGGAAAAGAAAACAAGTTCATGAAATGCTGTTGGCTTAAAAAAAAAAGTACAGTATAAAATTCTACAACAAAAGGCTATAGAGTTAAAACTATTTACTTTAAAAAAAAGGTGTCGGCCAGACATGGTGGCTCACACCTGTAATTCCAGGCCTTTGGGAGGCTGAGGCAGCAGGACTGCTTGAGCCCAGGAATTCAAGACCAGCCTGGGCAACCTGGCAAGACACCATCCCTACAAAATTAAAAAATTAGCCAGGTGTGGTAGTGCACACCTGTGGTCCCAGTTACTCAGGAGGGTGTGGTGGGAGGATCACTTGACCACAGGAGGTTGAGGGTACAGTGAGCCATGTTCGCATCACTGAACTCCAGCCTGGGCAACAGAGTGAGACCCTGTCTCAAAATAAATAAATAAATAAATTCAAAGGTATGTCCCTAACCTAAAACAATTTAATTTGCCTTGAAGTCGTTAATTTCCTCATTTCCTAAACCTGTTTTCTTGATTCATTAGAAATTATTCATTAATTAGGGGTTGCCAAAGTGACCGATTACAGTAAACTACAAAGTAAAAACATTTTAAATAAGAATACCTTTCTTTTCTCTTATAATGTGGTTTTACTTCATCAGATGAAATGCTTCGGGAAAGGATCAACTTAGCAATAATAAGAGACCACAGTGTGCCATGTTCTCTGGACCTGAAAAAGGAAAGAAAAAAATTATATTCCGTTTTGAAAGCATACTGAATAAAATGTTTAAACACTGGCTAGCTGGATTCCTTTTACAGAATTAAATAAAGCACCTTGTGATGGCATCAATTCACCTAAGACTTTGCACCCAAGCAACTGCCAGTAATTATCCAAAGAGCTGAGAGTTTCGGCTTTCAACACTCCTTCAAGGCTGGTATTGAGCTCTCTCATCCCTAGGCAACTCCACAGTCTCTTCAGTCCCAATAGGGGAGATGATCTTAGAGATTAGGCTTGAAGACCAGAGGCTGTAGCTGGGAAAAAGACATCTCCCAGAGGACACCTAGGCAGGCTTAAGTTGAACAATCAAAGAGGTTCTTTGGTTCTGAGGAAAGTTGTGTCAACTAAGTAGAATGCGATTGGAAAGGAAGCCTGGGTCCTCTGATACAGCAAAGCATACTCAAAATACTATCGGCAAGTGATAAACTCCTAAAAAGAAAGCAGTTCAATACAGTAATTTCAAAAAGCTAAACATCTTACTACTACAACCTCTACAAGGACTGTTTTCATACCTGCCTTCCTAATCTAGGGGAGAGGGCTTTGTGGTCATAACATTAAGACACACCTATAACAACATGTAAGATAAAGGATGAATCTGAGAGCACTGGGAGGATGAGTCACAGATAAATCAAAACAACTTCTACAAGCTTCTACTTCTTTTTTGTCATCTGACCCTTGTATGTATTTATGGATTTAATAAGACAGGCAGAATACAAATATCTTCCCCTGAGAAGGTTAAATCAAGTATTTAGAATTCATAAACTATTTATTATTAAGAATAGGAATTATTTAGATCAATCCTCTGACTGAAACATTAGCATGCAGTAGGGTTACCTCTTACAGAAGGCAAAGCCATAAAGAAGTAGCATAGTCATTTTAAAAACAAATTGAAAGAGATTCTTACCTGTTAAATAACAGCTGCAAAAGGCCCGACGTATTACCAAGTACACGTAAGTTATCATACGTAATATTCATTTTTTGAAGTATTTCACAAAATCCAATTAGAAAAATAGGTGGGTTATCTAATTCTTCACACCACTGCAGTGAATAAAGCAGTTCTGCAACTAAAAGAAGAGACAGCACCAAATTATGAAAAGCACTCTGTGAACAAACCCTTCAATTACTTTCACTTCTCCACCTTGTTTTCTAACACTGTTGTGCCCACTCATCTCAAAACTCCTATGAACTGATTTTTCAAATCTGCTTTGAGATGTTCAAGGACAATGAAAACTGAGAATATATGTCTGATACAAAATACCACCCTTTTCCCAAATTCTACTTGGTCCTTTTTCTAATTAGTTAAGAATGTGACAAGAACCTAAGTTACTAGAGATACTGAAAGAATCTTCCTACCATTTTGGCACAATTGGTAAAAAGTTCCAGACAGGAAAAACAACTAAGGGACCCAAGACCTGAGGTGAGAAGTTCATGGCAAATGGGAGAAATGGGAGACAGTATGATACAGTAAAAGGACATGAGGCCTCAATTACAGATTGGGGTGGATTCAAATCTGCATCTCTCTCTCAAGCTATATAAATAGTTATCAATTAGGATACTACGAACTACCTCACAGGACTGCTGTGATAATTAAATGGCCAAGTATCTATCATAAAGCCTGGTATATCATAGGTTTCTAATACACAGTCACAGCTCCCTTTTATAAAGCCATGTATAGCTTTTGGAGTCAGAAGCATTGTGACCTGGTTCAAAATCTAATCCTACACTTACCAGCTAAGCAGCTCTAATCAAGTCATGGTAACAAAAACAACAATAATATCTGACTAATGAGCTCGATAAAATTAAAGAAATAATATTGCCAATTTGTAATTAGTAACACAAAAAATTATTACTCTACTTACTAGTTTTGGATTTGCACAGATTCACCCTGTGAGCAATGTTAAACTACAGGCTTGTTTCCTTTCCCTTAACTAAATGTGAAGGTGGCTGCCCAAAAGAGGTGTTTCAACTTTCTTCCACAGAGCATATATTCCCCCTTCTAGTAACTGTGTTACAGCTGAGGGCTTACAAACAAGACTGATACAGGGTTTCTGCAAATTCTCTACCTTTAATACCATCTTGTAAAAGTCACTCCACCACCTATAATTCTAAACCATTTGTTGAAACAGGGAAATTTGCTGAGGCCCTAAGTCCTCTTAGGGTTCAACATTTGAACGTCCACTTGCCAGAAAAAAAATTAGAGCCCGATGAAATACAAAAGTATTCAAAACCATTGGAATCAAAACAGCATGGTATTTGTATAAAAACAGACACACACAGACCAATGGAACAGAACTAGAGAACCCAGAAATAAATCCACATATTTGCAGGCAATTGACAAAGTCTTCAACAAAAATGCCAAGAACATATATTGGGGAAAGGACATCCTCTTCAAGAAATTGTGCTAGGAAAACTGAATATTCATATGTAGAAAAGTGAAAACAGACCTCTATCTCTCACCATCTAAAAAGATCAACTCAAAATGGATTAGAGACTTAAACCTAAGAACTGAAACTATATAAAACAACTAGAAAGCATCAAGGAACGCTATAGGACATTGGTCTAGGCAAATATTTTTATGGCTAAGACTTCAAAAGCGAAGGCAACAAAAACAGGCAAATAGGACTATGTTAAACTAAAAGCTTTCTGCACAGCAAAAGAAACAATCAACAAAGTGAAGAGACAATCTGTAGAATGGGAGAAAATATTTGCAAACTATTCATCCAACAAGGGGCTAACATAAGGAATATATAAGGAACTCAAACAACTCAACGGCAAGAAAGGAAAAAAAAATCCCATGCTCAATATTAGTAATCATCAGGGAAATGCAAATCAAAACCCCAGTTAGAATGCCTCTTGTCAAAAAGGTAAGAAATAAGCTGGGAATGGTGGCACTGCTTGTAATCGCAGCACTTTGGGAGGCTGAGGCAAGAGGATTGCTTGAGCCCAGGATAAAGACCTGTCTGGGCAACATAGTAACACCCCATCTCTAAAAAAACAAAGACAAAAAATAACAAATGCTGGCAAGAATGCAGAGAAATAGGAACTTATATACTATTGGTAGGAATGCAAATTAGTACAGCCATTTTGGAAAACGATATGGAAGTATTTCAAAAAACTAAAAATAGAACTATCACACAATCCAGCAATCCCATTGAATATTTAGAAAACCAGTATATCAAAGGTATATCTGCACCCCTATATTTGCTGCAGCACTATTCACAATAGCTGAGATATGAAATCAACCTAAGTGTCCATCAGTGAATGAATGGATATATAAAATGTGGTACATATGCACAATGGAATACTATTCAGCCATTAAAAAAAGAATGAGGCCAGGCACGGTAGCTCACTTCTATAATCCCAGCACTTTGGGAGGCTGAGACGGGCGGATCACGAGGTCAGGAGTTCAAGACCAGCCTGGCCAACATAGTGAAACCCCGTCTCTACCAAAAATACAAAAATTAGCTGGGCATGGTGGTGTGCGCCTGTAGTCCCATCTACTTGGGAGGTTGAGGCAGGAGAATCACTTGAACCTGGGAAGCAGAGGTTGTGGTGAGCCGAGATTGCGCCACTGCACTCAAGCCTGGGCAACAGAGCGAGACTCTGTCTCAAAAAAAAAAAAAAAAAAAAAAGGAATGAAATACTGTCATTTGCAGCAACATGGATGAAACTGGACATCATCATGCTAAATGAAATAAACCATGCACGGAAAGACAAACATCACATGTTCTAATTTGTATATGGGAGCTAAAAAAGTGGATCTCATGAAGATAGAATAGTATAGTAGACTGATGGTTACCCTGAGAAGGGTCAGGGAGAGCAGGGGATGAAGAGAGGTCGGTGAATGGGTACCAAAATACAGTGAGAGAGAAGATATATGACCTAGTATTCAATAACACAGTAGGATGACCATAGTTAACAATGATTTATATTGCAAAATAACTAGAAGATTTGAAATGTTCTCAACACAAAGAAATGATAAATGTTTGAGGTGATGGATATCCTGCTTAGCCTGATTTGATCACTACACATTCTATGTATATATCAAAATATCACATGTACCCCATAAATATGTAAAATTATCAGGTATCAATTTTTTTTTAATCAACAGAAAATTCTGAATCCTTGATAAAACACCAAAGCCTCACCCATTTTCTTTAGGGTATGTGCCACAGGATCTGTTTACATTGATGTCATGACAGCCTGAGTAGCTAACACCAAATTACGATCCACAGTTAACAAGATTATAGCAAGATTCCAATATATTCGTATCTAATTTGCAATTTCACATTCACCACTTAAGTAACTTCAAGGTTCTCATCATTAAAATAGGAAAAAGAAAGCTGAAGATTCTTGAATTAAAGATTTAAACTGCAGTATAATCAAGATTATTTCAAAATTATATTCATTCATGCATTATGTTATATGTAAATACTCATATATACTTACTTATTTTCTCAAGCTCATTATTTTCTAAGACTGTTTCCTTTCTCAGTGCAATTAAGACCATTTTGCTCAATAATGCTGAAGTACACAAATGGCTGGGAAGTGTCTTTATGTCCTGTTCCTTAAAATCTGTTTTGAAACATTCATAATTCAAACTCAATCTTCCCTCTAAAAGAGGTCTATGTAACCACTGTGAAAAGAATACGTTATATACAAAATTATTTATTACCTAAGCAATTGAGACTGAACAAAAATGAAGTTGTGAGAATATTTATTACCAAAACCACAGAAACCTAGAAGTTTGTTTTCTTTTACAGGAAATTATCAACATGTGTATTTCTTTAAGACTCCTTAAGTACAGAACTAGGTCCTAAGTCTTTGTACCATGCCCACTGCCACTGTCAAATGGTGTCTTGCAAAAAGCAAACATCCAGTATATGAGCATACAAAGACATCAAAGCAAAGCAAAATACTCATTTTATTTATGTTTTTCTTCCCCAAAATAAAAATATTCAAGCTTGCATGAAATCCAAACTTCAGAATGAGATATGTACTCTTCAATTTCCAAAATACCTGCATAGGAAGAGACTGCCTCATCTTTTCCCATTCACTGTCGTTCGGCATTACACTTCCAATATAAACTCCCATAAGATAAGAATCTTCACTCTCTAGAAGTGTATTTAGCAAATCATCAACAGCAGACAAGAGGACTTGGAGACTAAAAATAATGCAGAGAACTTAACTGTTGTAGTTACGCTATGACTAGTTTGAATACCCCAATACATATTAAATACCCTATAATAGCTCACCTGAACAAAAAGAAATGATGAAAATAAAAAGAGGTAAGTGACATTCCCCCACCGATGACACACCAACATAACAGTCAAACTGGGGAGGTAATCCAATATTTATCATTTGAAATCTAGTGTTGCTTCCTATCTATCTCAGAATGAAGAGGACCTGACCTATTTCAGACCAGGTATTTCAGAAATACAGCTACCTTATGAAATGCAGCACTATTTTACCTAAACCCAATATCCTCTAAATGCATTCTCTCTTCTCCTTTATTATATGGATTTAGGTATGAGAGGTAAAATATACTTGCAATTCAACATCTTAAAACACTGCCTACCTGTCCCCAAAAAATAAATAACCAAGAACAATCAGTACATGTGGTGACCATGAGAGGCTACAATGCACACCAGCCTATGACAAAGGATAGTATCACCATCACTTTACTGTCTATAAGTTATGAGTCCAGCAGGTATGTTATAGCAAATTATCCTTCAATTAACTGGCAGTTTAAATGGATGGTCATTGAAACAAAATGGTTTTGGAAAAATTCGTTTGGGTCTTTTCATAAGAGTCCTGTAGATTTGTTACCTAACAAGTCACTTTTCATTTCTCTTTTTTTTAAGAGATGGCATCTCACTATGTTGCTCAGGCTGGTCTCAAACTCCTGGAGGTCTCAACTGATCCTCCCACCTCAGCCTACTGAGTAGCTGGGATTATAGGGACGAGCCCTACAAGTCATTTTTCATAGGCACTCACACTGATCATGGAATCTAATTTAAGGACACTGTTCAAGTATAAAAGAGACACTGAAACCAAGCTCAAAAAAGGTTACCTGTTGATATCCAAAGATGAAGCCTGAACTTGGTTCTTCAGCCACAGAGCAGACAAATGTAGGAAGGTACTCTCTTTATATGAACTGTCAGTTTGATGAACCAATAAATTTACACCAGAGAGCCAAGTATTTTTCAGTTTACAGATAAGAAAATCTAAAATCAAGATGTCAACAGGAATTTGTAATCTCACTGAATTAACTCTCATCAGCACAAAATGTTTGAAACAACTCTACAGATCTGAGATTTTTTTAAATACCATTTAAAAAAGAAAAATTTTAAATTGCCATTCAAAATTCAATTGCCAAACAAAGCAACTGTGTCATAAACATGCAATCATACAAGCTAGCACGTATCATATAAATGTAAAATGGTAAGATTTTTAAAGTTACATTTTTTATGCTTGAACTTATTTACAAGAGTTGTCCTTTTGGAGACATTTTTAAAAAAATTATTACACCATTTCCAAATACAGAAGTTAGTATTTAAGAAAGGGTTGGTAGCCAATGATGGGCAGAAAAAAAAGAGAGAGAGAAAGAGGAAGGAAGAAGGAAAGAAAAAAAGAAAGGAAAGAATGAAGGGTGGGAGGAGGAGAGCTCTCTATAGATAGTATTTTTTTATGTTCCTTTCACAAATAAGTCTGAATTAGCATATAAGGCAAGAATATAGTCCTTAAAAAGATAATTTCAATTCTATTTTGATATACACCAAAGATTGAATGTTTTTACTATAATAAAGGGATATTATTATCCCCCTTTTACAAATGAGGAAACTAAGACATCAAGAAATTAAGGAACATGCCAGAACTACTGAATGGACTAAGATTCCACCTAATCAATTATGGCTCATTCCAAATTTCTTTGAATATCAAGTGAGATCTTTAGAAATAACATCTACGTACATCTTTAACTTGCTTTCTAGAGCTGAAAGTGTTTAAGACTGTAGCCCTTTACTCAAAATGCTTTAAACTTTCAAACACATTATAATTCAATTAATAAAGCCTGGGCACTTACACTCACTATGAAGGTCAGAGCCGGAGATTCCCAACAAAACATTTGAGCAGTAGGCTATTACCTGGCAAATGTGTTTTTTCTTTGCTCTGAGCACATAACTGAAAGAGAGTTAATAATAAATCTTCAGATGATGGCATTAGCAAGCATCCTTTCGCTGAGCTGAAATAGTTATAGGCCACATCACAGATAAAAGACACTGATGAGTCACTGCTTTCAGCTTCTGATAATTTCTTTGTTTTGAATAAAGTTTCATGAAGTCTAACAATGATTCTTTCAACATATACGTCTCCAATCAAGTAATCTGGAGAAAAAAAGGTTCAAACAGACAAAAAATAAAAATATTAACGTGTATTTTTAAATATCTTACTTTGGATTAATAATTCTATGGGTCTTTCCTGGATTTTAAAATGTATTAGACAAAATTTTATCAACAAATCAACACATTCTCTCACACATAAAGGCCCTCAAGTAAAAAAGGCAGTTTTAAATTAAGTAGAAAACAGAAATGGTCTACAGTTAGGGTGAGCAAGTTTGTACACTGAAAACCCTTTAAGTCATGAGTCAACTTTATGAGCTAAAAAAAAAAAACCCTTTAGGATATAGAACTAAAAATATTAAATATCTTCTAAGTCATGGTATGAAGATTAATAAACAATTAGGGTGCTTACAATATTACGATATGTAAATGAGCTGGGCGCAGCGGCTCACGCCTGTAATCCCAGCACTTTGGGAGGCTGAGGCAGACAGATCACCTGAGGTGAGGAGTTCGAGACCAGCCTGGCCAACACAGCGAAACCCCGTCTCTACTAAAAATATAAAATTTAGCCAGGCATGGTGGCATGCACCTGTAGTCCCAACTACTTGGGAAGCTGAGGCACAAGAATCACTTGAACTCAGATGTTGTAAGCCAAGATCACACCACTGCACTCCAGCCTAGACGACAGAGGGAGACTCAGTCTCAAAAAAAAAAAGAAAAAAGAAAAGAAAAGAAAAAAAAAAATTTGAATGAGTAAGTCCTGTTATTTTTAACCAATAACACATAAGCTGAGCCCCATGCAATCCCCCACAAAGGAGAAATGGACTATTCCCCATTAGAAAACAAAAGCCATATTTGTCCTACCATTTTTAACATGTTGGGATAATACCAAGCTTAGAAGAGTCCATCTTTCTGAGAAGTGAGATTCTGAAGATACCCTGGATTCCAAGTCCTCATTACAAAGACAATCTGCCAAGTTGACCAATTTCTCACCAAGGATATCGCCTTTGAGCCAAGGAGTTACTAAAGCATGTTTATCTGAACTAGGACATGCCTAAAACCATAAAATTAAAGCAAAGATTAACAGCAAGATCAAATACTCTCTCTGTCCAAAATATTACTTGTACCATATTACTATCCCTTCGTTATCATGGCTCCAATTCTATCCCCCCTCCTCCTCCTCCTGAAGTTCTAGGAAGACTGGTATCCTCCCTGTTCCCCATTAAGCCTGTATGATGTTCACTTCCACGCTTTGCTGTTACCTTCCCAGCCATAAATATTCCCCCACCCCCCCCTTTTTTTTTTAACTTAAAATCCCATCCATTCTTTGAAAATCAGTACAAATCCCACCTACTTTATGGAGTCTCCCCATCCACTCCAGCCCACAATGATCACTGCTTTTCTCTGAATTTCTAAAGCACTTACTGGATTGTATAATTATTTAAATGTTTCATCTGTGTATATCTTGTCTTTCCAATGAGATTGTAAGTTCCTTGAGAGTAGAGACTGTCTTAAACTTCTTTGATACCTGCTATCAACACTGTAGATATGTTCAATGAATAATGAATAAACTTTGAAGATAGATTTATAAATGCTCTATAAATTTTTGTTCATTAATTTTGCTAAAATTAAAGAACAATTAGTGTATAATAATGGTAAATTACTTCAATATGAACAATGGGATTTATTTCCCCAAATTCTCTGATATAGAGTTACTAGGGCCAGATATCTGACAGCAACTTATTTTCATGAGGTGGGGAAGCAAGAAAAAAAAAAGCTGTAAATCCACCCCTAAAGCATGCTGATCCATGTTCCCAGAGCTTCTTTTGCTTTAAGGGCTGAGAAGTAAGGAATTTGCAACTTGGTTCATTTCAAAGCAATCTGGAAGAAAAAAAAAAATCCAAGTGCAGATTGGGTAGTGCTTGGAAAACTTTATCCTTTTATTTAAAAATTGTAGGTAACCAGAGCTTATATTTTAGTCCAAGCTTTATCACTAACTAGCCTATGACCTTGGACAAATCTTTTAATCAGCGTGGGCCTATCTCCTAATTTGAAAGTTGGAAAGATTAACTTAGAAAATCTCTAAGGTCCTTTTCTGGTTCCAAAACTCAAATCTGTTTTTTAATTGATGGTTTTTTTAAAAGATGACTTTAAGACCAGCCTGACCAACCAACACGGTGAAACCTTGTCTCTACTAAAAATTCAAATATTAGCTGGGCATAGTGGCAGGTGCCTATAATCCCAGCTACTCGGGAGGCTGAGGCAGGAGAATCACTTGAACCCGGGAGGCAGAAGTTGCAGTGAGACGAGATGTTGCAACTGCACTCCAGCCTGCTGGGCAACACAGTGAGCCTCTGTCTCAAAAAAAAAAGATGATTTTAAGACTCTGCTCATAAAGTATTAAGGTTCCATAAAACAAGAAAAACTACTTTAGAGTTTAGATGGCTGTGATACCTGTTTTCCCAGTGTAGTTTGCCAAGTAAAACCAATCTATTCTGCAGAATCCTGGTAAACAAAATAAACTTCTGAATAAAATGCCTCTCGAGTTAGCAAGATAAGAAATTCAACATAATGTACAGGCATACCTTGTTTTATTGGGCTTAATATTTACTGGGCTTTGTAAATGCTGCAATTTTAAAAATTGAAGATTTGTGGCAACCCTGCATTGAGCAAGTTTATTGGCACCATTTTACAACAATATATGCTCATTTTGTGTCTCTGTGTCACATTTTGGTAATTCTCACAATATTTCAAACTTTTTCATTATTATGTCTGTTATAGTGATCTGCAATCAGTGACTTTTGATGTTACGATTGTAATGTTTGGGGGTGCCACAAACCATTGCCATATAAGAGGGCAAACTTAATCAACAAATATTGTGTGTGTGTTCTGACTGCCCCGCTGACCGACCATTCCCTAATCTCTCTTCTCTGTCCTTAGGCATCCCTATTCCCTTAGACACAACAATGCTGAAATTGGGCCAGTTAATTACACTACAATGGCCTCTAAATGTTCAAGTGGAAGGAAGAGTCACACATCTCTCTAAAACAAAAGCTGGAAATGATGAAGCTTAGCAAGGAAGGCATGTTGAAAGCCAAGACAGGTGGAAAACTAGGCCTCTTGTGCCAAACAGCCAAGTTGTGAATGCAAAGGAAAAGTTATTGAAGGAAATTAAAAGTGCCACTCCTGTGAGCCCAAGAGTAACAGAAAGTGACATAGACTTACTGCTGATATGGACAAAGTTTTAGTGGTCCAGACAGAAGATCAAACGAGCCACAACATTCCCTTAATCCAAAACCGAATCCAGAGCAAGGCCCTAATTCTCTTTAATTCTATGAAGGCTGAGAGGTGAGGAAGCTGCACAAGAAAAGACTGACGCTAGCAAAGGGTGGTTCATGAGGTTTAAAAGAAGAAACCATCTCCACAATACAAAAGTACAAGGTGAAGCAGCAAGTGCTGATGTAGAAGCTGCAGCATGTTATACAGAAGATCTAGCTAAGATCAATAATGAAGGTGGCTACACTAAACAGATTTTCAGTGGAGGTAAAACAGTCACATATTAGAAGAAGATGTCATCTAAGACTCTCATAGCTAGCAAGAAGTCAATGCCTGGCTTCCAAGTTTCAAAGGACTGGCTGACTCTCGTTAGGGGCTAATATAGCTGGTAACTTTAAGTTGAAGCCAATGCTCATTTCTCATTTTAAAAATCCCAGGGTTCTTAACCTTATGCTAAATCTACTTTGCCTGTGCTCTATAAGTGGAATAACAAGGACTAAATTACAGCACGTTTATAGCGTGGTTTATTCAATATCTTAAGCCCACTGTTGGAAAAACGAAGGAAAAAAAGAAAAAAATTCTACAATAAGTAGAAATATTACTACTCATTGACAATGCACCTGGGTAACCCAAGACCTCTGATGGAGATGTACAAGGAAATTAATGTTGTTTTCATGCCTGCTAACACAACATCCATTCTGCAGCCCATGAATCAGAGTAATTTTAACTTTCAAATCTTAATATTTAAGAAATACATTTCATTAAGCTATAGCAGCCATAGACAGTGATTCCTCTGATGGATCTGGGCAAAGTCCACTGAAAACCTTCTGGAAAAAACTCACCATTTTAGATGCCATTAAGACATTCATGAACCATGGGAAAAGGCTAAAATAGCAACATTAATAGGAGTTGAGAAGCTGATTCCAACCCTCATGGATGACTTTGAGAGGTTCAAGACTTTAGTGTAGGAAGCAACTGCAGATGTGGAGGAAAGAGGCAAAGAACTAGAATGAGACATGAAGCCTCAAGATGTGACTGAAATGCTGCAATATCATAATAAAATGTGGATGGATGAGGAGTTCCTTCTTACAGATAAGAAAGTGGTTTCTTGAGGTGGAATCTACTCCTGGTGAAATGCCGTGAACATTGTTGACATGACCACAAAGGATTTATAATATTACATAAACTTAGATGATACAGCAGTGGCAGGGTTTGAAAGGATTGACTCCAATTTTGAAAGAAGTTCTTCTTTGGGTAAAATGCTATCAAACAGCATCATATGCTACAGAGAAATCTTTCATGAAAGGAAGAGTCAATCAATGCAGCAAACTGCACTATTGTCCTTATTTTAAGAAATTGTCACAGCCACTCCAGCCTTCAGATACCACCACCCTGGTCAGTCAGCAGCCATGAACATTGAGGCAAGACTCTCCATCAGCAAAATGATTACAACTCGCTGAAGGCTGAGATGATCATTAGCACTGTTTAGCAATAAATTAATTTTAAATTAAGATATGTACATTGGTTTTCAGATATAATGTTATTGCACACTTAATAGACTGTAGTGTACACATAACTTTTATATGCACTGGCAATCCAAAATACTTGTGTAACTTGCTTTATTGCTGTGGTGTGGAACTGAACTTACGATGTCTCTGAGATATGCCAGTATGAACATATCTAATGAAAGAAGCTGCCTAGCTGTAAGGAGATGAGGAGGCTAGTGAGTCATGGAAGCGCAGGCAGCAAACACTGGCTAGGAACTTCCAATCACTGCTCAGGAAGAGGATTTTCTTCCACACAGATGTGAGTATTTGCACTTCACGGCAGGTACATTCCTAAGTTGGAAATGGATACATTAGTCTACTCTTATCAAATTATTTGCACCCCCTGCTCTGAATCAAGGCTTATCAAGGAGCTTTCTGATAATTTAGCTCTTCATGTAACTTGGCTACAGGGAGAGAAGGCACTAGATAAACTAAGGCAAATAGTGTGCCTGATAAGTCATATTCCTCATTGAAAAATAATAAATATTCTGTATTTATTTTGTAAAAATAAAACTATGGGGAAAATGGGGAGTTACTGTTTAATGGATACAGGGTTTCAGTTTTGCAAGATGAATTAAGTTATGGAAACTGCACAACGATGTAAATATACTTGATGCTACTGAACTGTACATTTAGAAATGGTTAAGATGGTAAATTTCATGCTATGTGTTTTTTTTACTACAATTTAAAAAATAGAAAAAAACTTGCAAATTCAAGAGTTAGCTATGAAAACAGAAAAATAATTTGAAAATGCTTTAAAAAGGAGTAAGAATTTCAGGTAGCTAGTCATAACATCTCTACAGTTGGAAAAGTGTTAGTTATAACATTTACATCCTCATTAGGAAAGAATACTTAAGCCGTTTTGAAAATTTGTAAATTGTTTATGTTCTTTCATTTCTTTTCATTATTCTTACCACTAATTTTCTTAGTCAGTGGCAATCACACAAAGACTGGAAGATTTTTATTTACCTACATAGTGTTCCAGAGTAGAGAAAACTTAATTTTCTCATGTGTTCTACCCAAAGCTAGAACCTCCAATCCATTTCTGCAGTAGAAAAAGTAACTAGAATAACAGCAGAAAGTTGTAGCTTTAATTAAAAGATAATAAAATGTTTAAATCTGCCTTTGTTACCTTCTAGGAAAGAAACACTGGATTTTCCAGAGCCTGTTCATTTTTCCCTAATATTACTAACCAGAAAAATACTACTACAGGAAAGGAAAAGAACAAATATCTTCCCACATTATAGGAAGAAAGTTACAATAATGAGGAAGTTCTCTAACACAGAACCTGACTATCTGACCATATTTATTGTGTAAATAGGACTACGGTTATAATATTTCTATTCCCATAAATACAAAAAAAAAAAGAAAAAAAAATCCCTAAGATACCTTTTCAATAATCTTAAGAAGAGAATTCCATTTCAAGTCCACCTGAAAAAAGAAAAAGAGTTAGAAACAATCTGCTAGAACAACTTTTTGTTTGAGATGGGGTTTTGTATGTTGCCCAGGCTAGTCTAGAACTCATGGGCTCAAGCCAATGTCTCACCTCAGCCTCCTGAGTAGCTGGGACTACATGCATGCGCCAACATGCCCAGCTAAAACTTTTAAAAAGTAAATGAAGTACCCATGTAACCAATACAAAACTAAAATGTTCTTATCCAACTTTTTAAATGTATAGATTAAAAGAATTCACCTTTTAATTACAAGTATTTGTCACCCTGGTACTGCTGAACATCTACCCAGCAGCCCTAGATACTTCCCAAATCATGATCAAGAATATATTGCTTGTCCTAAAATTGACACTCACAGTGAAGAAACAACCAGAAAACAATAAGCAGGCTCATTCTACTCATCTATTATTCAAATAGTTTGAAAAGATATACAACAGGAATACCTTGGTTAGATCATCCAAGACTTTTTTTCTTTCCATATCATTGTCACAGCACCGGAGAGCACTGTACAAAATGTCCACCAGGAAACCAAAATCCTTCCTTTGATCTTCATTTAGCCAACCTATCAGTTTCTGGTATAAAAACTGCACCGCAGGATTTTTTTGTACAAGCTTGGCTATTTCAAGAGGTTTGGCTTGGACAATACTCTGTTTTTCATCACCAAGTAGCATTTTAAATACTCGGCTTGAAGAAAAGGAGTCAAGCAGAGTAGAAAGAAACCTTAGATGTTGCTCTGACTTTCGTTCATTGACATAATTAATACTTATATCTGCGAGTTTACAGACTAAGTCTTCCAAAGGTTTTTTCCTTAGAGGAGACAAAAGGCCTGAAGAATTATGAGTGAGAGAAGGTTCAGTTGTTAATTCCCAGCCTTCAATCTTCTCTCCTTCTGAAGATACACATTTTTCATTCTCTTTATTGCTTTCAAGTATCTCATCAGCAAATCTAACCTTACCATTTTTTTTTTTACTTGACTTCAATGAGCTCTTCGGCTTCTGAAGCACCTGTAATAGGTTAGATACACCCAAAACGGACTCAACATCAGCTTCTGGCTCACTGATTTTCGCAACACAGATCTCTGACAGTCTTTCCCAGAAATGTATCAGTACGTTCTCCAAGTTGTGAGCTGTTTTTTCATCTTTTTCCGTGTCTGCTTTGGCTTCCCAGGAACTTAGAGTTTCTGCTAAATGGTTAAATAGCTGCCCATGTTGCAATCCTGGGTCTTTGAGAACTGCATCAATAAAAGGGATCAACTGAAAGAAAAGGTAGAATATCATAAAATATATATTTGGTCTTCAACCCCCATCTCCTGGCACACAACTCTAAAATCCTTGGAATCTCCAAAGTGATATCATTTCATAAGCTAATGGGTTGATTGATGGCTGGCAGCACCTGTATAGCAGGATGGGGGCTGATCACCAGAAAGACCAAGGCAGGATTAAAGGGCTAGAACTTTCAATACCTCCCCAACCTCCAGGGATAGAAAGGTAGCTAAAGGTTAAGCTGATCACCAGTGGCAATTACTTAATCATTCATGCCTAGTAATGAAGCCTCCATAAAAACGCAAGAAAGACAGCATTCAGGGAGCTTTCAGATAGCTGAACATGTGGAGGTTCCTGGAGAGTAGCGCACCCAGGGAGGGAGTGGAAGTTCTTCACCCCTTCCCGTATCTCACCGTGTGCATGTCTTCATTTGTATCCTTTGTAATATCATTTATAATAAACTGGTAAATTGTTTCTCTGAGTTCTGTGAGACAGTCTAGCAAATTAAGCAAACCCCAGGAGGGGGTCATGGGATCCCTGATTTAGATGTACAGCTGGTTGGTCAGAAGCCCAGGTAAAACAGCCTGGGGCTTGCGATTGGCATCAGAAGTGGGGAGCGGTCTTGTGGGACTGAGTCCTAAGCCAGTGAGATCTGACACTATCTCCAGGTAGATAGTCAGAATTGAATTGGAGGACACATAGCTGGTATCTGCTGCAGAACTGACTGCTTGCTGGGTGGGAGAAATCTCCACATATTTGGTCACAGAAGTCTTCTGTGTTGATTACTATGATGTGAGAATAGAGGAAAAATTGTTTTTTCCACTCACAGAAGGTAAAAAATTGAAAAGTTCAATTTTCAAGAGAAAATTTAAACAAAGTATTTGTAAAACACTATTTCATATTTAATAACTGAAAAACATAAATTTTCCCCTAGAACTCTGAAAAAGTTAACCTAAAGATCCCTTTCATATCATACAAGAGCTTAATGATTTCACCTCAATTATTCCTTTTTCATGATAAAATTGACTGGGATTCTTGGTCATTAACAATCTAGTTTTCTTTGCATCTTCTGGATTTAAGTGTTTTGCTTTTCTGCCTTAACTATAGGCAAATCTAAGATATGAGACTATAAGTCAACATGAAAGATACCTAGGACCCACAGAGTGCGGAATCCTATTTCCTAAATTACAAAAATAAGGGTAGAGACATCCTAAGACCTGGGCTTCTATAATCTCACTAATTTCCTACTGTAAAGAACCATATTCCATAACCTTCTCTCATCTCTGGTTCTAAAAGCCAAGCCAAACTTTCACAAAGCATAATTTGAGTATTTTAGAATTAACAAGATGATTGCTTCATGATTTATTTAAACTTACTACAAAAGATCATAAATAGCAACTTCAAAATTCTGCTTTGCATTACATCTTTCTTTTTTTTTTTCTGAGATGGAGTTTCACTCTTGTTGACCAGGCTGGAGTGCAATGGCACAATTTCGGCTCACTGCAACCTCTGCCTCCCAGGTTCAAGCAATTCTCCAGCCTCCTGAGTAGCTGGGATTACAGGCATGCACCACCACACCTGGCTAATTTTGTATTTTTAGTAGAGATGGGGTTTCTCCATGTTGGTCAGGCTGGTCTTGAACCCCCAACCTCAGGTGATCCACCCACCTCGGCCTTCCAAAGTGCTGGGATTACAGGCGTGAGCCACGACGCCCAGCCTGCACTACATCTTTCTAAAACAGGGTTTTACAGGCCGGGCGCGGTGGCTCACACCTGTAATCCCAGCACTTTGTGAAGCCGAGGCGGGTAGATCACCTGAGGTCAGCAGTTCTCGACCAGCCTGGCCAACATGGTGAAACGCCGTCTCTACTAAAAATACAAAAATTAGCTGGGTGTGGTGGCGGGTGCCTGTAATCCCAGCTACTTGGGAGGCTGAGGCAGGAGAATAGCTTGAACCCGGGAGGCAGAGGTTGCAGTGAGCTGAGATTGCGTCATTGTACTCCAGCCTGGGCAACAAAGAGCGAAACTTTGTCTCAAAAAAAAAAGGGATTTTTGCATCCAGACACTGATTAGTTTCTTAGGTATCATACCATGCTAGCAACTGAGAGTATGGAATTTTTACTTATCTGGTCAGAAATACACATCACTCAATTGGTAAATTATAAAAATAAAATTTTTACAAGGAAGGCTTATTACTGTAAATGGCAACAAGACACAATGAGCTTGATCCTACATAATCAGTATGCAAAGAGACTGACGACTTTTACATTATAGATACCTGATCATTGACGAGCATCTGTTCAATCTCTTCCTCACCTAAGTTTTGCTGCATTATAAAACGTAAGCATTCAAAAAAAGCAGATATTACTGCCGAGGACTCTAAAGAGCTGGTTTTAGTTCTCTCTGTTGACAGCCTAAGAAATAATTAATAACTGGATTACTCTTTCATGAAGAAGAAACAAGAACTCAGAATTATCAAAATAAAGACCTCAAAAAGGCATCATGACAGAAGAAACATTTTTAAAGCAGTTTCTTAAACTACAAATTAAATACCAATGAAAATACATATAGCCCAATGAGAATATGAACTTAAAAACTTTGAAAAAGTTTTTCAAAAAATGTATCAGTAAAAAATAAAAATAAGAGAATATTTCCTTTTTCTTTTTCTTCTTTTTTTTTAGAAATAGGGTCTTACTATCTTGACCAGGCTGGTCTTGAACTCCTGGCCTCAAGCAATCCTCCCACTTTGGCCTGTGCTAGGATTACAGCTGTGAGGCACCACGCCTAGCCGAGATATTAATTTTCTATTCATGGACCAATCCACCTGCAAATTCGAGATAACTTATTAACCAAATAAAGATAATGGTGTAGTAAAAAAAATCTGTAATCATTAATAAAATGATGTATCTTCTAAGTTCAACAAATGTACTGAAACAGTTTTTTTAAGTGTGAATTTAAACATCTATAGTAGTTAAAGTTGTTGATGTTTTAAAAATTTCACTGGCTAATTTTCTGCATTTAGGCATTTGTATTTATCAACATAAAAAATAAAAAATGGCTACATGTGTCTGTGGTGCAATTGGTTAGCACATTCTGCTGTTAAAAAAATGGCTAATTTGAAAAATAGCCTAGTTGACCTATTTCCAACAAGGAGCTTTACCTTATTTATCTAACTTCCTGCTGTGTGCTACCACTGAAGTCTTGAACGTACTCAAGAAAAAAATATCAATTGTAATTCTCTGAAAACTTTAAAAGTATTTAATGAATAGTAAAACAACTTGGAGAAATTTAAGTAAGAAAGAAAATGAGTATAAAAACAAGAAAATCTGTTTTGTTTTAAAAATCAAAAATTTAAATTACTTACCCAGCAACTAGAGACGTGAGGAAATTTTTGAAGAAATCCAACTTTGGATTTGTGATGGACTGAGGGAGCTTGCTGATGAATGGCAGAAGGTAAGGATATATGACAGTAGCTAGACCCCGACCACCTTCACGAATCACAGTTGATAGCTTGGGAAACACACTCTTTTTTGCATTTACATGAAGCCAACAGTCCTAACCAAACAAAAGATTATAGTAGTAATTAGAGATCATAAACATACTTTTCTCAATTAAAAGAGAAAACATATAGGCTCTCAAAAAGAAAAACCAAGTATTTTACCTAAAAAAAGCTAAAATCTTTCACCACCATTAAAAACTAAAACTGAAATTATAAATGTATTACATATAATGATCATATATTCGACATGCTTACAATAAAGTATTGATTAGAAATAATTATTTAACTTCTATTTCTATAAAAGCTGCTTTCTAAAAGGGACAATTATATTTCAATCTTAATTATATTTCATCTTAAATATAAAATTCAGTTATGGTGACTGCACTAGGACACATAAGGTTTAAAGAATAATTAATACTGGCAAAACAAAATAAAATAAAAACTCTATGCCATTTTAGTCACTTTAAGATTTATGCCAAGTTTAGATTATTTTATTTCCAAGAAAGCATTTTCCCAGTAAGTTTTGGATATTCTTATCTCATAGGTTCATTCCTCAGTGTACTAAATGTGCCTCTCTTACATACCTCAATAGTTGTAAGTGTATAGAGTACAGCTTCCCAGAGAGCTGGGCAGACAATTGGGTCACTGTCATCAATGCTAAGTAGAACTGATGGGCTCACTTTGGATGCTTCCTCTTTCATCAACTGTGGAATGCGCTGGCACAATGCAGAGACTAACTCAAAATAAGCTGAGCGAATCTAAAAGAATGCAAAGCTGAATTAAATTAAAACCTAGTAAAACTTGATAAGATTTTTAATTTATGGTAATAGTAGATTATTCACACTAACCCTCCCACTAAGAAAACTAAAATAGCTAGAAAAAATACTTTTTAAAATCTTAGAGTATGAAATGGCTGAAAAGGCATAAGGAATTACCAAGGCAAAAGTGAAGGCTGAAAGAATTAATTCAACTTTCTCTTTCTTTGACTGAAGCAAACACAAATCCTCTTTAGTAGCAGAAGCCTTCATTTGGGGCCTCCATTATAGCCAAACAAACAGAAAATAAGACACCATGAGCAACAATCAGGAGAAATAAAAGATCTGAGACTTTAAATCTTAGAATGATCAGTCACAAATTCTATAATACAATGCTTATTATATTTAAAGGAACAAAAGTTTTAAAAAACTTGTAAGAAAAAGGATCCTGGAAAAAGCAGAGCAGATCGGAAAAAGATCAAGCACAATTACTCAACTAAAAATAATTAAAACTTAAAGCTCAACTCGTAGTTTAAGAACAATGCAATGGTCTGAATGTCTCCCTCCAAAATTAGTATGTTGAAACTTAATCACCAGTGTGATAGTATTAAGAAGCGAGGACTCTAGGAGATGATTAGGTCTTGAGAGCACTACCCTCATGAATAGGATCAGAGGGCCCTTACAAAAGGGTATGAGAGACCATGTTTACTCCTTCTGCCATGTGAGGACACAGCAAAAAGTAGCCATCTTTGAAACAGAGAAAGCAACCCTCACCAGACACTGAATCTGCTGGCACCTTGATCTTGAAATTTCCAGCCTACAGAACCGTGAGAAATAAATTTTTATTATTTACAAATTACTCCATCTAAGGTACAGTTTATCCCTTGGTACCTGCAGGGGATTGGATCAAGGATATCCCACCCTCCCACCCCCACACATATACCAAATTCTCAGGAATTACATAAAATGTCCCTGACATAAAATGGCGTAATATAGTCGGCCCTCCATATCCACGGGTTCCTCATCTACAGTTGATTGAATCCACACATGCAGAACCTGCAGATATGGAAGGCTGACTGTATTTTGTTAAAGTAGCCTGAATGGACTAAGACAGCTGGAGGTTAGATACAAATAAGAGAGAATCAGTGAACTAGAAGACCGAGCAAAAGAAATTATCCGCAAAGCATCATGGAGAGACAAAAAGATGAAAAACAACAAAGAAAACGTAACAGACATAGGGGATAAAGTGAGGCTTAATATCTATTTAATCAGAATCCCAAAACAAGAGAAGAATGAGGAAGGAAATACCTAGAGATAATAGCTGAGAATTTTACAGAGCCAATGAAATACACCAAGTCAAAGATTCAAAAAGTCCAACAAATCCCAAGCAGGATACATAAAGGAAATCCACACAAAGACACATTATGCAACTGGGAAAACACAAGGAGAAAAGTAGCCCAAGGAGAAAGATAAACTACCTTCAAAAGAAGGACAATAAGACTGATAGTTAATTTTGACATCAATAATTTAATCAGAAGACATGGAATAGTATCTTCAACACAAAAATAACTACCAACATACAATCCTGTACTCAGCAAATATGTCTTTCAAGAATGAGGATGAAGGCCGGGCATGGTGGCTCACATCTGTAATCCCAGAACTTTGGGAGGCTGAGGCGGGCAGATCACTTAAAGCCAGGAGTTCAAGACTGGGGTGGCCAACATAGCAAAACCCCATCTTTACTAAAAATACAAAAATTAGCCAGGCATGGTGGCACATGCTTGTAATCCCAGGATTTGGGAGGCTGAGGCACAAAAATCACTTGAATCCGGAAGGCGGAGGTTGCAATGAGCCCAGATTGCACCACTGCACTCCAGCCTGGGTGACAAAGCAAGAATCCGTCCCAAAAAAAAAAAAAAAAAAAAAAGAATGAGGGCAAAATAAAAACACCTTCTGACACAAAGCAACAAATATATAGGCAAATGTAAACAAAGATTGAGAGTATAATATTTTGTGAGATTTAAAAATACATACATATCTAACCCCACAAAATATTTTATGTATATTTTATATAAAATATTACCAAATCAAAGTTAGCAAAGTATTTTAAAAGACATGACATTTATAAAGACAGCAAACTTCTAGCTATGCCAAGAAACTTTGATCATAAAACATCAGAAAAATCAAGAAAATTTTGCTTTGCTTAGAAATCAAGCATTCATTCATGAAAGAAACAAAAACCATAAGGACTGAGCAGATTGTAAAACATTATTCTAGAATGCAAAAGACCTAAGATAACCAAAAGAATTTTGAAAAGAACAAAGTTGGAAGTTTTCAACACAATATAAAACATTCATAATCAAGTGCATGGTATTGGGTGTAAGGATAGACATACAGATCAGTGGACAGAACAGAGTCTAAAATTAAAGTTGTACATATACGGTCAAGTGAATTCTGACAAAGATGTCAGAATAAGGATGGGATAGTCTTTCAGCAACTGAATACTCCATAACCAAAAAATTAATTTTGACTCTCACCTTCAGTTTATATGCAAAAAAAACCTCTAAATCCACTACATGGAGCTAACCTATAAAACTTCTAAAATAAAATATAGAAAATCTTTGCAAACTTGGGCAAAGATTTCTTAGATAAGACATCAATCTATTAACTGGCCATTCAAATAATAAAAATAAAAAATAAGACATCAAAAAGCACAACCATAAAAGAAAAATGATCAATTAAGCTTCATCAAAATTAAAACATCTACTCTTCAAAAACACTAATGAAATTAAAAGGCAAGCCATATACTGGAAGAAATCATTCATCATACTTTTATCTGACACATACTTCTACTCAGGATAAATACAGCACACTTGCAACTCAAAAATAACCAAACTGCAATTTTAAAATGGACCAAAAAATATGGATGAGTGAGAGCCCAATATATCAGTCCTCCTAAAAAGGAAGCTCTGTGGATAAAACACACACAAAAAACAACTACCTGAGGACTCTGGAGACTGAAATACAGATGCATTTTAGAAGAGAATCAAACTGGGAGTAAGTGATCCATGTAGATTGAGATCCCAACTTTTGCAGCTTTGCCCAAACGTGGCTGTGGTCGCCATCACAAAGGCACAGGACCAGCTACAACTTCAGTAGAAAGACTGACATCTTTCTGGCCAGAGGAACTAGAAGAACCAGGAAAGAAGGCCAGGATAATGCGGGATGACGCAGGAGAGTGATGGGGGACTCTAGAAAGGAGAGGGCCACAGAAAGGAACCCCTATATTCTGTATTTTAACAGCCTAAATCTATAGCTTATCTCTGAACCATGCATGTGCACTCCACTATGCCCAGCTAATTTTTAAAATTTTTTTAGAGATATGAGTCTAACTATGTTGTGCAGGCTGGTCTTGAATTCCTGGCCTCAAGTAAACTAGAAGCAGCTTAAAGCTAAAACAAGAAATGAACTGAGAGCTAAGCCATTTCCCACCACAGGCATAATGGTTTGGTATGGGTCTAATCAAGTTAACTGCCTCCTAACAAAAAAAAAATACCCTTTGGATAAATATAAAATAAACCAGTCTCCAAAACATAACATTCACAATGTCCAGTATACAATCTTAAATTAGTCAACATACCAAGAGCCACAAAAATGTGGTCTCATCACAAAGGATAAGACAGTTAACTGATGTCAACCCCAAGATGACCCAGACGTTATCAGACATGGATTTTAAAAAGCTATTAAAACTATACTCAATAAGGTAAAGGAAAATACGATGAGGATGAATGGGGAAAAAATAGACAATTTCATCTAAGAAACAGAAAATATAAAAAACCAAGTGGAAGTTCTAGGAATAAAAAATATATGAAATAAAAAATAAGCAAAAGATTACAACAGACACCTCCAAAAAGAAGATATACAAATGGCCCATAAACATATTAAAAGATATTCAACATCATTAGTCATCAGGGAAATGCAAATTAAAACCACAATGAGAAACCTCTATTCCAGAGGTCAGTAAACATTTTCCATAGGGAGATACAGAGTAAATATATTAGGGTTTGCAGGCCATGTCATCTCTGTTGCAACTACTTAGCTCTGCTTTGTAGAAGTAAAGTAGCCATAGATAATACATAAAACTATTTACAAAAATAGATGTTTCCCTCGTGTCCATGGGGATGAAAAAAACAAAAACAGATGTGCCAGATTTGACACACGAGCTATTGCAATGCCTGATCTCATACCCAGGAGAATGACCTAAATTAAAACGGCTGACAATATGAAACATGAGGATATGGAGCAACTAAAAATCTCACACATTGCTGGTAGGAGTACTACAACTTTAGAAAACATCTTGGTAGCTTCCTATAAACATATACTTACCATATGACATATCAATTCCTCTCCTTACTCAAGAAAGATAAAAACATATGTTCACACGAAAACTGTACAAAACTAAACAATAAAATGGACTGCTGATATATGCAACAACATGAATGAATCTTAAAACATTACACTAAGCAAAAGAAGCTAGATAGAGAGTAATGCCTAGCTCCATTTATATGACAGCATAGAAAAGACAAATCTAATCTGTAGTGATGGGAGGCAAATCAATGACTGCCTGGGATAAAGGCAGAGGATGACTTGGAAGGACAAAAGGAATGCATTTTGGGTAAAAAAAAAAAAAGTTCTATTTCTTTATTGTAGTGGTTATATAAGTATATATACATGTAGACAGGTGTACACATCTGTCAAAACTTAAACTATAAAAATGGCTGCATTTTACAGGACTGTGTGCAAATTATACTTCAAAAAAGTTGATTTTTTAAGAATTATCATAGGATATTTTAAAGTACCCAAATAACTTGAGAGAGGCCAGGCATGGTGGCTCACACCTGTATTCCCAGCACTTTGGGAGGCCAAGCCTGGTGGATCATTTGAGGTCAGGAGTTCGAGACCAGCTTGGCCAACACAGTGAGACCCTGTCTCTACTAAAAGTACAAAAATTAGCTGGGCATGGTGGCACGTGCTTGTAATTCCAGCTACTTGGGAGGCTGAGGCAGGAGAATCACTTGAACCCAAGAGGCAGAGGTTGCAGTGAGCCAAGATGACACCACGGCACTCCAGTGTGGGCAACAAAGTGAGATTCTGTCTCAAAAAAAAAAAAAAAAAATTGAAAGAGATGAGAAGTTCATGGATAGGAAGACTCAACAACATAAAGAAAGCAAGTTTCTCCATATTGGTCTATAAATTGAGTACAACCACAATTAAAATTCTAGTTAGACGTTTTTGAGAAATTCAACAAATGTACTGGAATTTGTTTTGTTGAGACAGGATCTCACTCTATTGCCTAGGCTGGAGTGCAGTGGCAGTGCAATCAAAGCTCACTGCAGCCTCAATCTCCCAGGCCCAAGTGATCCTCCCACCACAACTTCCCAAGTACTTAGGACTACTAGCACTCCCCACTGTGTCTAGCTAATTTTTTTACATTTTTTAGATGGGGTCTAACTATGTCATGCAGGCTGGTCTCAAACTCCTGGCCTCAAGTCATCCTCCCACCTTGGCCTCCCAAAGGTCTGGAGTTACAGGCATGAGCCACCACGCTCAGCCCAAATTTACTGAAATTTTTATGAAAGAATAAAGTTCTGGCCAGGTGCAGTGGTTCATGCATGTAATCCCAGCACTCTGGGAGGCCGAGGCAGGTGGATCACCTGAGGTCAGGAGTTCGAGACCAGTCTGGCCAACACGGCAAAACCCTGTCTCTACTAAAAATACAAAAATTAGCTGGGCGTGGTGGCAGGCACCTGTAATCCCAGCTACTCGAGAGGCTGAGGCAGGAGAATCGCTTGAACCCAGGAGGTGGAGGTTGCAGTGAGCTGAGATCATGACGCTGCATTCCAGCCTGGGCAACAGAGTGAGACTCCATCTCAAAAAAAAAAAAAAAAAGAATACAACCCAAAATATGTGACTAACCTGAGCAGGTATTAGGACATATCATAAGGCCAGGCACAGTGGCTCATGCCTGTAATCCCAAATGGGAGGCTGAGGCGGGCAGATCACCTGAGGTCAGGAGTTTGAGACCAGCCTGCCCAACATGGTGAAACTCCATTTCTAGTAAAAATACGTAAATTATCTGGGCATGGTGGCAGGCGCCTCTAATCCCAGCTACTCGGGAGGCTGAGGCAGGAGAACAGCTTGAACCTGGGAGGTGGAGGTTGCAGTGAGTTGAGATTGCGCCACTATACTCCAGTCCAAGTGACCGAGTGAAACTCTGTCTCAAGAAAACAGCCTGGCCAACATGACAAAACCCCGTCTCTACTAAAAAATACAAAAATTAGCCAGGCGTGGTGGTGGGCACCTGAGTGCCAAGCTACTCGGGAGGCTAAGGGAGGAGAATTGCTTGAACCTGGGAGGTAGAGGTTGCAGTGAGCTGAGATCGTGCCACTGCACTTCAGCCTAGGTGACAGAGTAAGACTCTGTCTCAAAAAAAAAAAAAGACATATCATAATGTCATACTGACAGTGGCACTGGTATAACAAGAAACAGAGACCAATGCATCAGAACATAATTTAGGGCAAATTTCTGAATGTATGATTTTTTTTTTTAATAGGTTCCTGCTCTTCCCCTAGGCTGGAGTGCAGTGGCACAATCATGGCTCGCTGCAGCCTTGACTTCCTGGGATCAAGCGATCCTCCTGCCTCAGTCTCCAAGCAGCTGGGACAATAGGGGTGTGCCACCACACCCAACTAATTTTTTAATTATTTTTTTGTAGAGACAGGGTCTTGCCATGTTGTCCAGGCTGGTTTGGAACTCATGGGCTCAAGTGACCCACCTGCCTTGGCCTCCCGAAGTTCTGGGATTACTGGCATAAGCCACTGTGCCCAGCAATATATAAGAACTTAATGTCTTGTAACGGCATGACCACAGATCAACAGGGAAAAAAAATAAACAGTTTACTAGGTAATGTTAGGAAAACTGACTCACCATATATGAAGAAAAATGTAACTAGATCTATACTTAACACCAAATGAAAAGGTAGATTATTGATGAAGTGAAGATTTTATATGAAAGGTAAAACTGCATATAAAGCCTACAACTATAAAGCTAAAAAATTCAAAATATAAGAATATCTTTATGACTTAAAGGTGGGAATAGCCTTCATAAGGCAAAAATCAGTGACTTTGATCACATCAAAATTTTCTTTCTGACATAAGACACATGGGAGAGATGACAGAATGGGAGCTTTTTTGCATTGCCTAAAAATGACAAAAGATAATCTGTCATGAGATTAGAATTTTTAAAAAAGACAAAAAGACTAATATTTAATTATAAAAGGGACTCCTGCATAAAAAGAAAAAGAGAACTCCAAAGAAGGAAAAATGAACAAGAAACACAAAAACAAAAACGCTAAAAATTCTTGAAGAGATGCAAAATCACCAATAAGGAAAGTAATTCCAGTTAAAGAGAGATATCACCTGAATTCCTATTAGGCTGATGAAAAATTAAGCAGCTGAATGTTGCCTACTGAAGGCTAGAATACAAGGTTATGTAGTAGCAGCTGAATGTTGCCTACTGAAGGCTAGAATATAAGGTTATGTAGTAGCAGCTAAATGCTGCCTACTGAAGGCTAGAATATAAGGTTATGTAGTAGCAGCTGAATGCTGCCTAGTGATGGCTAGAATATAAGGTTATGTAGTAGCAGCTGAATGCTGCCTAGTGATGGCTAGAATATAAGGTTATGCAGTATAAGAGTCATCACGTATTGATGGTTGAGTCTAGAGTAATGCAGCCCTTCAGGAGAGCAATCTGGCACTATTTTAGGAAATTAGGTATGCACACACTTCACTGACTCAGCAATTCAGATAATTTCTTAAGATCCAAGGACACATGAATGAAGATGTTCATTGCTGCATTACTTGTGAAGGCAAGGAGTTGGAGGCAATCAGGATCTATCACTGGAGGAATGGGCAGGTTAAATGAATAGGTAATGCAAACTTCTGAATACTACAAGGCAGTTAGAAGTCATGAATCAGATGTACATACAGGAACATGATGGATCTCTTTTGAAAAAGTAATAAATGGAATAAAATATAACAGTATCATTTATGTGAATTAAAAACTCAAGCACACACAAAAGCACGTTTTTCAAAAATACAGTCAATCCTCACAAATCCCATGTTTGCCAATTCACCTACTTGCTAAAATTAATTTGTAACCCCAAAAACAAAACTTGCGGTGTCTTAGGCCGGGCACGGTGGCTCACACCTGTAATCCCAGCACTTTGGGAGGCCGAGGTGGGTGGATCATCTGAGGTTAGGAGTTTGAGACCAGCCTGGCCAACGTGGTGAAACCCTGTCTCTACTAAAAATATTTAAAAATCAGCCGGGCGTGCTGGTGGGCACCTGTAATCCCAGCTACTTGGGAGGCTGAGGCAGGAGAATCACTCAAACCCAGGAGGCAGAGGTTGCAGTGAGTCTAGATCACGCCATTGCACTCCAACCTGGGTGACAAGAGCGAAACTCCATCTGGAAAAATAAACAAAAAACTTGCAGTGTCTTGCAGTCATTTGTGGACATGCATAGAATGGCAAAAAATCTGAGTCACCCACGTGCACATTCCCAGCTGAGGTTGAACAAGGCGACGTTCCCTTATTTCAGCTCTCATACTGTAAACAAGTGTCCTTTTCACAGTACTTTTTCAAATTTTTGTGCTTTTGATTGGTGATTTCATGTTTTAAATGGCCTCCAAGCAGCAGCACTGAAGTGCTGTCTATTGTATCTAGGCACAAGAACGCTATGATATGCCTTACAAAGAAAATATGAGTTAGATACGCTTTATCCAGGCATGAGTTTTAGTGCTGTTGGCCGTGAGTTCAATGCTAATGAATCAACAATAGCTATGAAAAAAAGGTGTCTTTATACAGAAACACACATAAAACAAGGTTATGGTGGGGTGGGGGGAGGGGGGAGGGATAGCATTAGGAGATATACCTAATGCTAAATGACGAGTTAAGGGGTGCAGCACACCAGCATGGCACATGTATACATATGTAACTAACCTGCACATTGTGCACATGTACCCTAAAACTTAAAGTATAATAATAATAATTAAAAAAAAGAACTACCAAAAAAAAAAAACAAGGTTATGTACTGGTTATGTCAGTTATCAACTGACAAAAATGCTGTGAATAGCTCACAAGAACCTAACCCTGCATTTCCCGTAAGGGCAATGCCTCAGTATTCACTAAGTCAGTATTCATGATGAGTTTATAGAAAGTAACTACTAAGAATGATAAGAATCAACTGCACAAACAAAAGCACATATATTAAACATAGTAGACCAGTCAGCCAGTGAAAGTAGAGAATGGAGAGATAGACAAAAGGGAAAAAATAAATTAATTAAATGAGAAGAGACTTGCACACACCAATTTTAAGGTGCTATGAACAAAGGAGTATGGTAATTCATACTGATAATTCTAAATCTGAGGCCCAAACTAAATAAAAAAGTAAAAACAGAGTAACATTCTAGTAAGAGAGGTAATTCAGTAAATGAATAGCCTACCACACAGATGTGCTTGCAGAGTTCTAAGTATAAACAATAAACATAAAACATAAACTAAGAAGATGGGGGTAAGGAATCAGAGAAATGTCTTAAGATAAAAAAGATTAATATACCTGAGGTACACTGTGTTTTCCATACTTCCAAAACTTATTCTGTGATAAAAGAGACTTAAATTTCTCCTCCAGAGAATCAAGCTCATTATCAGGTAAAAGGCAAAGTAATCTCTTTAATGCCAATAAGGAACAAGTTACAACCCGGTAGAATTTAGCTTCTCTTTCTTCCTCTGGAACAGTTCTTGATATAAAACAAAATAAATATATTTAAAAATTTAGAATTAGCCAAACTATATATCTGGTGGTTCTATTTAAAATGTTTTATCATTAAATATCTACCAAAGTTGCTTTATTTCTATCTTCTATTTCCCCTGTGCCAACGCCCCTCAAAATGTAAACATACAAAGAAATTTAATCACATACTTTACTACTAATACAAGGTGAAAGTAGACGAAAAGCCAAGGCTTGCAATAAGTGAGAAAGTATACCGCTCTCGGTAGCATGTACAAGGGTGATCCCAGGGAATGGATATCAAGCCATCTAAGACTATTTTCCCTCAAGGACTCTTAAAACTTTGATTAGAATATAGAAGTAAACAAAATAGTTTACTACTCTTTCAACAGAACTATTTATATTCTTCAACTATGTTCAACCAGACCTTAAAATACTTCCTCCTACAACTGTCAAAAAGTAAAGAAGGAAACATATAAAAACATCTCTTTCTAATACAACCAAATGTGTAGCTCCCAGGTAATTCAAGTTAAATAGCAGGACAACTTGCAAGTAAAAGCACTTAATACAGCATCTCACATACAGCATTATGTTATTTTCATCTCTACATATATTATTCCTTCTTTTTAAAAATGTCACACAGGGCCGGGCCCAGTGGCTCATGCTTGTAATGCCAACACTTCGGGAGGCCGAGGCGGGTGGATCACCTGAGGTCGTGAGTTCGAGACTAGCTTGACCAACATGGTGAAACCCCATCTCTATAAAAAATACAAAAAAATTAGCCAGGTGTAGTGGTGCATGCCTATAATCCCAGCTACTCGAGAGGCTTAGGCATGAGAATCATTTGAACCCAGAAGCTGGAGGTTGCAGTGAGCTGAGACTGCGCCACTGCAATCCAGCCTGGGTGACAGAGTGAGACTCTGTCTCAAAAAAAAAACAAAAACAAAAAGTCACATTGAAATCATCTGATTACTTATGAGTGAAACAAATCCTTAACATGAGTTACAATGAAACAATACAACTTACTGCGGGTCACTGAGTGTATCAGGTGTTTCTTTTATAAGATGATCCTGCAGCACCTACAAAGGGGGGAAATACCAAAGCCTTTGGTTTTACTGAACTGTCAATGGTGAACAGACAGAGCCTAGTTAAATAAAATCCACTTTTTAAAAATCCCCATAAACATCATCTTACCTAAGAGCAGAATCAAATAGCAAAACTGAAAGGTTTGAATTTTACCAATTTTCCTTTTCCTATCAATTCCCAAGGTTAGCTGCTTTAGATACTTCTTCCCCACGCACCTATAAATACTCCTGACCACTTGTTCCTCCATTTCTCTTTCACACAGCAATGAAGTGAATGTGAATCTGGGAGATAAATTAGGCTCTGCTTTCCTCTCCCCTCTTTCTGTAAGCCTGCTTGCCCACAAAGAACACCATACATTGTGCTCTGCTCCATCACAGAGGAAGGTATGAGGTTTTCAAATATACGGAAGTCTGTTTCCTCCTGGGGTGCAGTGCAAGGGAGTCCACTGTTCCAGTAACTGCTTTATCAGCAATAACAATAACTAACACTTATTGAGCTTTTGCATGTGCCAGGTATTGCTTTGAGCACATTTTAGGCATTAACTAAATCAATCCTCAGAACTCCATGAAGTACAAGTTAATTCCTGCTTTATAGATTATGAAATGAAGGCACAGAAACTTGCCCAAGGTCACACACCTAGTTGCTAGCTGATGGCAGAGTGGGACTAGAACCAATGGTGTGACCCAGAGCCCATGTCTTATAGACAGTATGATATACTATCTATAATGCTGACATTTTGATTTTCATTTGCCTAACTCCTCTCTAATACATGGGTTTGGAACTGGAGACAGTTCAATGCCAACAGCTGTAATGAACTGTAACATAGCCAACTAAAGGGAAAATAAAATGGAAGAAATAACCCAATGTTCAATGATTAGTTATCCATCCATGACAAAGCCAAGAACAAATTTATTTTCTAAAGCCTATGAAGAGCCAAACTAGTTGTCTCAAAATCCATTTCCTAAAGCTCTTAGCGTCCAAACTCATGACACTTCACTCTTGTAACGTTTATAACTTGGCATTTTAAATCAACCAATGATTCTTATGCTACAGATGGGTTAGAAAACTCCATTTGAGCATATGATTAAAGCTACAAACCCTCTCTCTAGAAAAACACGCTTGGTACACCTGAGAAATGAAGAATGGAAGAACCTAAATGAGGTACTACAATCAAGTTATGTGTTGGGGAGTGCTGGGTGAAGAGATTAGATAGGGAAGCAGGGACCAGATCATGCAGAGCCTTGTATGTCAAGACAAGAAATTTGAACTTAAAAGTGTAATGGAGAGCCACAGGAAGGATGGCTAATTGAAAGGAGGAAGGAAAGCAGGGGGAGAGGGTCAGATGGAAATGTTTAAGTAGGGTTATACACAGGGTGTTGTGGAAACACAGGAGTACTAAATAAGGGAATAAATGCAAGCATAGATTTTTTAAAAAATTATCAATTCCCTCCTCACTTCTACTTCATCTACTTTTATTTCTCAATATAATTCTAACAACTTTGTTGTCTGGTTTTTCTAGTCCATATATTGGGAATAGAAAATGAAGGGGGAAGAAATGAGACACTACTAGAAACAGACACACTGAAAGCCACAAACAGGTATGGCTGGTAACTTTTTATGAGAAAGTTATGGCAAAAGTGTTAGCCCAGTGTGGAGAAACTTTATCTGAAAATGGGAGTATAAATTTGTTTGGCCTTTTGAAGGGCCATTTATCATTATAAAAAATTTTAATGTTCTTATTCTTTGGCCCAACATATGCTTACTAGAAGTTCTAGTAAGTATCACTCCCACAAGGGTATGAAGAGATCTACTCAAGAATGTTTACTGAAATAGCATTTGTTATGATAAAAATTGGAAAAAAATCCAAATGTATATTAATCTAAAAAGTTAAATAAACTACAGTACATCCATGTATAGTAATACCAGAGAGCCAATAAAAAGAAAAAGACACTAAGTTAGATCTGTATATATATATATATTGATATGGAAACACGAGAGAAAATAATTTTAGATTTATTTTTAGATATATTACTTGTTTAGATTACATAAAACATCTACTTTTTAAAAATATAATAAAGACTTCAAAATTAAAATGGAAAATTTAAATACTGTAGAAAGATCCAATCCAAAATGTTAATCTTGTTAAAGATCCAAAATGGTTATTTAACTAAACAGAATTTTAAAAAGGCAACCTTCAGTTGGAAATACTCTACTTACTCATTCCCCTACAATCCCAAGTAAAAGAGCTGTCATTATGCTTATAACCCTTAAATACTTAAAAAAAAAAAATAGATTCAGAATGATTCCAGAACTTACACTTGTAATTTCATCCTTACAAAATGCTATGGCTTCAGGTTGCTTGCTTGGAGGAAAAGCCGCTTCAAATGCATCTTTTGCTGCAAACGCAGCTGGTGTGTAAGTATCACACTGAGCCATTAGCCAATATCCCATTAAACTTTTTAAGTAGGGAGCCAACTGTTTCTTTACTTTAAGGATAAGTTTTTCAAAAGCTTGTTGTGTGGCTTCTCGGACGCGACGGTCATGATCCTATTAAAAATATAAATGTGATTTAAAATAGCTCTAGCCCATAAAAACAATCACAGACATTTCCGGATATGCTATAATGACCCATTACCAAGAATTCACCTATGTATTAAGCTAAACTGAAATCATTTTTTTTAAATCAATAATTTGGAGGTTTTTAAATCAGAAACTATGTAAAATAATTTATTAATTTTTCTTTCTCCCCTTCTCCCAATGAGATAGGATTGTATTCAAGACAGATTCAAAGTTGGGCCTTGAGGCCGAGCCTGGTGGCTCGTGCCTATAATCTCAGTACTTTCGGTGGCCGAGGCAGGCGGATTATTGGCGGTCAGGAGTTCAAGACCAGCCTGGCCAACATGGTGAAACCCCGTCTCTACTAAAAATACAAAAAATTAGCGGGGCATGGTGGCACACACCTGTAATCCCAGTTACTCAGGAGGCTAAGGCAGGAGAATCACTTGAACCCAGGAGACAAGGTTGCAGTGAACAGAGATCGCGCCACTGCACTCCAGCCTGGGTGACAGAATGAGACTCCGTCTCAATTAAAAAAAAAAAAAAAAAAGTTGGGTCTTCAATAATTAAGCAACTCACTCTCATTCTTCTGCAGCAAATATACAGGGAATAAAATCACTATCAAAATTTATTAAAACTGGAAAGCACCTGGGTAATTCTCCAGTAACAACCTAATTTCTGAAAACAGACTTCCTAAATGTTCTTCATAACCCAACACAATCCAATCTTTTTTTTTTTTTTTTTTAAAGACATTGTCTTGTTCTATTGTCCAGGCTGGAGTGCAGTGGTGCAATCTTGGCTCACTGCAACCTCCGCCCCACCGGGTTCAAGCGATTTTCCTGCCTCAGCCTCCCAAGTAGCTGGGATTACAGGCATCCATCACCACACCCGGCTAATTTTTGTATTTTTAGTAGAGACAGGGTTTCACCATGTTGGCCAGGCTGGTCTCAAACTCCTGACCTCAAGTGATCTGCCCACCTCAGCCTCCCAAAGTGCTGGGATTACAGGCATGAGCCACCATACCAGGCCCCAATCTCTTTTTTTATTTCCACGCTCTTCTCAAGTGTTAACAATTCAATCTGCATAACAATGCTGACATAACATTTAATAACCCTCACCAAAAATCAACATTATAAATTTGAGAGTCTCCATGACTCCAACCAAAAAATATACAACAGAAATAAACTAGCAAAGTTTTAATACTTACAAGTGAAATTTTGCAAAAAATTCTTGGCCAATATGGAAGAACTCCTTTCACAGTTTCTGTGTCTCTCTCTGTACACATGGTTCCAAATTCCTGCATAGCCTAAAAGTAAGTTATTAACATCATTAGGATTAACAACCATAATAACTGGCTATAGATTATTCTGTTCTGGAAGCTTTGTCTATTTTATGTAATAGGAGAATACACTATTTCTCTTTATGCCATATGAGACTAGTTTGAAGAGCTCTTTCACAGGCTACTACGGTAGAAACTCTTCAGTTGTTTTTTTAAAAATAAAACATCTACAAACAAAAAAACCTCATTTAAAGTTACAAGGTCAAAGTTACATTCCCTAATGGGAAAAACTATACAGCCAAAATTCCAAAGCACTTTAAAAAAGTTCACTGTAACAAACTAATTTACGACCTAGAAAATAAATATCAACTAAGTTTAAGACTCTGTGTCAGAAAAAAGTACAATTATAAAAGAACTTAGCAATAAATTGTTCATTTTTCTTTACATAAAACATGCTAATGACATTTTATTTTAACAAAGGGATTTTCTTGATAATTTTTATGAAAACAAGAAAACTTGCTTTTAATTTTGTGGTGACATCTTTCTTTGAAAGTTTCCGCAGCACCATTCGGAAATCAGAATCTACAAGACTGTCAATTTCTTCAGCTCCTTGAATAGCAGGAACATAGCCTAGGTCACTCTGAGATGTTCCAAAACCAATAAATCCAGGCACTGTTCCCTGTTCTTTGGCAAGGAGTTCTGCAGCTCGGCCACTGTTTGAAGGCTGATAAGAAAATTACGGAGAAAAAAGTCAGAGTCCAGGAAGGGTTCAAAACTTAACTTTATAATTCCTTGGCTATTCCCATGGTCAGAATGAGCTTTTATTTTATTTTCTTTTTTCCTAGCCTAAAATTTCATCTATTGCAAAGTTCCCCAAAGATTAATGGTTTTGTTGCCAAGAATCCATCAATACTGATCCTAGAAATTATTCTGTTTCTTAAACATTAGAATGTTTTGTAAACCATGGATACAATCCATTAGTGGCTCATGATATCAATATAATGGACCATGACAGAATTTTAAAGAAATTGATTAAAATTTTTAAAATCAGAATGTATCACATGCAGGAAAATTTTCATAAATGCTGTTATGAATTTTTTATTTCTAACTTTCATATAAATAGTATGTATACACATATGTATACTATGTAATGATGTAAAATGAACTCATAAATAGAACCCATCCTTTCATTCACCCATTAAATGAACAAATATTTATTAAACAATCACAATGGCCCAGGTCTAATGATAGCTGCCTCTAGACTGAGAGTTCCTTGAGAGTGGATACACTCATTTCCACACACTCCAAAGCCTAGCCTAACCTCTTTGGGCTAAAATTACATTATTATAGCCATAAAAATCAATACAACAGTCAATCTATAATACAGACTCCTTTGTTTTGAATCATAGTCAGTGGTTTCTTTGACTGATACACAATATAGTAGTCTTCTACTAAAAGGAGGTGAGTTGATACAGAGAAAGAAAATATTTGAACTGCTAAAAGAAATTAACTTATTGTTATCTAAACAGAAAATGCTTCAGTTTGACCACCAAGCTGACATCACAACCCATCTAAAGTCATCTATTTCTTATTTCTCTATAAGGATGTTTGCCAACGGTTATCCAAATGTGTGATTCAAATTGCTCATACCGGCCGGGCACAGTGGCTCACGCCTGTAATCTCAGCACTTTGGAAGGCCAAGGCGGGCAGATCACGAGGTCAGGAGTTCGAGACCAGCCTGGCCAACATGGTGAAACCCCATCTCTACCAAAGATACAAAAAATTAACTGGGCGTGGTGGCGCACGCCTGTAATCCCAGCTACTCGGGAGGCTGAGGCAAGAGAATCGCTTGAACCGGAAGGCAGAGGTTGCAATGAGCCAAGATTGTGCCATTGCACTCCAGCCTGGGTGACAGGGCGAGACTCTGTCTCAAAAAAAAAAAAAAACAACAAAAAAAAACAAATTGCTCATACCGGCCAGGCAAGGTGGCTCATGCCTGTAATCCCAACACTTTGGGAGGTCAAGGCGGGTGGATCACTTGAGCCCTGAAGTTCGAAACCAGCCTCGGCAACATGGCAAAACCCTGTCTCTACCAAAAACACAAAAATTAGCCAGGCGTGGTGGCATGTGCCTGTAATCCCACCTACTCAGGAGGGTGAGTCATGAGAATTGCTTGAACCTGGGAGGCTGAGGTTGCAGTGAGTCAAGATTGTGCTACTGCACTCCACCCAGGGCAACAGAGCGAGGCTCTGTCTCAAAAAAAAAAAAAAAATTCCTAATACCTAGCAAAAGTGTGTTTGGAAAATTCATCTGACAAGGAATAATCTGGCCTACTTCCTAAACTGAACTGAGTGAACAGGAAAGAAAATGATGGCCTGCATTACATTTGTTTTCAATCTGTAGCATTTAAGACTAATTCCAAAAAAGGTTCTCTATTTTTTTTTTTAAGTGAAAGTAAGTTTATTAAGAAAATAGGTCAGGCGCGGTGGTTCACGTCTGTAATCCCAGCACTTCGGGAGGCTGAGGAGGGAGATCACCTGAGATCAGGAGTTCAAGACCAGCCTGGCCAACATGGTGAAACGCCGTCTCTACTAAAAATACAAAATTAGCCAGGCATGGTGGCACATGCCTTTAATCCCAGCTACTTGGGAGGCTGAGGCAGGAGAATTGCTTGAACCCAGGGGGCAGAGATTGCAGTGAGTCGAGATTGCGCCATTGCACTCCAGCCTGGGCAAAAAGAGCGAAACTCCATTTCAAAAAAAAAAAAGAAAAGAATAAAAGAATGGCTACTCCATAGGCAAAGCAGCTGTTCTCTATTTTTTAAGTTTATTAAAATGAATTAATATTAATTATTCAATTCACCTTTCTCAATATTGGTACATGAATAAAGAGCCACAAAGGAAGTAGTTAGTGAATTATAATTCTTAAACTAAATATGATGACTTTAGGGTATCAGAATTTTCTACAATCTCATGTGTAAACGGTTTTATTATGAAACAGAATAAAAAACTAATTATTGCTAACATCTAAAGGAGTTGAGGCTGAAATAACAGAATTAGGAGTGATAACTAGGGGCAAAAGAGAAGGTATCAAATTTCCAGTCTCCAATTTAAAAGTAACAAGTTACTTTTAAATGCACTATCTTTTTTTAATGTCTACTTTAAATTTAAAATATAGTTACTCTTATGATCTTTGTATGTTAAGTGCTATACCCATAGTTCAATAAAAATTAAGAAACAATTCTATTTATGGCACTTATTTTTTTTTTTGTACTATGCCTACTTCTGTCTACACTCTTTCATGCCTAGCTTCTAGAGTTATTTGTGGTGGCAATCCTGAGTCTACAAAGACCAAACCAAGGAAGACTTACAAGACCTTTCACCATCTAACCTCAACTTTTCCCAGTCTTATCTCCTGCCACTCTTTCCTTCCCTTGCCCCACTTCCTTCTCCCTTCTTCAAATTATGCTGCCATCATTCATGCCCTAGTAGCAAACTGAATTCGAAGTTCTCTGAGGCAGGGCATGGTGGCTCACACCTGTAATCCCAGCACTTTAGGAGGCTGAGCGTATCTTTGGGCAGATCACTTCAGGCCAAGAGTTTGAGACCAGCCTAGCCAACATGGCAAAACCCTGTATCTATTAAAAATACAAAAAATTAGCCGGGTGTGATGGTGCATGCCTGTAATCCCAGCTACTCGAGAGGCTGAGGCAACAAAACTGCTTGAACCTGGGAGGTGGAGGTTGCAGTGACCCGAGACTCTGTCTCAAAAAAAAAAAAAAAGTTATCTATGTGATGGCCTTTCACAATTTGATCTTTATATAACCTTTTTTCTCTACCTGAAAACGCTTCCTTTCTTTTCACTGTCTGACAAACTCCTACTCATCTTTCAAACTCATGTTTGCAACACTTGCCTTCCTCCATTCTCTTCCATTCTCCCACATTCTTTCTTCTAATACCTGCATCATAATTCTTTAACATTTGCTTACATATGTGTCTGTATCATCAAACTAATAGTTCAAGAACAGCAGACATCTATTATCTCTGAATACCTGACATCCAGTATCAGAGTCTTCTATTGAAGACTTTGCCACATTAAAGTTAAAATCCCAACTCCACAACTTCCTGGCTACATGAGCTTAGGCAAGCTAATTTCTCTAAACCTCAGTTTCACCACATTTAAAATGAGATATGAGTAATTAATTCATTAGTTGGGTTGTTTTCATGATTAAGCATAAGTTTTTAAATCACCATAGTAATAACTGATTCCAGCAAGAATCAAAGGGTGCTCAAACCATTAGGTGAAAGTTTGTGGAAGAGCAGGACATTCACAGTTTCAAACTAACATATTATTTGTTATTGGCCAATGGAAAAATATAACTTTATAATGAACAACACCTTAACCAAGTAATTAAACAAATACCACCAATAAGGGGACAAACAGGTGCGAAGTGCCCCTGGTGTGTGATGCACTGAGAAAGACTCATCATCTATGAAGAATTCCTTCTAAAAATTGTTTAGCCTGAATCTAATCATAAGGAAAAAACTAGATGAATCTGAATTAATCAAACAAATGGCCCAGGCTCTTCCAAATTTTGTTAAAAAAGACACTCCTCTCCCCGCTTAAACAGTACTGAGAAACTGTCTAGATCAAAGAAACCCAAATGGTAACTAAATGGAATGAGTGATCCTTGACTGAATCTCAGATGTTAAAACGGTTTATCTTTTTAAAAAAGTCCCAGCCTGGGCAACATGGCAAAACTCTGTCCCTACAAAAATAAGCTAGCCGTGATGGCCTGTACCTGTAGTCCTAGCTACTGGAAAGGCTAAGCTGGGAGGATCACTTGAACCCGAGAGGCGGAGATTGCAGTGAGCCAAGTTCACGCCTCTGCACTCCAGCCTGGGTAACAGAGCCAGACTCTGTCCCCGAAAAAAAAAAAAAAAAGATTAGCCAGGAGTCCTAGCTACTAAGGAGGCTGAGGTGGGAGGACTGACCGCTTGAGCCCAAGAGGTTGACACTGCAGTGGGCCATGATCATACCACCACACTCCAGGTTTGGAGACAGAGCGACCCTGTCTTACAAAAAAAAAAAAAAGAAAAAAGAGAACATTATTGGGATAACTACAGAAGTCTAAATACAAGGCTGTATCCTGGATTACAGTATTATACAAAAGTCAAAGTTTCTGCATACTATAACCATTATTATAATTGCTGCAGGCTAGAAAATGGCATTGTTTTTAGAAGATACATGCTGATGTATTTAGGAGTTAAGAGTCCCGACTTCTGCAACTAACTCTTATAAGTTCAGAAAAATACATAAATTAAGAGAGAGAAAGCAAATGCAACCAAGTATTAGCAATTGGTAAATGTAGGTAAAGAGTATATGGGATGTCGTTCTAATATTCTTGCAACTTTTCCTCATAAGAACTTTTCAAATATAAAACATTTGAGAAAATCTGTTAAATAAAAAACATTAAAAGATGCAAGTAAAGTGCTTAGCACAGTAACACAACAGGTTGCTATAATTGTTAATACTGTTATTATCTTCCAAAACAGATTAAGTGACAGATCTAAGAAAATGTGACATTGAAATCACTAGAATTAACTACATCAGAAACAGGAAAAAAAAGCATTCTCATAAAATTGGACTGTGCTATAATAAATCTAACACCATAAAAAAATACCATTACAAAACCCCTCATCGTGTAGTTTTACACGAATCCACTTTAAGGTCGTCCTTAAGCAAGTACTTAGTGAGCGTCTATTAGGTGCCAGTCTGTTCTAGGTTCCGAGGATAAAAACATTTGCTTTCAAAATACTTACGTCCTAGTGAACCAAGACAATAAATGTCATAAATACAATGGAGTAAAATAAAGTAGGAAGAACATGGGAGTGGGGAAGGGCTACCAAGAGGGTGATCATGGGAGACCTCACTGAGGTGTCGAGAGCAAAGTTTGGAGCCACCTAACTGAAGAGCGTTGGGAGCCGGCCAGGTAGTCAAGGCACAGTGAAGAGATCAGTGTGGCTGGATGAAGTAAGCCAAGAGGAGGGAGCTGAAGATGGGACTGCAGATGGAAAGGGGTAACAGGCAGTCCAGAAACCAAATATACCATCCTAAGAGCTTTAGCTTAGGAGAAGCCACTGTAGGTAGCAAAGGAGAGGCACAATCTGCGGTAACCTCCACAGTGGATTCACTTTAACATTCTCCCAACTCTCCTTCTTCCCAGCGCCGCCCTCCCCCAACCAACCCGCTACCTCGGCCAGATCACCTTCCAGTGAACCTGACACATTATCATTTCTTCATGAATATTATGGGTGTGTGCTCGGATGAGGACAGCTCTGGCATGGTACATCTTTTCTCTCACGATTCCCCAATCTGCTCAGAGATAACACAAACCGCTCTCAGGGACGCACACACAACAGAGAGGTCACACTCGACAGGGAAACACACGCCTCCCTACAGCCGCGCTCCACACACCCTCCAGCAACGCGCTGGGCGGAGCCAGCCGCCTCGAAGCGAGGCTCCCGGGTCGGCCGAGCCAGCCCCCGCTCACCCTCAGGTTCCCTTTAGTTCGCTGCTTGTTCTTCCCGCCCATGGTCGCGGTTGCAGCTGTACTCTGAGCACTCAGACCCCGGTTGACACGTCCGGGACACAACTTCCGGCTTCTGGCGGCGGAAGAGGACACCCTGTAATAACTTCCCCCGGGCCCTTTTCCGCCACCCACCCTGTCCATTTGCTGCCCCACTTCCGCTCCCGCCTCCCGCTGTGTCCCTGACCATCCGCCACCGGAGACGTCACAGCTAAAGCCACGCCTGTCTGAGTGATGTCATTCCTGGCCAATAGGAAGCCAAGCATTGGACCCGTGGCGCCAAATCCTGTCCTCCCCGCTTTCAGAAGCTAGGTTTGTTCCTTGCTTAGAGGGTAGGAAACTGGCGTGAATCATCAGAGGGGCAGTTTCACATAAGGGTAGCATTAGAATGTTATGGTAGAGGCTGTGGGAAGATGGGAGTGTTTTAGACTTCCAACATGATGCAATCATCAGTATCACCTGGGCGTTTTTTAGAAAAGGCCAACTCGGGCCCCTCAGAACTCCTGAATCAGATCCTGCATTTTGACAGTATTCCCAAGTCTTGTTAAAATTTGATTACTGCTGTAGGCACTATTCTCTCTAAATCTCCCCTCCCCGTCCCCTTTTATTCATATTGAAACTGTTAACGTGCAGTTTAGGAAAGAGGATAATGTGGGAGTCCCTATTAAAATTTGAAATGTACAAATCCTGTAACCCATTGATTGTGCGACTCAGAATCACACCAGAGAAACAAGTAAATGTGTGCTGGTTATTGTTTCTTGTCCACGCAGTCACCCTTTTATACTCAACTCCATGTTACTGGGGGGGCTTCTGCTAGATTCCACCAACAGGACGAACAAGAGGGAAACAAAGGCAAGAGGAAGAAGGGACTTGCTCCATTCTGTAAGCATCATGCCAGCAGCAGCTGCATTTTACCGTGGCAGGAGCAATTGCTTTAGCCAAAAGGTGGTTTTAATCTCTATCCTTTTTCCAACAATCACAGAATCAGCCTTATTGCACCCCTCAGAGATCACAGCAGCAGTCAGTGCTCTCCTCAGAGATCTGAATTCTACTTTCATGCGGCCCCTCCCCTGAGCTCCTGAGATAGCCAATGTTTGAGCCACCTCCTCAGAAGTTTGAGCCTCAACACCGTGGGATCCCTTCTTTGTGCTCCAGAGATCCAGTAACAGCCAGCCATCACCCTCTCTTCATTCTTCATAGGCCTGAACTAAGGTGTTCAGGGCCCTCCTTCAAGCTTTTAGGTTCTGATGACTCCAACCACTTCTTTTGTTCCATCCTTTCCTAGCTCTAGGAATGGTAGCTGCTACCTGCAGTGATTACCTGTTACCTTTTATAATTCCTTTTGACCAATTTCCCATATTAAAATATTTCTCAATAACTAATGTGATTTCTGTTTTCCTGACTGGACCCTGATTTTAAAATGCACACAAAAGCCAGGTGCAGTGGCTTATGCCTGTAATCCCACCACTGTGGGAGGCCGAGGCAGGTGGATCACCTGAAGTCAGGAGTTCGAGACCAGCCTGGCCAACATGGCAAAAACCCATCGCTACTAAAAATACGAAAATTAGCTGGGCAGTGGTGGCAGGTGCCTGCAATCCCAGCTACTTGGAAGGCTGAGGCACGAGAATCTCTTGAACCCGGGAGGCGAAGGTTGCAGTAAGCCAAGATCATGCCACTGCACTCCAGCCTGGGTGACAGAGCAGACTGTCTCAGAAAAAAGTCACACAAAGAGACATATTACAGGAGGTTCACAAAAACTTTATAATAGAAAGATAATTGTAAGCAACCTATGTCTATATATTGGAGAACTGCTAAATAAATTATATGTATTCAATAAGCTATTAGGCAACATTTAAGAAGAATAAGGTTTATCTGAACACACATAGGAAGAATTCTAAGACACATTCTTAAATAAAAAGCAAATACCAATATATACAGTATGATACCATTTGTGTTTTTAAAACCCACAACACAATAATATATATATATATATATTTATGCATATATATATAATATAAATACAGAGAATAGGCCGGGTGCGGTGGCTCACGCCTGTAATCCCAACACTTGGGGAGGCCGAGGTGGGTGGATTGCTTGAGGTCAGGAGTTTGAGACAAGCCTGACCAACATGGTGAAACGCCGTTGCTACTAAAATACAAAAATTAGCTGGGCATGGTGGCAGGCAGCCGTAATCCCAGCTACTAGGGAGGCTGAGGCAGGAGAATTGCTTGAACCCAGGAGGTGGAGGTTGCAGTGAGCCAAGATCGCGCCTCTGCACTTCAGCCTGGGTGACAAAGTGAGACTCCGTCTCAAAAAAAAATAATAATAAAATAAAGATCTGCAAGAATACATACCAGTCTGATCATTGTAGTGACTTTTTGTGGGAAAAAGTGGCAAGAAAAGACATTAGGGTTAAGAGTTATAGTCAAAGGAAATTAAGCCTTATCTGTAAGATTTTATTTTATACAAGGACAACATCTTCATGTATTAATTATGTAATTAAAAATCAACTCAGGCTGGGTGCAGTGACCGATGCCTATAATCCCAGCACTTTGGGAAGCCAAGGTGGGTGGATCACCTGAGATCAGGAATTCAAGACCAGCCTGGCCACGATGGTGAAACCTCGTCTCTACCAAAAATACAAAAACTAGCTAGGCACGGTGGCACGCACCTGTAACCCCAGCTATGTGGGAGGCTGAGGCAGGAGAATTGCTTGAACCCAGGAGGCAGAGGTTGCAGTGAGCCAAGATCGCGCCACTGCACCCCAGCCTGGGCAACAGAACAAGACTCCGTCTCAAAAAAAAAAAAAAAAAATCAACTCAACAAATATTGTTTGTTTAAAATAAATCATTGGTTACATATATCATGGTACATTGGTTATACAAATTGTAGTGTCCTCATTCTTGAGAGTTATACAATATAGCTGCAAACAGTTTAACACATTGGAAACACTACTAGATATCATGCCATTCACTGAAAATGTGGGTGTCACATATCAAAAATGCTACAGAAGGGGAAGATTAACATGTGCTTGAGTAGTCAGATAGGCTTTCCAAGCCAAAGCCCAAAGCTTGGAAAACATTAGGAAAAGTAAAATAAAAGGGAGAACATTCAAAATGGGGACGAGAGAGGGACAGAGACAGTGAGTTGGATTAGCATGGATTTCGGAAAGGACAGTCAAGAATCTAGCCTAACTTCAGTGCAGACTTACCCAGGGGGAAAAAAAAAAAAAAAACTTGAAGGACAAGACTGGAATGATTTTCTGTGCTCCTATTTACTAATTGTTTCCTAAATTTTGTCTGTTCTTGCTGGAAATATCTCTTCATTTCATTTCCTTGTATTCTGACGAGACTTTCCACCTTTTGCAACAGGGATCCATGCCTCTTGCCATGTTCCTCAACTACTCCAGGCCACACAGATCTCTCTTCGATTTTCCTAGGACATCAACTTATAACTGGTTTATTTTTTTACCCAGAAGTCAGTAGGATATTACTGCTTTGGGAACTTGAAAATAGTCTCATTGATTTAACAGTTTCTCATGTTTAGATTTTCCAGCAAGTCTGTAAATCCTTTGAAGGTGAGGCTATCTCCATGGTACTCTTAAACAGTGCCTGCCAAAGTAGATACCCGCAAATTTGTTTTAATTGATTCATACAAGGTTTTAGAAATCAGAAAATAATTGTTTCTATCAATACAGTAGGTGATAGGCAGAAAAGGTTTGGACAGAAGAACATTAAAAATAATGTTTAATTTTTGTCAAAATGTTAATGTTTATGTCAAGAAATGTCGGCTGGGTGCAGTGGCTCACGCCTGTAATCCCAATGCTTTGGGAGGCCAAGCCAGGAGGATTACCTCAAGTCAGGAGCTCGAGACCAGCCTGGCCAACATGGTGAAAACTTGTCTCTACCAAAAATACAAAAATTAGCCAGGCGTGGTGGTGCGTGCCTGTAATCCTACATACTCAGGAGTCTGAGACAGGAGAATCACTTGAACCCACGATGCAGAGGTTGCACTGAGCTGAGGTCACACCACTGCACTCCAGCCTGGGCAACAGAGCAAGACTCTGTCTCAAAAGAAAAAAAGAAAAAAGAAATGTCAATACTTTTAAGGCCAAGATTAGAAACTCTTCAGAAACCAGGTTGGGAGTTAAAAAAAAAAAAAAAAAGAGACTTGAAACCCTCCCTTCTTCATTCATAATTATTAATATTATAAATTCTTGTTTTCACAGATTAAGAGTTACACATCAGAATTATAGCCTTTTTTCCCTAAGTAAATATTGGGCATGCCTTACAGAAGTCTGATGTTAAAATAATCTTACCCATCCAGACAAGTTTCTGAGGAGGAAAATCAGACATCAAGCACTTAAAAATATATTTCGGCTGGGCCAGGTGGCTCACACCTGTAATCCCAGCACTTTGGGAGGCCGAGGCGGGTGAATCATGAGGTCAGGAGATCTAGACCATCCTGGCTAACATGGTGAAACCCCATCTCTACTAAAAATACAAAAAATTAGCTGGACATGGTAGTGGGCGCCTGTAGTCCCAGCTACTTGGGAGACTGAGGCAGGAGAATGGCATGAACCCAGGAGGCAGACCTTGCAGTGAGCCGAGATCGTGCCACTGCACTCTAGCCTGGGCAACAGAGCGAGACTCCGTCTCAAAACAAAACAAAACAACTCAGCATTAATTAATCTTTATTAAACTTGGTGGTACTTTACCTTCAACTGTTATTAAGATGTATTTTTTTGGGGGGGGGTACAAATACTTTTTAATGGGTTTAAAGTTTTTCTTTTTCTTTTTAATCTACTGGAAAATCATGCAATGCTGCGAGCATTGGACACAATCCAGGGCCACAAGTCTGCATACTCCTTTGCTACTGGTCCTATAATGGCAGAACCTTTCATTTTGCCTTTATTATTCACTATGACCCCTGCATTATCTTCGGAATAAAGAAACACACCATCTTTTCTCCGGTATGACTTTGGTTGTCTAATGACCGCTGCTGGATGTACCATTTTTCTGAGCTCTGGTTTGCCCTTCTTGACTGTGGCCATCACCATGTCACCCACACTAGCAGCAGAAAGTCTGTTCCGCTGTCCCTTGATCCCCTTCACGGAGATGATATACAGGTTTTTGGCTCCTGTGTTGTCAGCAGTTGATCACAGCTCCTACTGGAAGACCCAAGGAAATCCAGAATTTCACACCAGAGGACCTACCACGTCCTCGCTTTGACATCTTGAACGCTGGAAAGAAGGAAAAAAGTATTTTTAAATTCTTTTTAAGCAAACTTCTTATTTAAATAGCAGCAACACTACATAGGTAATATATGCCAGCAGAGCATTTGTTTGTCAACTGAGATCTGTAGAGAGTCAATTGAGAAAATAAGATATAATAGTTTGCTAACACTACAAAATAAATGTACAATAAGAATAATTTCAGTATATACCAGCTGTAACTCATCACAATTCAACATGAGATTGGGGTGGGGACAAATGTCCAAACTATATCAGAGGGATTTAAAAGAAAAGAAAATAACCATAATAGTACTAGAGGAATATATAGGTGAATTTCCAGTTCAAAATAGCATCTGCTAGCAGCCCCTCTCAAATTCACATACACACAAAAAAATTGATGAAAACATTGAAGACGACAAAAACAACACAACTAAAATTAAAACTGATGAAAAACAGACTTCCGGAATCTAGAAGGAAACTGTAATACTGAGTCTGGACTCAGGAAGTCAAGAAGGCAGGAAGGAGATACAGACACATGTATATATTATTTCCTTACCACATAAAACTGTGTCCTTTCCACGGTGGCTCATGCCTGTAATCCCAGCACTTTGGGAGGCCGAGGCGGGTGGATCACGAGGTCAGGAGATCAAGACCATCCTGGCTAACACGGTGAAACCCCGTCTCTACTAAAAATACAAAAAATTAGCCGGGCGTGGTGGTGGACGCCTGTAGTCCCAGCTACTCCGGAGGCTGAGGCAGAAGAATGGTGTGAACCCGGGAGGTGGAGCTTGCAGTGAGCCGAGATCGCACCACTGCACTCCAGCCTGGGCGACAGAGCGAGACTCCCTCTCAAAAAAACAAACAAACAAAAAAAAACTGTGTCCTTTCTTGCTGGTCTAACCCCTACTCCTATGTGCCCTACAAAGCCCTTTCTTCCCACATATTCTTTGGAATTGCAGCTTCGGTGATGAGCCAATATTCACCCTCAACACGTGTTTACAGTTTGGCTAATGACAGTGCTTCCATAGCAGCCTCTCATGAGTGCTGTTTATTGTCTAAAATCCTACCTACCTCAGGGGTCTGCAGATAAGAATAGGATCTTCTTTGCTTCCACTTTCCTTAAAACAATAAATCATTGTTTTTGGGCTGCTGTCAACAGAATACACCTTCTGACATCTGTCCTCTTACCAGCCTCCTGGTCACTCCCTTTTAGTCTCTAAAGACTTAGCACTTGGCTCTCCACCCTCATTCCAAACATCATCCTGGATGGTCTTTTTAAAGTCCTAATTAGGTTCATGTGGCATATCTGTCCATTGCTTGGCCTCTCAGTTATAAAAATCTTCATCTCTCATATCCTTTTCCTCCATTCCACTTCATCTACCACACCACAGTCACATCCTGATATTAATACTTAAATTTTCCCAATTTCACCCCACTCTTGGGTCACAATCTCTCTTGCCAGATTCCTCATTTAACTGTTTCCACCTAGACATTCTTCAAGGAAATCTTAACCTTGCATTGGCCCTTATATTTTCTCGCTAACTTTAAGGACTCTTTTCTCTTTACTCTCTTCATTGTTCACTTTAGAGTTCATGATCTTTTGTGTCAATCACTCTCTTGCCAATACCACGAAGTCTCTTGTACATCTGCTCTTTCAGCCTATTCATCTGGAGAAACCAAACACTACACAAAGCCAATTATTTGTTTTCAGCTTTTTTTTTTCCAGAGAAAAGTTGAACACTACCTGGAAAACAAACAATTTAGTCAACACAAGCTTTAGACCACTAAGAATTAATTATCCCATACCTTAGTTGTGTCTTCAATACAGCCCAACAAATGTACCATACTTCCGTAATGTCTTAGGACTCCCAGCAATTAATTATTTGAACACTTCTTCAAAACTCTGATCATTCTACCTTCCTCCTTGACTTCAACAGATGAGTTTTCCTCCAATTTCACAGTGAGAGGTGACAGCGTGCTGGCAGTCCTCACAGCCCTGGCTCGCTCTCGGCGCCTCCTCTGCCTGGGGTCCCACTTTGGCAGCACTTGTGGAGCCCTTCAGCCCGCCGCTGCACTGTGGGAGCCCCTTTCTGGGCTGGCCAAGGCCGGAGCCCGCTCCCTCAGCTTGCGGGGAGGTGTGGAGGGAGAGGCGCAGGCGGGAACCCGGGCTGCGCGCGGTGCTTGCGGACCAGCGTGAGTTCCGGGTGGGCGTGGGCTCGGCGGACCCTGCGCTCTGAGCGGCCTGCCTGCCCGCCCCGCCGGCCCGGGGCAGTGAGGGGCTTAGCACCTGGGCCAGCAGCTGCTGTGCTCAATTTCTCGCCGGGCCTTAGCTGCCTTCCCGCGGGGCAAGGCGCGGGACCTGCAGCCCGCCATGCCTGAGCCTCCCCTCCCCGCTTCCGTGGCTCCTGTGCAGCCTGAGCCTCCCCGACAAGCGCCACCCCCTACTCCACGGCTCCCAGTCCCATCGACCACCCAAGGGCTGAGGAGTGCGGGCACACGGCGGGGGACTGGCAAGCAGCTCCACCTGCAACCCGGGTACGGGATCCACTGGATGAAGCCCGCTGGGCTCCTGAGTCTGGTGGGGACGCGGAGAACCTTTATGTCTAGCTCAGGGATTGTAAATACACCAATCGGCACTCTGTATCTAGCTCAAGGTTTGTAAACACACCAATCAGCACCCTGTGTCTAGCTCAGGGTTTGCGAATGCACCAATCGACACTCTGTATCTAGCTACTCTGGTGGGGACTTGGAGAACCTTTGTGTGGATGTACCTAGCTAATCTAGTGGGGAGGTGGAGAAACTTTGTGTCTAGCTCAGGGATTGTAAATGCACCAATCAGCACCCTGTCAAAACAGACCACTCAGCTCTCTGTAAAATGGACCAATCAGCAGGATGTGGGTGGGGCCAGATAAGAGAATAAAAGCAGGCTGCCCGAGCAAGCAGTGACAACCTGCTCTGGTTCCTTTACATACTGTAGAAGCTTTGTTTTTTTTTCTGTTTGCAATAAATCTTGCTACTGCTCACTCTTTGGGTCCACACTGCTTTTATGAGCTGTAACACTCACCACGAAAGTCTGCAGCTTCACTCCTGAAGCCAGCAAGACCAGGAGCCCACCAGGAGGAACGAACAACTCCAGACACACTGCCTTAAGAGCTGTAACACTCACTGCGAAGGTCTGCAGCTTCACTCTTGAGCCAGCGAGACCACGAGCCCACCAGGAGGAAGAAACTCTCAACACATCCAAACATCAGAAGGAACAAACTCCAGACGTGCCATCTTAAGAGCTGTAACACTCACCATGAGGGTCCGAGGCTTCATTCTTGAAGTCAGTGAGACCAAGAACCCACCAATTCTGGACACAAGAGGACAAGATAATCAGATTATAATCCTTATCTTTTCAATAGCAAACATACAAATTGGGCTGATGATTATTATACACGTTTAACTAAATGGGTGTTAGAATAGTAAAATTCTCTGATACCCTCTGAAATGTTCTTTCATTGCCCTTCCCATTTCCCTAGGATGTTTCTGACCTCCCCCTGATTCCTGGCTAAAGTGTGAATTGCTGATTTATCAGGCTTCTAAAACCCCATTCCAGCCCTAGACATATGGCTATTCCAATGGATGGTGATCAGGTCATATTGGTTGTTAACTATGTTGAATATCCCTTCCCACGAAACTTCCATCTTCAATTATAGTCGCTCCATAATTCTGTTAAAGAAATAAGTGTTAAAGATGGGGGGGAGAAAAATGAATGCACAAGGCTAGTCATTGCTGCACCTTTTCTTTTTTTAGAAGGAGTCTCGCTGTGTCACCCAGGTTAGAGTGCAGTGGCGTGATCTTGGCTCACTGCAACCTCTGCCTTCCGGGTTCAAGCGATTCTCCTGCCTCAGCCTCCCGAGGAGCTGGGATTACAGGCGCCTGCCACCACACCTGGCTAATTTTTTGTATTTTTGGTACAGACAGGGTTTCACCATGTTGGCCAGGCTGGTCTCGAACTCCTGACCTCAGGTGATCCACCCACCTTGGCCTCCCAAAGTGGTGAGATTACAGGCGTGAGCCGCCGCACCCGGCCTAATTTGTTTTTTTTTTTTTTAAAGAAAACCCCGCATATACACACATGCAAAAATAAGATACTAGAAAATAAAATGTAAAACCAAAATTTAATATTGTCTTTTTGGACACAGGATTGTGGGTGACTTTAAAATCCAGTTATTTCTACTCTTCCTATAATGATACATATTATGTGTAATCATATATATAATACATATATGTAATACGTTATATATAACATATAAATAATATATATAATTTGTTGGTGGGAGGAACAAGGGAAAGCAGGTTTACAAAATCTGAAAAGCCAAATGCCCCAGTGGGGAAAAAACCCTCCATTTCGGTAATTCCCTGGTTAAAATCGAGGAACACCCTGGACTTCGAAGGCACCACCTGGGTCCCAGGGTGCACCATTCCTCTAATCCCCCAGTTGCAGCAACATCTGGGAAGTCCCGAGAATGGGGATCTATGCCTGTTTTTCCAAAAGATAATAAGCGTCAACAACAACAAAAAAATAAAAAGTCCAACTCCGCCCCAAAGCAGCATCTGGCTGGCCTGCGAGATGCCCACTGGGGAGGCGAGTCCGCAGCTTAGGACTCAAGCCCGGGGTCGGAAGCTATTGCCGAAATCCGAAACGCAGCGCTCGCAGCTGCAGTGACGCGACCTGCTCATAAGTCCCCGTGCTCACAGCATCCCGGCAACTTACGAGCTAGTGCTTCCGGGTCACCCCGGCCCAGGAAGGCGCACGCGCGAAGCATAGCGAGCTTCACTCCGCACTCTTAGGCTGCGTGTGAGGCCTGCGAGTGCTCGGGAGCTGCCGCGGTCACAAGAGAAAGCCTAGCTGTCAATGACAGCCCCAGAGCATCTGGGCGCCTTGCGATACCCGGGTGTCTGTAGGCAGCCAGGAGACACTTCCAAGCTGATCTGGAATCTTTCCTCGCCCAGCTCTGTCCCTCGCAGGGATGGCAAAGGACATTACGACCTACATCCCTTCCCGGATCTGATGGCTTCAGATTGGCAGATTGTGTTAAAGTGGAAGGCTCGTGGTGCCCCTTTGCTGAGTTTTTATGGACTTAGTTTTCCCAAGTAGTTCTAATTATCGCTGGGGGGGTGGGGTGGGGCGGGAACGTAATTTCTGCGTCTGCCCTTAAATACCTTTAAACCTTGGCTGCATTGCCGCTTTTATGGAATTTCACCCATAGTCTGTCTTTTTTAGTTTCCCTGATACGCATCTTTCTTAATAATAATAATAATAAATAAATAAATAGCACTTTGGGAGGCCGAGGCGGGCGGATTACCTGAGGTCGGGAGTTCAAGAGCAGCCAGGCTAACATGGTGAAACCTACCTCTCTACTAAAAATACAAAAATTAGCGGGGTGCAGTGGCGCGCGCCTGCAATCCCAGCTACTCCGGAGGCTGAGGAAGAATTGCTTGAACCTGGGAGGCAGAGGTTGTGGTGAGCCTAGATCACGCCACCGCACTCGCACTCCAGCCTGGGCTACAGAGCGAGACTTCGTCTTAAAAAAAAAAAAAAAAAAAAAAAAAAAAAAAAAAAACAAGGCATGTGGCCAGTATTCCCTGCCTATACTTGTTTTCTTTAGAAAAATGTAACTTTTAAACATAATTTGACTTGAAACGGTTTCTTTCCAGGATTTATCATTTTTTATAGGTGATTCCAGTTCAAACTATTTATTACATTAATATGTTGACAAATTGTCGTTGCTGAACAAATTTTTTATGTGCAATCATACGGAACATTTTATATTTAAGGATGTTTATATATCAAGTATATAATCATTGGCAGAAACTGGGCAGGGCGCGGTGGCTCACGCCTGTAATTCCAGCACTTTGAGAGGCTGAGGCAGGTGGATCATCTGAGGTCAAGACTTCAAGACCAGCCTGGCCAACATAGTGAATCCCTGTCTCTACTAAAAATACAAAAAATAGCGAGCGTGGTAGCACGCACCTGTAATCTCAGCTACTCGGGAGAATGAGGTGGGAGAATCGCTTGAACCCCAGGCGGCGGAGGTTGCAGTAAGCCAAGATTGCGCCACTGCACTCCAGCCTGGGTGACAGATCCAGATTCTGTCTCCAGAAAAAAAAAAAGAGAAAGAAACCTAAGAAAGCTATATTGTTTATACTCTAACATTTCTAACATTTAACTACATTTATCCATTCTCAAAGGAAGTTGGTCATCACAAGATTGGAAAATCTGTACTTCCCTGGCTTATATGACTTAATCATAAATGTCTAAATTTGACAGATGTCCCAGGAAAGAAAACTTATAAAACTACTCTGTTGCATTCTATGTGTTTATGTGACATTTGAGATCTGCATATTATACATAGCAATCTGGTTTTTAATATAATGTAGAGAGACTGAAAAAGTTTTAGCAGTTTAGCTGCCACTTTAGCTGCTTAAAGTAATATATGCATCATCTGCCCCCTTTGGTGGTAGGGATGTCAGATTCCATTCTCTGTAGGGTATTTCATACAAATCTGTTAGTCGCTGGAGGAATCAGAAACTAGACACACAACTGGTCCACCTGGCTGTCTGGTGGCAGCAGAGGAACTGGGATTTCCAGGGCAACTGACGGGGCGATAGGACAGGGCAGCAGGGAGGAAATCTGGGGACGTACATAAGATTTAGGTCCAATACAAGCACTGTGCTTTAAATACCATTCTGATTCTCATTTATGTTTAACCACCTTTATATTTAAGATCTATCCACATTGCCTTCTTCCATTTTATTCCTTCAGATTTCTACATTGTATTACATAATATATGCTGTCTTTTACTAACTGATTCATTTTGTGATAAGCATAGTTTGCCTACAACCTTTTACTAACTTAATGCATTGTCTCTCACCCCAACTCCATTCCTTAACCAAGTCTGACTGGTCAAGAAATATCCAACACCTGGTATCAACCTGCATCAACCTGCATGCTAGCAAATTAGCAAATAATAAATGCTTTTGGAACTAACTGGTTTATGGAGGTCCTCAAAAACTGGGTGGTGTGTTTATTTAATGCTAGGTCAATTTGGCAAAAATAAATGTACAGAAAGCCATTTCCAGAACAAAAAATGTCAGAATACAATTTGCCAAACAAATTTTCTAAATTACTAATTTGATGAATTGTTGAGGCTTGTTAAAAAAGTTTAAGCCCTACTAATGCCTCAGCCTTGTCTGAGGCAAGCCCAGGAGCAGGGGCAGAGCGTGAGTATACAAAAAGTGGGGAACTGCAAACTCCACTTCAGAAAAACTTCACCTATTTGTGTATCAAAAGGCTGGGGTAAATGCAAAACTAAAGCTCTGAAAAACTCTATTTGACAAACTAGCTTTCAACTGCTAGTAAAAAGCCTAGATATTGGCCAGGCACGGTGGCTTATGCCTGTAATCCAAGCACATTGGGAAGCCGAGGTGGGAGGATCACCTGAGGTCAGGAGTTCAAGACCAGCCTGGCCAAAATGGTGACACCCTGTCTCTACTAAAAAACACAAAAATTAGCCAGGCATGGTGGCGGGCGCCTGTAATCTCAGCTACTTGGGAGGCTGAGGCAGGAGAATCGCTTGAACTTGGGAGGCGGAGGTTGCAGTGAGCGGAGGTTGCACCATTGCACTCTAGCCCGGGCGACAGAGCAAGACTCCGTCTATTTAAAAAAAAAGCCTAGAAATTAAACAAAACTGGTTTTATTTCATAAGATGTTTAGAGACAGGCAATGGCTGGTGTTGGGTCAGCAGCTCAACAATGTGGCAACTGGCATCTTCGTGGTTCTCTTGGCCCTTCGTCGTGGTTCAAATAACTCCTCCAGCTCCAGTCATCACTTTGGTGTTTATGGCAGTAAGGGGGGGAGGAGGTGGCCTAGCTGCATATGTATCTTTAATCAGGAAGTAAAAGTTTTCCCAGAATTCCCAAGGCCAAAGCTGTGTCCTGAGGCCACTGAGAGTTGTTAGTTGCAACAGAGGCTGAAAGGGGAGCAATTAGCTTTTCTGGGTTCTTTAGTGAAGGCAGGTAAGGGAGAAGGGGGTTGGGAATGGCTGGCAAATTGGAGCACCAACATTACCTTTATGGATAATTTCTTTTTCAAAATGGGCAGCTGATATGTGAAGAAATATCTAACAACAATTTTAAGGTTGTAATTTGAAACTCAGTTCTGCTTTCAATCATGACATTTTTAACAGATGCATTTCAGCTATACTATTTTTTCTTGTGCCCCACTCCCCAACATTCTAGAATGGAACTAAAATAAAATTACTTAATCTTTCAAGAAAAAGTGGGAAAAAAAAATCAAAAGGCCAACAGTGGCAAGATACTTTCAACTACTCTTGATGTCATTGTCCTTCTACACCAAAGAACATCTGGAAAACATCCCCACATCCTTTGGTGTTTAAGAACTGATAGAGCTGACCAAAGTCCATGTGGTTTCCCCTGGCTCCATTAACACTGAACACTTTTTCTTCAAAAATGGAAAATTTCCTTTGTCTTTCCGTTTCATCATTTGTACCATCAAAAGGAATGTCTTCTCGATGGCGAATTAAAATTCTCTTCCAGTTTAATTTTCTGAGTCTGAAAAGAAATTTCCAAAGTAAACATTTTCAAAATGTATATTCTAGAGCATTTAAAACAGAAGTTATAAAACAGATTTATCAATGCCTTTTCCTAGAAGTAGTCTACTTTTTAAAATGTTTATAACTTTTACTTATTGATTTAGTAGAGGCAGGTCTTGCTATGTTGCTCATGCTGGTTTCAAACTCCTGGCTGCAAGTGATACTCTGGCCTCAGCCTCCCAAAGTGCTGGGATTACAGGTGTGAGTCATACACACCCCGTCCAAGAAGTCTACTTTTATCTCACAGGGATTTATTTTAATCAAATATGATTCTGGTCATAATCTCATCTCTGAACTCATTTGTTGCCCTTACTACAGCCATGTATCAGTAGTTTAGAAATGTAGGAATTACTGAATCCCAAACTACTATGGACCTTCTCAGAAATTCATTTAGTATATCAGTAGAGAAATGAGACTAGTGGCAATTCTAATGCTTCTAGAAAGCTCCTTACTTCACAGGGTATACAGTTTGCAGCATCACTAAAATGAGGGAAGGACCAGATCCATGGAAGTGGATGGGGTCATAGTGTCTGGGGCAGGAGCTCAATTCATTCAGTGCATATTTACAGAATGTCTCCTACATGCACTTGTCAGGTGACGGGGAAAATGCTGACTACATGTGATTTCTGCCATATCCATCAACTTGAGATTGAATCCCCATAAAGACACAACCCCTGGGACATACTTATCTCCACATCTCTAATAGTCATGTGTTGCTTAACAACGGGGATACATTCTGAGAAATGTATCTTTAGGCTATTTTGTTGTTGTACCACCACGACAGAGTGTACTTACACAAACCTAGATGGTACTTTTTTTGCATTTATATTTTTTCATATAGAAAACCAAATGTCCCAGCACCATTACTGAATATCATTCTGATATTCAATAGTGGGAAGATCAAGTGCCATATATCAGGTTTCTATATGTGCTCCATTATAATCTTATGGCATCACTGTTTTATGTGTTGTCCACTGTTGACCAAAACGTCACTAGGCAGCACATGACTGTATCTTGTTTAGTATTAACATTATTGACATGACTTCATATACATATGTAAAAGCAAACCTTGACCAGAATTCTTCACAGGCACTTTGTGGGCCTTCCACACAAACAACACCAGGTTTTCCAGGCATGCTAAACCCAGACAGGGAAAGCTCCTTTGCCCACTCTAGAATATTCTTTCTTTTGCATTTGTTATAGATATGATGGCTGTAGATCCAGAGTCTCGTGAAGATGAGGTCAACTGACTGGACTGTGCTTCCTGTGGTGGGTGAAGATGAAGTATCTCTGCTGACATAGCCAGAGGCGTGTTCTCTAACCCACTCTGTGGCATTCAGTATACAAACATCTCCATGACAATGTTTTTGCAGGAATGCAGTCAGATCTGTGTTCAGCTGAGTCTGCTGGGATCTACTCAATAATACTGATCTAATAGAAAAGATACAAGAAAAATATTGTCTTGGAACAGAAAACAAATTCGAGAATTGCTTTTATTCTCAGATTAATTTTGACCTCCAAAGTTGGCCAGAGCTTCTGTAACGTACCTGACAGTAATTTCAGGCAGAACTGCCGGGTATTTAAAGGGAAGAATACAGGCCAGAGAAAACATCGCCTGATTAAAGAGAAGAAGAAAAAGTGCACTAACCAATGTTTTAAGTCTCAACATGTTTCAATCCCTCTAAAAGCAAAACTGAATTACCATTTTTTCGTCAGATACATCCAGGTTCATATTGATAGTAAAGTAGACTTTTGAAGATCGCCCCTCCATTGTCTTCTTTTCAATACAATCTTTCAGTTCTGCTACAGCCAGCTGGTCATTCACTATGAGCTCATTCTCACCAGGGAACATACTGGCTAGCAGGTCTAACTCAGCAAGCTGGGCCTCCGCCTGCTCCATCTCAATCATTTTTGGACATGTGTAAGTTTCTAAGGAGGTAAAGATAAGAGAGACAATTTACATATGCAATCTTGGAAGAAATGAATACATCAACATGTGTACTTACTAAAATTGTACTTGGTTTCTTCATAAATTGTACAATTTAATTAGTCTCTTTCCCTATTACTCTACTTTCAGATATAATATGCTAAGTCCTATGCTAAGACCAGCCTGAGCAACATACTGAGACCATCTATAAAAAAACAAACACAAAAAAACTCTTAATAGTAAGTAGACACCACATTCTTCTGTGTCTAGATAGTTGAGTGGACAACTTGAGCTACCATAATGGGCAATTTCATCAAAGTAAACCAATTATGTAGTCAAAAAGCTGTATCAATAATGTAGCCAGAAGAGAGGATATGACTGGTTACACTGGAAACCTAGAATGAACAAAGTCAGTCAGAGAGTTTGGTTACGTGGATGGTCAATTTCTTCTTTTTAAGTAAATATTAATGTTTATTAGGTTTTTTTGAGACAGGGTCTAGCTCTGTCACCACAGCTGGAGTGCAGTGGCATGATCCCCGCTCACTGCAACCTCAACCTCCCACGCCCAAGCAATCCTCCCACCTCAGACTTCTGAGTAGCTAGGACCACAGGTATGCACTGCCACGCCCGGCTTCATTTTTTATTTGTAGAAACAAGGTCTTGCTATGTTGTCCAGACTGGTCTTGACCTCCTGGGCTCAAGCAATCCTCCTGCCTTGGCCTCCCAAAGTGCTAGCATTACAGGTATGAGCCACTGTGCATGGCATTTATTAGTTTTTTTTTTTTTTTTTTTGAAACGGAGTCTCGCTCTGTCACCCAGGCTGTAGTGCAGTGGCGCAATCTTGGTTCACTGCAAGCTCCACCTCGGCGCGTTCACGCCATTCTCCTGCCTCAGCCTCCCAAATAGCTGGGACTACAGGCGCCCAACACCACACCCGGTTAATTTTTTGTATTTTTAGTAGAGATGGGGTTTCACCGTGTTAGCCAGGATGGTCTTGATCTCCTGACCTCATGATCCGCCCGCCTCGGCCTCCCAAAGTGCTGGGATTACAGGTGTGAGCCACTGCGCCCGGCCTATTTATTAGTTTTTAAGAAGCAGAGGAACATAAAGAGAAAATAAGTGTTAATTGTCCTGTAGCTTAAGTCACCCCTGTTAACATTAAAACATCTTAAGCATTATACATATATATATGTGAAAAATGCTGGTATAATGTATAAATATGTACAATGTGAGATATATACAGTATACATATTTAAATCCAAAGGGGATAATATATACTTTTTCCTCCTATTTCCTATCTCCCTCCCCACCAAATATATTTTGTAGATCTATTCACTGTCAACATATAGTGATCTACCTCATTCTTTGTAACTGTCGGCTGTTATACTGAATCATGTAGATATGCCATAACTTATTTAATTCTTTACCTATTGATGGACACTTGGGTTGTTTCCACATTTTTACTAATATGAACAATCCTATAATGCAAGGTCTTTTTATATATATAGTATGGTAAACTGAATACTGTGTATTCAATAATAAACTTACAGAGGTGGATTGTTGTATCAACATGTACATTTTAAATTTTGATAGATATTGCCAAGTTACTTTCCAGAAAGTTGCCATACAGAACAGAAATTTACAATTGTACTCAGTCCCCTGCTTCTTTTCTTTAAAAGAAAATTCTTAATACATAGTTCCTTTTGGCCTAGCACGGTGGCTCACACCTGTAATCCCACCACTTGGGGAGGCCAAGGAGGGTGGATAGCTTGAGTCCAGGAGTTTTAGATCAGCCTGGGTAACATAACGAAACCCTGTCTCTACTAAAAAATACAACAAAATTACCCGGGTGTGTTGGTGCGTGCCTGAAGTCCCAGCTACTTGGGAGGCTGAGACAGAATCACTGGAACCTGGGAGTCAGAGGTTGCAGTGAGTTGAGATCGTGCCATTGCACTCCAGCCTGGGCAAAAAGAGTGAAACTCCGTCTCAAAAAATAAAAATAAAAAAAAAAAACCAAAAAAAACCCTCTCCCTCTCCCTCTCCCGTCTCCCCATGGTCTCCCTCTCCCTCTCTTTCCACGGTCTCCCTCTGATTCCGAGCCGAAGCTGGACGGTACTGCTGCCATCTCGGCTCACTGCAACCTCCCTGCCTGATTCTCCTGCCTCAGCCTGCCGAGTGCCTGCGATTGCAGGCGCGCGCCGCCACCCCTGACTGGTTTTCGTATTTTTTTGGTGGAGACGGGGTTTCGCTGTGTTGGCCGGGCTGGTCTCCAGCTCCTAACCGCGAGTGATCCGCCAGCCTCGGCCTCCCGAGATGCGGGGATTGCAGACGGAGTCTGGTTCACTCAGTGCTCAATGGTGCCCAGGCTGGAGTGCAGTGGCGTGATCTCGGCTCGCTACAACCTCCACCTCCCAGCAGCCTGCCTTGGCCTCCCAAAGTGCCGAGATTGCAGCCTCTGCCCGGCCGCCACCCCGTCTGGGAAGTGAGGAGCGTCTCTGCCCGGCCACCCATCGTCTGGGATGTGAGGAGCCCCTCTGCCTGGCTGCCTAGTCTGGAAAGTGAGGAGCGTCTCTGCCCAGCCGCCCTGCCATCTAGGAAGTGAGGAGCGCCTCTTCCCAGCCGCCATCCCATGTGGGAAGTGAGGAGCGTCTCTGCCCGGCCGCCCATCGTCTGAGATGTGGGGAGCACCTCTGCCCTGCCGCCCCGTCCGGGATGCGAGGAGCGTCTCTGCCCGGCCACCCGGTCTGAGAAGTGAGGAGACCCTCTGCCTGGCAACCACCCCGTCTGAGAAGTGAGGAGCCCCTCCGCCCGGCAGCCGCTGGGTCTGAGAAGTGAGGAGCCCCTCCGCCCAGCAGCCACCCCGTCTGGGAAGTGAGGAGCGTCTCTACCCGGCAGCCACCTCGTCCGGAAGGGAGGTGGGGGGGGGTCAGCCCCCCGCCCGGCCAGCCGCCCCTTCCGGGAGGGAGGTGGGGGGGGTCAGCCCCCCACCCGGCCAGCCGCCCCGTCCGGGAGGGAGGTGGGGGGGTCAGCCCCCCGCCCGGCCAGCCGCCCCGTCCGGGAGGTGAGGGGCGCCTCTGCCCGGCCGCCCCTACTGGGAAGTGAGGAGCCCCTCTGCCCGGCCAGCCGCCCCGTCCGGGAGGGAGGTGGGGGGGTCAGCCCCCCGCCCGGCCAGCCGCCCCGTCTGGGAGGTGAGGGGCGCCTCTGCCCGGCCGCCCCTACTGGGAAGTGAGGAGCCCCTCTGCCCGGCCAGCCGCCCCGTCCGGGAGGGAGGTTGGGGGGTCAGCCCCCCGCCTGGCCAGCCGCCCCATCCGGGAGGGAGGTGGGGGGGTCAGCCCCCGACCCGGCCAGCCGCGCCGTCCGGGAGGGAGGTGGGGGGGTCAGCCCCCCGCCCGGCCAGCCGCCCTGTCCGGGAGGTGAGGGGCGCCTCTGCCCGGCCGCCCCTACTGGGAAGTGAGGAGCCCCTCTGCCCGGCCAGCCGCCCCGTCCGGGAGGGAGGTTGGGGGGTCAGCCCCCCGCCCGGCCAGCCGCCCCGTCCGGGAGGGAGGTGGGGGTGGTCAGCCCCCCCCCGGGAGGTGAGGGGCGCCTCTGCCCGGCCGCCCCTACTGGGAAGTGAGGAGCCCCTCTGCCCGGCCACCACCCGGTCTGGGTGGTGTACCCAACAGCTCACTGAGAACGGGCCATGATGACAATGGCGGTTTTGTGGAATAGAAAGGGGGGAAAGGTGGGGAAAAGATTGAGAAATCGGATGGTTGCTGTGTCTGTGTAGAAAGAGGTAGACATGGGAGACTTTTCATTTTGTTCTGTACTAAGAAAAATTCTTCTGCCTTGGGATCCTGTAGATCTGTGACCTTACCCCCAACCCTGTGCTCTCTGAAACATGTGCTGTATCCACTCAGGGTTGAATGGATTAAGGGCGGTGCAAGATGTGCTTTGTTAAACAGATGCTTGAAGGCAGCATGCTCCTTAAGAGTCATCACCACTCCCTAATCTCAAGTACCCAGGGACACAAACACTGCGGAAGGCCGCAGGGTCCTCTGCCTAGGAAAACCAGAGACCTTTGTTCACTTGTTTATCTGCTGACCTTCCCTCCACTATTGTCCTGTGACCATGCCCAATCCCCCTCTGCGAGAAACACCCAAGAATGATCAATTAAAAAAAAAAAAGTCTTCTATTTTCTATTTGGAATACATTTTCAATTTCTGCATTTAAATATTTGATCCATCTGGGATATACTTCACTTTAAAAGGTGACGGAAGTTTCCAGCTTATTTTTTTTTTCCAGTTAACTAGCCATTTTTACCAGTACATCTTATAATAAATTTGAAATGTTTCTTTCAACATATGTTAAGTGCCTATATGTATTTGAGTCTTTTTCTGGATTCTCCATTTTGTTATATTGATCTGTCTATAATATCATGTCCTAATACTCTTTTTTTTTTTTTTTTTGAGACAGAGTCTCACTCTGTCACCCAGGCTGGAGTGCAGTGGTGCGATTATAGCTCGTTGCAGCCTCGAACTCCTAGGCTCAAGCAATCCTCCTGTCTCAGCCTCCCAAGTATCTGGGACTACAGTCATGCTACCACCATACCCAGCTAACTAATACTCAACTCTTGAAATCACTATGATGGGTTAGTAAATTGCTCCTACTCTGTCTCTTCATAGCCATCACTCTTCTTTTCTAGAATTCTTTTTTGGTATTTCCTGGCTTTTCTCACATATAAACATTAGAATAATTTTGTTAAGTTTTGAAAACAAGAAAAAATGGTAATTGCATTGAAATTAAAGATTAGGCCTGGCGCGGTAGCTCACGCCTGTAATCCCAACACTTTGGGAGGCAGAGGCGGGCGGATCATGAGGTCAGGAGATCCAGACCATCCTGGCTAACACAGTGAAACCCCACCTCTACTAAAAACACAAAAAATTAGCCGGGCGTGGTGGCCGGCGCCTGTAGTCCCAGCTACTCGGGAGGCTGAGGCAGGAGAATGGCGTGAACTCGGGAGGCGGAGCTTGCAGTGAGCCGAGATCGCGCCACTGCACTCCAGCCTGGGCGACAGAGTGAGACTCCGTCTCAAAAAAAAAAAAAAAAAAGAAATTAAAGATTAATACAGAAAAAGACGATATGTTTATAACGTAGAATTTTCCCTTCAGTAGTTTTTTTAATAGCTTTAATGAGGTATAATTTATATGCCATACCATACTACTGCCAAGCAAGATCTTTAAAATGTTAGCATCCCTTAAGGTTTGGTTGAGGACATCTTTATCTTCTCTATTGTCTCATGGTACCAAGTATTACTGAATATTAAATGTTCACAATTCTCAAATTCTTAGGATGTTCCAAATTCTCGAGCCCCATATTTGTAAATTTAACTATATCTGTATATTTCTATTGGATGTTATATTAGTTCATTTTCTGTTACGATAACAGACTACCTGAGACTGGGTAGTTTACGATGAAGAGAAATTTATTTGGCTTATTGTTCTGGAAGCAGGGAAATCCAAGAGAATGGTGCCTGCATTTTGCAAGGGCATTCTTACTGAGTCATCCCATGGCGGAAGGCAGAGGGCAAGAGAGAATGAGAGCAAGTGCAAGAGAGATGAAGGGGCCAAATGCATGCTTTTATCAGGAACCCACTCCCACAATAACTAACCCACTCCTGCAGTAACACCATTAATCCATTTGTGAGGGCCCTGTTCTTTGGGAACTTTTTCAACCCTGCCTTCTTTCTCTTCTTCTGAAATGCTGATGACAGGAATGTTACATTTTTTGTTATATCCCTGCATATCACTTAATCACCTCTGAAAGGTCCCACCACTCAACTCTATTGCTTTGGGATAAAGCTTCTAACACATGAACTTTGGGGCACACATTAAACCACAGCAGAGACCATCTCAGTCTTAACAGTCCTAAAATAGGTCTAAATGGCCTGGCGCAGTGGCTCACGCCTGTAATCCCAGCACTTTGGGAGGCCAAGGCAGGCAGATCATGAGGTCAGGAGATCAAGACCATCCTGGCTAACATGGTGAAACCCCATCTCTACTAAAAATACAAAAAATTAGCCGGGCGTGGTGGCGGGCACCTGTAGTCCCAGCTACTCAGGAGGCTGAGGCAGGAGAATGGCGTGAACCCAGGAGGCAGAGCTTTCAGTGAGCCGAGATACAGCCACTGCACTCCAGCCTGGGCGGCAGAGCGAGACTCCTTCTAAAAATAAAAAAATAAAAATAAATAAAGTAAAATAAAATAGGTCTAAATTATATTTCTTTAATAATAATTCTTTTATTATTTCTTTTCTGTTTAGAGAACCTATTTTAACCATTCTTTTAGGATAGGTCTGCTGGTGACAAATCTCCTAGATTTCCTTCATCTTAGAATGTCTTGATTTCCCCTTCATTTCTGCAGAATATTTTCACTGGATGCAGTATTCTGGCTTAACAGGTTTTTACTTTCAACAATTGAAAAATGCTGTGCCTCTTCACCTAGCCTCTCTGGTGACTGATGAGAAATCACTCTCATTTGAATTGTTTTCCTTTACAGATAAGGTTCATTTTTGTCACTAATTTTAAGAATTTTTCATTGTCTTTGGTTTTCAGAAGTTTGATTATGATGCGTTTTTTTTTTTTTTTTTTTTTTTGAGATGGGAGTCTCACTTTGTCACCCAGGCTGGAGTACAATGGTGCAATCTTGGCTTATTGCAACCTCCACCTCCCAGGTTCAAGCAATTCTCCTGCCTCAGCCTCCTGCGTAGCTGGGATTACAGGCGCACACCACTACGCCCAGCTAATTTTTGTATTTTTAGTAGAGATGGGGTTTCACCATGTTGGGCAGGCTGGTCTCGAAATCCTGACCTTGTGATCCACCCGCGTTGGCCTCCCAAAGTGCTGTGATTACAGGTGTGAGCCGCCACACCTAGTCTTTTTTTTTTTTTTTTTTGAGATGGAGTTTTGCTCTTGTTGCCCAGGCTGGAGTGCAATGGCACAATCTTGGCTCACCACAACCTCCGCCTCCTGGGTTCAAGTGATTCTCTTGCCTCAGCCTCCCGAATAGCTGGGATTACAGGTGTTCGCCACCACGCCCAGCTAATTTTTTGTATTTTTAGTAGAGAAAGGGTTTTATCATGTTGGCCAGGCTGGTCTCAAACTCCTGACCTCAGGTGATCTACCTACCCTGGCCTTCCAAAGTGCTGGGATTACAGGCGTGAGCCACCATGCCCAGCCCCATATGGTTTAGGTATTTATCCTAGACAAAAGCAATCCTAATTAGGCGAGAGACTATATGGGCACAATTCTTATTTGTGACTTCTCAGAGTCTTAAACTGTGAATTTCCAAGAGGGGTGTTCAGTATTCTGTCTGACTCCAGAACATGTTTTTCCAGGCCAAATGACATTAGCCCTCCTCTCCACAGAACAGAGCAGGATTCCTTATTTTGCCATGTAGTTACCTGAATTTAAGTAGTTTAAATATAAGCATTTAAAGTATCATAAAAGATGGTGGGTAGCCTTGATAATATTTATACATATATTAACATATATTTATTAATATGTCTATTCATGTTTAATTTGAAGTTTTCCTCTTCTAATAACTGTTGGAACTGCAAATATTCCTCCCTCCTTTAATCGCAATGTTTTCTTTTGTTTTTTTTCCGATTTTTTATTTATTTATTTTTTTGAGACGGAGTTTCGCTCTTGTTGCCCAGGCTGGAGTGAAATGGTGCAATCTCGGCTCACTGCAATCTCCACCTCCCAGGTTCAAGCGATTCTCCTGCCTCAGCCTCCCAAGTAGCTAGGATTACAGGCATGCGCCACCACACCCAGCTAATTTTTTGTATTTAGTAGAGATGGAGTTACACCATGTCAGTTGGGCTAGTCTCAAACTCCCGACCTCAGGTGATTCACCCGCCTTGGCCTCCCAGAGTGCTGGGATTACAGGCATGAGCCACTGCTCCCGGCCTTTTTTTTTTTAAACAAAATCCTCATACATACTTAAAATCCCTGGACTTATTGGAATTCCATATACATATTTGCTGGTCTGTTTTGGAGTTGAGAAACATAAAAAACAACTACTTGGGTGGTTATTAGAGGAAATGGTTTACTTTGTTTTTTTGTTGGCGTGGCTCTGTTACCAGTGTTTTTGGATTCTATTACCAGATTGCCAAGGTGCGACTCCTGGCTCTGCCACTTACCAACTGCAGGACCTTAGGCAAGTGGCTTAATTTATCTGTGCTTTAGTCTCCCCAACTCCATAACTGGGATGAGAGGGTTGCTGTGATGATTAGATGAGAATTTGTGGAAAGTGCCTGGCAACAGTAAATTTTATATGCGTGCTTGCTACTATTATTATTAATTAAAAAAACCTTTTTTTTTGAGACAGGGTCTAGCTCTGTCACCCAGGCCAGAGTGCAGAGTCGGCTCACTACAACCTCTGCTTTCTGGGTTTTTTAGTAGAGACGGGGTTTCACCACGTTGGCCAGGCTGGTCTCGAACTCCTGCCGTCATGATCCACCCGCCCTGGGCTCCCAAAGTGCTGGGATTACAGGCATGAGCCACCGTGTCCGGCTGCTTATTACTATTATTATTATTGGTCATCATTTCAACAAATGTTTCTCAAGCACTTACGTTCAAGCACTGGCACTAAGATAACAATGAATGAAAGTAATAAAACAACTCTACTGGTGGGAGGATACCATGACATCAAAAACAAATTTATACGCCCAGCCCAGGTGCGGTGGTGGCTCACGCCTGTAATCCCAGCACTTTGGGAGGATGAGGTGGGCGGATCACCTAAGGTCAGGAGTTTGAGACCAGCCTGGCCAACATGATGAAACCCCATCTCTACTAAAAATACAAAAATTAGCCAGGTGTGGTCGCCCACGCCTGTAGTCCCAGCTACTAGGGAGGCTGAGGCAGGAGAATCGCTTGAACTGGGGAGGCGGAGGTTGCAGTGAGCTAAGATCATACCTCTGCACTCCAGCCAGAGCAACAGAGCAAGACTGTCTCAAAAAAAAACAAAAAAGAATTTTTGTACCCAGTGAATAACTGCTATGAAGAAACCTGAAAAAGAAAACAAGGATAAGGGAAACAATGAGGCAGCAGGGGTGAGACTGCACACAGCATTGTCAGGAAAGGCCTTTCTCCTAAGGTGACTGTAGGGAAGAGACTTTAAGGAACTGAAAAAGGAGGCCATGTGTTTTTCTTGGCCAAGAGTGTTCAAGGGAAAGCGAACAGCATATTCAAAGGCCTTGAGGAAGGAGGGTGCTAGAACAGCTGGCCAGAGCACAGTGAGCTGAGGACACGGGGAATAGAAGAGTTTAGTAAGGAAATGTGGGGCAGTTTATGTTGGGACTAGTAAAGCATGGCCAGAATTTTGAATTTTATCCCGACTGACATGTAAGAGCTACAAGAGAGGTTTGACTTATGAAGATCCCCACACTTGCTGCTATGGAGAAAAGTGAAAGGAAAAGTGGGGTGACCAGATATAGACACCGCAATAACTAGGGAGAGATGATGGTGGCTTTGATAGGATTATAGTGGTCAAGTTGGTGAGCTTCAGGTTCTGGATACATGCAGAGAACAGAGGCAACAGGATTTACAGATGAATTACATGAGACACGGAAGAATGACTCCGGGGCTTTAAGGTACTGAAAGTATGGATCTGCCATTTATTTAGACGTTGATGGTCATGGGGAGCTGAAGCTTGGTTTTAGACACAAGTAATGAAGTGCCTACTAAGACACCTGTTAAATAGAGAGGTCTAGCAGGCAGTTAGATGTATAGTTTTGAAGTCTACGAGAGACTCAGCTAGATATATAATCTTGGGAGTCAACACTTATTTGGAACTATATATTTGTTTAAAGTCTCCCAGGGAGTGAGTAAAGTTGGGAGAGGGTGCTATTGAATTGGAGGTATCGAAGATGAAATGGGATTAGCAAAGAAGAACGGGACGGAGGGACTCTTGAACGGACAACTACGGGAGTGATGTCACAGGTCATTTATCTGCCAAATTATTTTCGCTTAAGAGATTTCAGTCCTTCCAAAAAACCCTCAAGATAATTTTATGATTCAAGATTTCAGCGAATGCTGTAAGATAATAGACTGTGGCCGGGCGCGATTGCTCACGCCTGTAATCCCAGCACTTTGGGAGGCAGAGGAAGGGGGACTGCTTGAGCCCAGGAGTTCAAGATCAGCCTGGGTAACATAGTAAGAGCTCGCCTTTATTATTTTTTTAAAAAATAAAATATATTTAAGAGAACGCAGACTGAAACTTGAGATTTCTGAGTGGAATAATATCTTTTCCTTGCAGATTTTTTTTTGAAGAACAGAGCAGGGTACCCCGCGACCCAAGCCAAGACGCTCTCAGGAAGAAAGCCCAGCACGCAGCCGCCCTCGCACCCTGATTGCCCCCGGGGCGAGGTCCCCGGCTGGAGCAGGGCTGCAGAAGCCGGGAAGCAACGCCGAGGACCGAGCCGACCGATGGGCGCATGCAGTGAGGGGAACCGGGGCCGCCATGCCGGGCACGTTCCCAAAGGGTTGCACTGGGCGCTGCAGCGTGGGAAACCCCCGTGGCGGTCACCACTGGCGCTAGCTGAGGCGAGACTCACCTTGAGCCGTGGCCCCCTCACTGCTGTAACCCGGGTTCCATGGCTGCATGGACAGCTCAATTTTCATCAGAAGGGAGCCTCAAAATTCTAGCATACTGCGACCCAAAACTTACAAACCGCCTCAGCTGGCGACCTACCGGAAAAAAAAAAAAAAAGCATGCGGCGCATGCGCGTCCAAGGCCGCGGACCGGAAGCTGGGGCTCGCCTGTTGGGAGCCGCGTCCGCCGGTGTTGGTGTCTGCACTTGGAAGGACGTAGGGAATGCGTTGTCCCTGCTAGGTACTTTTCAGTCGCAGAGTTCTCTTCTTCTTCTTTCTTTCTTCCTTTTTTTTTTTTTTGAGACGGAGTCTCGCTGTGTCTCTCAAGCTGGAGTGCAGTGGCGCGATCTCGGCTCACTGCAGCCTCCGCCTCCTGGGTTCAAGCGATTCTCCTGCCTCAGCCTCCCGAGTAGCTGGGATTACAGGCGCCCACCACCATGCCCAGATAATTTTTGTATTTTTCAGTAGAAATGGGGTTTCACCATGTTGGCCAGGCTGGTCTCGAACTCCTGACCTCAGGTGATCCACCGGCCTCGGCCTCCCACAGTGCTGGGATTACAGGCCTGAGCCACCGTGCCCGGCCGGAGTTTTTCTACTTAATACCTCTCCATGCCAACCCCGTTGTCATTTCCCAGCGGCCGCCTCTATAACGGGCACTTTTCAGGGACAAAGAATTGGTCCGTTAATGTTCCTCAAATTCGAACGCGCCTAGGAATAGTTCGGGGATCCTGTTGAAGTGCAGATCAGGATTCCGTAGGTAGGGGTGGGGTTCCAAATTCTACATTTCTAGTATCTTCCCACACGATGGTGATCCTCCTTGTCCCTGAATCATGGAGGAGGGCAATTAGGGAGATGTGAGCCTGGATGCATGGTGGCCTTGGCTATCTTAGGTGTTCTTGCCCATTAACCAAGCTGGGAGGAACCGTGTGAATGCATATCTATCCCTGTTAATAAAAGGGTAGTTTGAAGGAGATGCTGACAGGAGAATAATTAGAAATGTTTTTCTTCCCAATCCAACTATATGCAATACACTTTATAATATTCATTTTAGAAATGTCATAGATAAGATTTGTAAACATTGACATTTAGCAATACTAAATATCACTGCTAGGTCTCCCCTCCACTTTTTTTTTTTAAACAAAAATACGACAGTATGTATTGTAGGTCTTCATAAACTACGTCTTCTGCATAGTGTTTCATGAGCGTTTTTCAATGTCATAATTTATTTTTTCCTCCAACATTTATTATGAAAAAATTCAAGTGTAAAGCGAAGTCGAGAGAATTTTACAGTGGAGCAGACCTCAAGAGAAGGGGAAGGATGGATTTCCCCTCTATTTAGCAGTGTCTGAAGACATTTTGGGTTGTCACAACTGGAAGGATGGTATTGGCATGGGGTAGGTAGAGCACAGGGATGTTCCTCAACTTCCTACAATGAACAGGACATCCCCCGACAACAACAAATTTGCTGGTCCAAAATGTTGATAGTGTTGAGGTTGAAAAACACTGACCTGGAGAGTACAGAATTTTACTCTACCAGCTTTGTCACATACCTCATCAATCTATCTGTTTTCATACATTTAAAAGTAAACTGCAGACAGTACGCTTCTAAGTACCTCTAATGCACATCATTGGAGTTCAAATTAAGGATTTTTTAAGGTAAAAATGAAATGCATACCTTAAATACACATCAGTTTTTAAATGCACACGCCTATGGAACTCAAGCCATATTAACATATAGAACGTTACCATCACCCTAGAAAGTTCTTTCATGCCCTTTCTTAGTTCCCAACCAGTTCTCCCCAAAGGTAACCACTGTTCTGATTTTTTCCCCCACCATACTTATTTTTCTTGTTATAGAACGTCATATGGTTGGAGTCATGCAATAGATATTTTTGTGTAAGGGTTCTTTCACTCAGGGTAATATTTTCATCTGATATCATGTGTATCACTTTCTTTTGATTGCTCAGTAGTATTCCATCATATGAATATACCAGTTCCATTCTTGTTTTGATAGAAACCTGGGCTGTCTTCAGTTTTTTGGCTATTATAAATAAAGCTGCTGTGAACGTTCTTATATAGCATTTTATTGCTCATGACTTTCTTTTCAATAAATATTTATCGAGCACTTACTATATTCCAGGCATTTCCAGGTACTAATTATAGCCATGAACAAGACAAAGATGTCGCATCTCTCAAAGAGCTTATATTTGCACATTTCTGTGTATGTATGAAGAGGGCTAAACATAAAGGTAAAAATAAAAGAAAATTATGGGCCGGGCACAGTGGCTCATGCCTGTAATCCCAGCACTTTGGGAGGCCAAGGCGGGCAGATTACCTGAGGTTGGGAATTCAAAACCAGCCTGACCAACATGAAGAAACCCCGTCTCTACTAAAAATACAAAAATTAGCTGGACATGGTGGTGCATGCCTGTAATCCTAGCTACTGGGGAGGCTGAGGCAGGAGAATTGCTTGAACCTGGGAGGCGGAGGTTGTGGTGAGCCGAGATCACGCCATTGCACTCCAGTCTGGGCAACAAGAGCAAAACTGCGTCTCAAAAAAAAGAAAAAAAAAAAAAATTATGGCTGGGTATGATAGCTCATGCCTATAATCCCAGCACTTTGGGAGACCAAGGAGGATCACTTGAGCCCAGGGTTTGAGACCAGCTTGGGCAACAGAGACCCCTAACTCTACAAAAAACACAAAAATTAGCCAGGTGTGGGGGCGTGTGCCTGTAGGCCTGTAGTCCCAGCTACTCAGGAGGCTGAGGTAGGAGAATTGCCTGAGCCTGGGAAGTTGAGGCTGCAGTGAGCTGTAACTGCACCACTGCACTCCAGCCTGGGCAACAGAGTGAGACTCTGTCTCAAAAAAAAAAAAAAAAGAAAGAAAATTACCAGATAGTGGATAAACTGCTGGGCAGAGAAGTAAAGTAAGGTGATGTGAGTGATCAGATGACTGTGTTACTTAGATTGCCCTGTAACTGGAAGGAAGTGACTTTTAAGGCATGTATAGAAGCTGGGTGTGGTGACTCACACCTGGAATCCTAGTGCTTTGGGAGGCTGAGGCTGGAGTATCGCTTGAGGTCAGGAGTTTGAGACCAGCCTGGGCAGCAGGCTTTTGTAGAGACACGGTGACTTCAAAAAAAAAAAAAAAAAGTTAGCTGATGAGGTGGCACACACTTGCAGTACCAGCTACGCGAGGCTGAGGCATGAGGATCACTTGAGCACAGGAATTCAAGGTTACAGTGAACTATGACTGCACTTCAGCCTGGGCTACAAAGCCAGACCCTGTCTCTAAAATAAATAAATTAAAAATAAGGTGTGAACAGAATGACAATAAGATACCAACCCCGGAAGATCAGGGGGAAGAGGCTTTCTGACAGGAAGCACGTGGTACAATGACCCTAAGGCTCTGTTTTAAAATGCGTGGGGGCAAAAAGCCTGCATTTCTGGAGCTTGGAGAAGAAAGCTTTAAAAAATTATCTCATCCCACTCCTGTTCTTTTTTGCATGAGAGCTGGAGCCTATGCCCTACCACACATCCGTGGATATGCCCAGGATTTGACTTGGGCCTTCGAACTTTGCACAGTAGCTGCTACTAACTTTTTGAGATAATACATTCGTGGGGGCTCAGTCCTGCCTCATCTAAATCACCAGAGACCAAACAAGGACCAGCCCAATATCTCTTGGACTGTAATGTCATAATGTTGTCAGAATACAGAGAAAGATGAAACTAAGCCGGGTCCGGTGGCTTATGCCTGTAATCCAGCATTTTGGGAGGCCGAGGCAGGTGGATCACTTGAGGCCAGGAGTTCAAGACCAGCCTGGCCAATATGCTGAAACCCTGCCTCTACCAAAAAAATACAAAAGTTAGCTGTGTGGTGGGGTGGCACGTGCCTATAATCCCAGCCACTGGGGAGGGTGAGGTGGGAGAATCGGGAGGTGGAGGTTGCAGTGAGCTGAGGTCGTGCCACTGCACTCCAGCCTGGGTAACAGAGTGCAACCCGGTCTCAATAAATAAATAAATAAGTAAATAAAACAAAAATTATCTCAGCAGTAAAAAGCAAGAGAGCTAGTTTTCCCCCAAATTTAACCAAATGTTACTCTGGTGGTTAGTATGCCACCATCTTAAACTCCTTTTATCTGATTAGTAAGGATGGACATTTATTTTATGACCAATTGTTCTTTTATGGTGAATTACCTGTTTACATATCTATTTTTCTATAGCTATCTGCAACTCCCCCGACCCCCACGGTAGCGATTACTATCTTCTCTACTAAACTAAGACTCCAGGGCAGAGAGGCCTATGTTTAATTCATTTGAGGAAAGGCTTGGCACAAAGTGTGCACTTACATATTTTCTTTTTTTCTTTTTGAGAGGGAGTTTTGCTCTTGTTGCCCAGGCTGGAGTGCAATGGAGTGATCTTGGCTCATTGCAACCTCTGCCTCCAGACTTCAAGCGATTCTCCCCCTTAGCCTCCCGAATAGCTGGGATTACAGGCGCCCGCCACCACGACCGACTAATTTTTTGTATTTTTAGTAGAGACGGGATTTCACCACGTTGGCCAGGCTGGTCTCGAACTCCTGACCTCACGTGATCCACCCGCCTCGGCCTCCCAGTGTTGGGATTACAGGGGTGAGCCACCGCGCCAGGGCTCGCACTTACAAATTTTCAAAGAATGGACAGTAAATATTTGAAAATCCCCTCCTCCCCCGCAATTTATCTGACACCGTCTTTCGGTTTTGCTTTAAAAATTCACTCTCGCGGCCGGGCGCGGTGGCTCACGCCTGTAATCCCAGCACGTTGGGAGGCCGAGGCGGGCGCATCACAAGGTCAGGAGTTGGAGACCAGCCTGGCCAATTGGTGAAACCCCGTCTCTACTAAAAATACAAAAATTTTAGCTGGGCGTGGTGCCGTGCGCCTGTAGTCCCAGCTACTCGGGAGGCTGAGGCAGAAGAATGCACTCCAGCCTGGGCGACAGAGGGATATTCCGTCTCAAACAAACAAAAAATCACTCGCTGCGTTTTTTATTCTGACATGGTGCAGGAAGGTAAATTCAAGACAACTTAGGTACTCAGTTTTAGAAGTCGACAGGACAGAATTACGGAAACAAATTTAAGCGTTCCCCCTTTTAGCTCCAAATATAATGTGTTCCAGAAAGGTAACCATCTAGGAAACTCCAAGGCTCAGACCACCACCGGATGCCCACACTTCAGGAGCATTTATATAACTTCGTGGTTATGTCAGAGACGAGAAAACCCATTGACAACCAAACCCCTAAACCCGAACATCCGGCGCAAGCCGCACGCAGGCGCAGATTTACTAGCGTCAGAGCCGATGGTCCCGGGAGGTGGGGGTGGGGTGGTGGTGGCCTAGCCACTTCCCATAATGCCGCGTTCCGGAAGTTATTGCTTTCCAGGGGTCACTCTGGCTTCGACTCCGTCGCTCTCAATTCGTCACCAGGAGGAAGACGGAGCTGGCTGCCCAGCCCAAAGGCCCATGAGGGGATGCAGTTATGGGCTCTGTCGCCGTGGGTGAGTTCTGGTCCCACTGCCTGGCAGTCGTCGCTCGCCTGGCTTTCTGCGCTGGGAGAGCTCCTGTTTTCCGCCCCAACTTCGTTCTCTTCTTGAAGGCCGCTCTCCTTAAGCACGTAACCCGGCTACTTTCCGGTACTGCGATCTCATTGGCTGCATGTTCTGTCAGTTCCAGAAGCTGGCCAATGAGATGCCGCTGCTGGCGGCCTTCTCGACCCCGTGGACCCAGAGGTTCCCCCGTGGGATCGGAGCAGTTAGAAGGGGAGGAGAGGGAAGGTGTGGCAGGCGCCGAGCAAATGGGTGGGTGGCGCGTGGCAGGGACTTCCCTATGGGTTGGAGCTGGATTTGCAGCCGTGTTCATACGGCTGGTAGGAAAAGCAGGATCTGTCACTTATCCAATTGACTATATCTAGGAGGGGATTGATATACGCAAAACTTGAAAGCCACGTTAACACCTGCTGACAAAGTTTTCCACACGCTTACATTTTTAATGGAACCGAGTAGGCAGGGGAAGACTGGGAGGGCAGAGAGTGAAGAGACTTGGAATAATATGAGAACCGGCAAGACTATCTTTGATTTAGATTTTGTATGGAGTCCTGCGAAGAGTCATTTCACTAAGACGTTAATGCTCATCCGATGACACTACTTGAAAAGTGTATTAAGTTTATTGATGTTTTATAGCTGATGGAAGTCACAATATGCTCTCCTCATGACTCATTAGTTGCCTTTATAGTTGTCAGAACTTTACTGAGGCTCTTTCCGCAGCACTGGAGTGACCCCTCTGTCCTCTGCCTGCAGTAATTAACAATTCGTCTTTCAAGTTTTCCTATGGAGTCTAAGCTGCTGCAATCCTCAAACCAGATTTACTAGTGCTGTCTTCACTACTGCAGACTTCTGACTTCTCATTTTTCACCCTTTTCTTTTTCACCAGAACTTGTTTGCTTCATTCTTATGTACCTACCTTTGCACCTTGTAATCATCCTTTATGCCTCAGGTACTATTCTATTTTTCTATTTCAATGCAAGAAGTATTTCTTCAGGACCTGCTATGTACTAACATTATGCTAGATATTATAGGCAGTTCCAAAACTGTGCTTGAAACCATTTATTTTTCTAAGAACTTTAGATTCTGCTTACAGAAATAACATAAACCCAGATTAAAGATTTAAGAAATTCACTAGAATATGGGATAAGGGGACAAGATGACTAGAGCATACCATAAATACTGGGGAAGTTCAGTGGAGAGGTTTATTTAGAGTAGAATGATTGTCTAAGGCTTCCTTGAAATGGAGAGCTTCCAAGATTGGTAAGATTTAGATAGAATATTACAGCTAGAAATCAAAGACATCAAGGCGGGGAGGGTACAAAGTGTTTTGGAGTGGAGTACAAGAGAAGGACTTGGCCAGGTGCTGTGGCTCACGCCTGTAATCCCAGCACTTTGGGAGGCCGAGGCAGGTGGATCACGAGGTCAGGAGTTCAGACCAGCATGGCCAAGATGGTGAAACCCCGTCTCTACTAAAAATACAAAAATTAGCCGGGTGTGGTGGTGGGCGTCTGTAATCCCAGCTATTCGGGAGGCTGAGGCAGGAGAAGCACTTGAACCCGGGCGGCAGAGGTTGCAGTGAGCCGAGATCGGGCCACTGCACTCCGGCCTGGGCGACAGAGCAAGACTCCGTCTCAAAAAAAAAAAAAAAAAAAGAGACAGACTTGATTGGCAGGTAAAAAGTGGTGGTCTTGAAACCCAAACATCTGCATTTTACCTTTTTTTTTTTTTTTTTTTTTTTTGGTAGAGATAGAGTGTCGCTTTGTTGCCCAGGCTAGTCTTGAACTTCTGGCCTCAAGCCGTCCTCCCACCTCGATCTCCCAAAGTGTTGGGATTACAGGCGTGAGCCACCGCACCCAGACAACATCTGCCTTTTAGCTCATCGTTTGTGTGATCTTTCACCATTTTTTTTTCCTGACTTTTCTCCTTGAGTGAAATGCCTCTATTTAAAGTGTTGTTATGAAAATCCGATGTGATAATGTTTGTGAAAGGGCTTTGAAGATCAAAAGCACTATATAGTTATAACTTTAGTGGTTTTTTTTGTTGTTGTTGAGGTGTAATAGAAAGTCAGGATTAGCCGAGCAATGGGGCCGAATTTATAAAGGCCTATGAGTGCAAAGTTTAGGGAGTGTGGTCCAGGAAACTGTTAAATGCTTCCGATCAAGAGAGTGATATGATAAAAATGGCATAACTGGGAGATGAATCTAGTACTGAACTCCCACATCGATTAGAGTGAGTTGGATTGGAGGCAAGAACTTGGGTGCTATTTTATGTATTTATTTCTAAAATCTATAATTCTATATAATTAGGTAGACCTGTATGTACTTTTAGCACTTTTCATGTTTTCTAAGTTTGAATTGTTGACTAAAAAAGTGAAGATTTGATGTGCAGCTAGATTTGTCAAATAGCCTTCCAAAGTGGTTTTGGCAATAATATAATAATGTAAATAGTTGAGAATGCAGTTGTAATCAATTTTCATTTAGCTGATACGCATAGGAAATCCTGGTGTGGAAAATGTACAACAGTGTATCACTTTTTGTATTTGGCTTTGAAGCCATTTTGGAAATTTTCTAACTCCCTTCAGGAGGTTGTTAGAATTATTTTTAATTTTTATTAGAGAAATTATCAGTTTAATTTGCATAGACTGCAGAGCTAAGAAAGGTAGCTTAGAAGGGAAGCAAATCAGTTTTCTGATTAAAGTGCTGCCATTATTTCACATGTATGTAGTGAGGAGTCACCTTCCTAAGAGTATCAAGTTCTGAGACTGTTCAAGATCTGTGTAAGATGACCAAGGTTCTCTCCTGACCTTTACATATATTGAAAACCTCTTAAGCTTGCTAAGAATCACTTTCCTATGCTATGAAAAACGGGAGATAACTATTCTATCTACTTGAGTTCCTGTTGAAAATTAGATGATTATATGTGATTGGTCTTTGTAAATTACAATGTGATAGACATGCATAATATACGTGGCTTAGTTATATTACTGTCTCCTAGAGAAATATAAGACATACTTTTTTTTTTGGTCAAGCTAACTTTATCTTGTTTTCTAGATTGTTATTTTGTGTCAGTAAGTAATCCATAAAGTGCCAACATGGGAAAGAAACGGACAAAGGGAAAAACTGTTCCAATCGATGATTCCTCTGAAACTTTAGGTATATTTCATTGATTGAATCTTTAATGTTTATATCTCTAAATGAATATGTTTTAAAATGTAAAAATGGTATAAAGCTGCATATTATTGTTATATTATCTGCATTTTAATATAATGTTTGTATCTATATGTCATTTAATAGTCTTCTACTTTTTTTTTTTTTTTTGAGAAAGAATCTCGCTCTGTTGCCCAGGCTGGAGTGCAGTGGTGCAATCTCAGCTCACTGCAACCTCCGCCTCCCAGGTTCAAACGGTTCTCTCGTGCCTCAGCCTCTGAGTAGCTGGGATTACAGACACATCCCACCACAGCCAGCTAATTTTTTTTTTTTTTTTTAATAGTGACGGGGTTTCCCTGTGTTGGTCAGGCTGGTCTTGAACTCCTGGCCTCAAGTGATCCGCCTGCCTTGGCCTCCAAAAGTGCTAGGATTACACGTGAGAGCCACTGCACCTGACTTTCTACATCTTTTTTGTTTTTTTTCCTGAGACGGAGTCTGGCTCTGTTGCCCAGGCTGGAGTGCAGTAGTGTGATCTCAGCTCACTGCAGCCTTTGCCTTGAGGGTTCAAGCGATTCTCCTGTCTCAGCCTCATGAGTAGCTGGGATTACAGGTGTGCTCCACCACACCCAGCTAATTTTTGTATTTTTAGTAGAGACAGGGTTTCACCATGTTGACCAGGCTGGTCTTGAACTCCTGACCTCAAGTGATCCGCTTCCTCAGCATCCCAAAGTGCTGGGATTACAGGCGTGAGCCACCGCGCCCGACCTTCAACAACATTTTTAATGGCATATTATTGCATTTAGCAAAGACCATGGATGTATATTTCATAATTTATTTAGATAATTTTCTACTGTTACAGATTTAGGTAATCTTTAACTTTTTAGTATTATGAATGGCTCAGTAGTAAACAACTTTATAGCTAAATCTCTCTGTACATCCAAATATTTTCCTAATACACATACATAATTTTTGAATCGAAGGGTGTAAACATTTTTAAGACTCTTTTGATCCTGTTGCTAAATTGCCATCCAGAAATGTTTTACTAATTTCCAGGCCCCCTATTAGCGTAGTAAAGTGCCCATTTCCCTGAACCTTCATCGGCACTGGTTAGTATCATCTGTAAACATCTGTGCTGATTTGGTAGTTAAAAAAGGTTACCTTCTGACCAGGTGTGGTGGCTCACGCCTGTAATCCCAGCACTCTGGGAGGCCAAGGCGGGCAGATCACGAGGTCAGGAGATCGAGACCATCCTGGCTAACACGGTGAAACCCCGTCTCTACTAAACATACAAAAAATTAGCTGGGCGTGGTGGCGGGCGCCTGTAGTCCCAGCTACTTGGGAGGCTGAGGCAGGAGAATGGCGTGAACCTGGGAGGCGGAGCTTGCAGTGAGCCGAGATTGTGCCACTGCACTCCAGCCTGGGCAACAGAGCAAGACTCCGTCTCAAAAAGAAAAAAGAAAAAAAAGGGTACCTTCTTTTTCTAGTTTGTATTTCTTTGACTACTGAGATTTGGTAGTTTTTCCACCTGATCCCATTTGCATTTATATTTCTTTTCTTGGTGCAAGATCATTGGACATAAAGCTAATTATGCCACTTGACTAGTTTCTAAACCTCCAGTGTTCCTGGAACAACTCAGCACTGTAGAGTGGTTTGCAAAGCTCTTTACTTATCTTGGCCCCAACAGAGTTTTCAGCCTCAGGTTCAACTGCTCATTTTTGCACATTGTGTAACTCCATCATCTGGGGAGACAGCATGCACTTTCACATGTTTTTGTTCTTGGCATGGGCATTTTCAGATTGCCCTTCACTCCCTGAGGTCGCAGTTTAAAGTGTGAGCTATGAAGTCTGAAAGACTTGAGTCTAAATTCTGGCATAGATACTCAGTAGTTATGTGGGTACTAAATCTTAGTTTTCTCATTTGTCATTGGGAATAATAGTGTCTTCTAGGGTGATTGTAAGGATTAAATGGGATAATGTATTCAAAACATTTAACAAAGTTCATAGGACATATTTAATTAATATCAGCAATTTTTATTACTATTATTATCTTCTAGGATTGCACAGATGTTACCTCCCCTGTGAAACTTTTGGTGACTTTAGCCTTCTCTGCTTGTGCTGCTATACCATGTTTCGGAGATTCTTATACATTAATTTATTTAGCTGCCTTTCCTTCCAGAATGTGAGCTACTCAAAGAAAACAGCTGTGACTTGGTCAATTTTGGGCTCCTGAGCGTCTAGCACAGTGCCTGCCCTATAGTAGGTGTATTATTGACTAAATGAAGGACGTTTTCTACAAATCTTTAAAGATAAAGAGAATCATAAGTATGATAAAGGGCCTTAATTTAAAGGAAATAGCCAAATAAATTGAAATGAATTTGTAGTGGGGGACAGTGGTGGTTATATTTAGGACTTCAAGAAAGCGAAACTTCACAAATTTGTGTCAAATCTCTTTCTCACATATTTATCTCATATTATTCAAATATCAAACAATTTTAAGTTCAGAATATCTTAACAGTTTATAGAGTAAATTTCATTTTTGAAATGTGAATCGAGGGTAAGTTTTGAGATTAACTGAAGAAAGTCATTTTTGACCTTATATATTCCTTGTCTATTATTTGTTTTAATAGAACCTGTGTGCAGACACATTAGAAAAGGATTGGAACAAGGTAATTTGAAAAAGGCTTTAGTGAATGTGGAATGGAATATCTGCCAAGACTGTAAGACTGACAATAAAGTGAAAGATAAAGCTGAAGAAGAAACAGAAGAAAAGCCTTCAGTTTGGCTGTGTCTTAAATGTGGCCATCAGGTATGCTTACGTTTTAAGATCAATATGGGATTTTAGAAAACTCTTTGAACTTACTTTAGAAGGTATTACCTGAAAGTACAGTATGGATAAAAGGATACTAGTAACATAGATCATGTTCTCTGGAGAACCAGTTCTGAGATGTGTGTATAGGTGGTGGAGTGTTCTCTGGTACCACACCAGTAAAAGTAAGGGAAGCAAGATTAAGCATAGGGAGAAGTTGAATGAAGAGGCAGTGGCAACAGGGTCTCAGCCAATCCCACAGTGATCTCTTGCCTGAATTGAGGCAAGGAGCTAGACCTTTCTACCTGTGCATAGACCAGTCATTGGATGTGGCCTGCCCCTAGAGCAGGAAGTAACCTTGGGCAAGGCAGCTCCCTTTTGTTGAGACTGATTCCTGGGGATGGATGGACTAGACTGTGAGCTCTCAGCCGGCCACATTCTCAGCACCTGGGGGAATGAGTAGTACCTTGATCTTTGGCAGTGAGGGCATGTCTGGCTGGCACATCACAGTATCTACTCTACCAGCTCACAGTTATTACCGTGGTACTAAAGTCAGGGTCTCTCAGTTACCCTTAGTGGTGGCAAGTTAAGCTTATATGTTAGGAAATTGGGCTACTAGGCAGTAGTCATGAAGTCATGAGGCTTCAAGATCAGGCAGATAGCCAGTTTTTTGTTGTTTTTTTGAGATGGGGTCTCACTCTGTCACCCAGGCTGGAGTGCAGTGGCACAATCTTGGCTCATGGCAGCCTCCACCTCCCAGGTTCAAGCAGTTTTCCTGCCTCAGTCTCCAAGTAGCTGGAATTACAGGTGTGTGCCACCACGCCTGGCTGAGTTTTGTATTTTTAGTAGAGACAGGGTTTTGCCATGTTGGCCAGGCTGGTCTCAAACTCCTGATTTCAAGTGATCCACTCACCTTGGCTCCCTCAAAGTGCTAGGAATACAGGCGTGAGCCACTGCGCCCAGCCAGGATTTTTTGTTTTTTCACGTTTTCAAATTGAAAATCTTATTGAGGTTATTATAGATCATGTGCAGATCTAACAGATAATACAGAGAAATCCCTATGCATTTTTCTCAGAGTCCCCCAGTGGTAACATTTTACAAAATGAGTATAATATCACAACCAGGATATTGAGATTGAAACAACACACCAATCGCAATCAGATCTCCTGAGTTTGACTTCTTTTTTTGTGCATGTGTGTATGTGTACATGTGTATTACATTCTGTACACTTTTGTCACCTGTGTAGATTATTCACCACCACAGTCACGATACTAAATAGTTGAACATCACAGGGATCTCTTGTGTTGCCCTTGTATAATCATACCCACCTCCCTACTGCCACCACTCTCTGCAGCCCCTGGCAACTACCATTCTATTCTGTATTTCTAAATTTAGTCATTTCATCAAAAATGTTATGTAAATGGAGTCATACAGTGTGCAACATTTGGGGATTGGCTTTTGCTTTTTTCTTTTTTTGAGGCAGGGTCTCACTCTCTCACCCAGGCTGGAGTTCAGCGGTATAATCACGGCTCACGGCAGCCTTCACCTCCCAGGCTCAAGTGATCCTCCCACCTCAGCCTCCTGAGTAGCTGGGACTACACCTGCATGCCACCACTCCTGGCTAATTTTTGTATTTTTTCTAAAGATGCGGTTTTGGTATACTGCCCAGGCTGGTCTTGAACTCCTGGGCTCAAGTGATCTACCCCCCTGGGCCTCCCAAAGTGCTAAGATGATAGGTGTGAGCCACCGTGCCCAGCCAGGATTGGCTTTTTCACTCAGCATAATCACCCAAAGATTTATCAAAGCTGTGTGTATCAAGTTTGCTCTTTTTTTATTACTGAGCGTATTTTATGGCATATAGTACAACAGCTTGTTTTTACTGTTTACCTGTCGAATGACAACATCTGGGCTGATCCCATTTTTTGGTGATTACAAATAAAGCTGCTGTTAACATTTGTGTACAGGTTTTTGTGTGAACTTAGATTTCATTTCTCTAGGATAAATGCCCAAGAGTGCAATTGCTGGGTCCTATGGCAATTTAATGTTTAGTTTTTTAAGAAACTGCCAAACTGCCAAACTGTTTTTTCACAGTGACTCTACCTTTTATATTCTTACTAGCAGTGTATGAATGATTCACTTTCACTTTTTCTTCATTTTTGCCAGCATTTACAATTGTCACAGTTTTTTATTTTAGCCATCATGATAGTTATATACTGATATCTCATTGTGGTCAGTTAAAAAAATCTGTATGTTAGAAAAGATACTGTTTACTTGTATTTGAAAGGTTTAATTGTAACCTTTTAAATACATATGGTGAGTATGAATATGCTTTGCTATTTCAGTTTTTCAGAATATATTTTGTGTTACAAATTTTTGTGCTACCTTTTTAATTTGTAAGAATAAGACATGTCAGTATTAACTGCTAACTTTTTTCCCACTAGATACCTTTGGCACTGTTAGCTAATGATTCTTAACTGTTGTCTCAAGACAACTATGTTTCAAATGATCTCAAATGATGTTGTAATTTTCAAAAATAGTATCAAATGTTAATTCATTTATTTTGTAATTAAATGTTCAGTGGGATAAATTAAGCGAATAGTGTTTGGGATCATAGTTAAGGAATTAGAAATTACCAATGTATATTTCTTCTCCAAAGTATATATTTAGCGGCAATGGAAACACGACCGGTTGTTGTACTGTGATCCAAAAGTTGATAGACTGGTTCCAGTAGATACACAGTGAAGATATGTTTCTCAGCAGTGATCTGACTAGCTGAAAGCAGAAGTTTAGGTCATGTTCTTTTATGAATAAGCCTATACATCTTTTAGGTAAAAGTCTCCCATTTACTTGTTTAAATAGTGTTTTTTGACCACCTCCTGTGTTCTAGAATATTTGGTAATAGATTAAGTCTACTGCCTTGAGCCTTTGGGATTTATAGACCAGGTGAGAAAGGATATAAATATCAATAACGTTAGTACAAGGTAAAAAATAAGGAATGCCACTAGGAATTCATGCCATGTTTTATAGAATTTGTTTAAAGGAAGGAGACAGTATTTTCTCATCTGGGAGATAAGTATAGGCTTCTGGGAGGAGGTGGCTTTTGAGCAAGATCTTGAAGAGTGGGTGGGATTTGGTTAGGTAGCAGTGTTCATAAAGGATTCTGGATAAATAGAATAATGTGAACAAAATTGCATAGTTGTGAAAAGCGCTCAGTGTGTTTTTAGCTGGTCGTTGGTATGTGAATAAGAGAATGTGGGAGTTAACACTGGAGAGATATGTCGGGGTCAGAGGATGTCAGGTTTGTTTATTAGGAGTTTAAGAGTGCAATTCATAATTTTTGAATGGTGTATGAACAGAGCTTTGTTTTAGGAACACTAAACTGAAAGAATATGCATGTGAAGAAGGAGGCTGAAGTTAGGGGAATGTTTAGGAGACTGTTAAGGAATCCAAACCAGACTTGACTGCATTAGTGTGGTTTAATCTGGGCTGGAAAGTTGGACAAGAAGAGTACTTTGAGTGCATGGTTTTCTTTTTTTTTTTTTTTTTATTTTGAGATGGAGTTTTTGCTCTTGTTGCCCAGGCTAGAGTGCAGGCCCAGACGTGATCTTGGCTCACTGCAACCTCCGCCTCCTGAGTTCAAGCAGTTCTCCTGCCTCAGCCTCCTAATTAGCTGGGATTACAGATGTGCGCCACCACACCCGGCTAATTTTTGTATTTTTAGTAGAGATGGGGTTTCACCATGTTGGTCAGGCTGGTCTCGAACTCCTGACCTCAGGTGATCCCACCCCTGGCCTCAGCCTCCCAAAGTGCTGGGATTACAGGTGTGAGCCACCGCGCCTAGCGAGTGCATGGTTTTCTAAATACTTGTTGACTTAAATGTTCTCAGTTGCCTGTGCATATGTAAGTTTTAACAAAATATTGATTCTAGAGTCTAACATTTTCTTTTCAAGATTGTAAGAATGGCAGAATTTCATGAGCCACTTCCTTGTTTATGATAGATTATGCATTCTCCCCTCTTGCTGAGTTTTTATGGCTTTGAGGTTTATGATTATGATTTTTTTAGGGCTGTGGCAGAAATTCTCAGGAGCAGCATGCCTTGAAGCACTATCTGACGCCAAGATCTGAACCTCACTGTCTGGTTCTTAGTTTGGACAACTGGAGTGTATGGTGAGTTTCAGTTCCTCTGCCTCTTGGGTGGAAATTATTTGAAATATTAGAGAATGGAAATGTTTAAATATGTTTAAGAAGAAAGCAATTTAAAATTTTTGTAGTATGTTTTAAAATACCATCACTTTCACAAAGCTAAAGAATGCAGTATTATGAGAAGCTTTTACTTGGACGTTTGCACAAGCACAAACATTGTAACATAGAAGACTTAAGAATCTTTACCCCTTTGTTTTTCTTGCTTGTGATATTATAAGGCATATAGTGGAGATAGGGACGCTAAGAACAAATTTCAGATAAAATTGTAATAAAATTTTGGCTATGAATTTGCATGAAAATAAATGTCAGTCTGGTATGTTATAGATGCTGCATTGTAACATCATTAAAACAGATTTTTACGTCTTAAAAATCATTTTCACAGTAGTCTTCACTGAATGACATCTTTTTTTTTTTTTTGAGACGGAATCTTTCTGTCGCCCAGGCTGGAGTGCAGTGGTGTGATCTCGGCTCACCACAACCTCCGCCTCCCAGGTTCAAGCAATTCTCCTGCCTCAGCCTCCCGAGTAGCTGAGATTACAGGGATGCACCACCACGCCCGGCTAATTTTTGTATTTTTAGTAGAGACGGGGTTTCACCATGTTGGTCAGGCTGGTCTCAAACTCCTGACCTCGTGATCCCCTTGTGATCCGCATGCCTCAGCCTCCCAAAGTGCTGGGATTACAGGCATGAGCCACCGTGCCTGGCTTGAATGGCATCTTTCAATTGTAAAAGTTGTTACTTTTGTCTGGCTAACACGTTGAAACCCCATCTCTACTAAAAATACAAAAAAAAAGTAGCTGGGCATGGTGGTGGGTGCCTGTAGTCCCAGCTACTCGGGAGGCTGAGGTAGGAGAATGGCATGAACCAGGGAGCTGGAGGTTGCAGTGAGCCGAGATCCTGCCACTGCACGCAGCCTGGGCAACAGAGCGAGACTCCGTCTCAAAAAAAACCAAAAAACAAAACAAACAAAAAAAAGTTGTTATTTTTGTTAGTGTTATTCTGTATTTTAAAATATATGTAAACAATCTTTTGACTTCAATGTTATAACCAGTAAAGTAAAACGTTTGGAGTATTTCATCATACTACTTATATGCAGCCATAATTCTGGCTAATTTTATTAATAATAAACCAGAGTTAATATGCATAGTCTTCTTCAGGAAAACAGAATTTTTACGTTCGGTTTCTTTAATAGAATAAGTTGGCAGTTACACACTTTGATTCCAGGAATTATTATTTGTCTCCCCCTTTTTAGTTGTCATTTTGTCATTTTTCATCTCTGATTTTTGGGTCACAGGTGTTACGTATGTGATAATGAGGTCCAGTATTGTAGTTCAAACCAGTTGGGTCAAGTGGTTGATTATGTCAGAAAACAAGCCAGCATTACAACTCCAAAGCCAGGTAAAATAATTTGTTTCTTTAATATACACCAAATGTCGATTTGTGTATCTGCTGATACTTAGATTTGTTATACTACCTAGCATTACATACAGCTGAGTAACATTAGTTATGGTTGATTGCAAACTATGAAACTATTTTTGGTTTAACTATAAGGTATTAGAAGGGATATGAGAAATGATCTAGTCAGATGTGATGAAGGCCATAGACTAAGGTAATGGCCATTAATGCTAAGACTAAGGTAATTCCCATAACCCTAGCCAGGCTTACTATAGACCTGCCTTACACTGTTCTTACTGTCGTACATTTTGTAATAGCAAGATTTCAGTCTGTCTGCTGGGATAACATAAAGCATTTGTGATTCCTTCTAATGGTCAGATATTTCTTAGGTTCTTTCCATGCATAATTAAATTAATTGGCTGACATACAGCATTTGCTTTAAGCATGTTTTTTAAGTTTTTATTGTCACAAGTATCTTTGTCAGAGCCAGAATTATTTGTTTTTTACTTTAGGATTGATTTTTGACCCACAGAATTCATTAAAAAATTTATTTCATGTCCATGTTCTTGATTGTTTTATATTCTTAATTTCACAAGGTAAGATGTGTTCATTTGTAAAGAATTTTCGTGCAGTAAAAAAGGGAGATTTATACCAAAGCACATACTGTTTGGTTTCATTTATCAAACTAATGCTTACTTTAGGTCTGAGTATTTTTTGTTTACTGGGTTTTGTGTTTTTTTTCTGGATGGCAATTTACCTGTATCTATTTAAAATCAAATGGGTGGGTGGGTTGGAAAGAATGACTTCAGGTAAACTCACAAACTCTAGTACTGTTTCCCAAGTATACTTCTGCATTCGATATGACTGTATTACACATTTTGCTAAATCTTTTCTTTTTTTAAAGCAGAGAAAGATAATGGAAATATTGAACTTGAAAATAAAAAATTAGAAAAAGAGAGTAAGAATGAACAAGAGAGAGAAAAGAAGGAAAACATGGCTAAAGAGAATCCTCCCATGAATTCTCCTTGCCAAATAACCGTGAAAGGACTCAGTAATTTGGGAAACACATGTTTCTTCAATGCAGTTATGCAGGTACATTGTCATTTTTTTCCCTTTAAAAAAGCTGTCCTTTTCCTCATAGAATCTGCTACTTACATTATTGAGTTTTTTCCACCTGAGTAATTTATTTCTATGTATCCAAAGAAAACTTTTTTTTTTTTTTTTTTTTTTTTTGAGACAGGGTCTCACTCTGTCACTCGGCTGGAGTGCAGTGGCACGATCGTGGCTCACTGCAGCCTCTACCTCTTGGGCTCAAGCAGTCCTCCTACCTTAGCCTCCAGAGTAGCTGGGACTACAGGCATGCGCCACCACTCCCAGCTAGTTTTTGTATCTTTTGTAGAGACAGGGTTTCGCCATGTTGCCTAGGCTAGTCTTGAACTCCTGGGCTTAAGCCGTCCACCCCCTTTGGCCACCCAAAGTGTTTGGATTACAGGCGTGAGCCACCATGCCTGGCCAAAGAAAACTTAAGGAAAGTTTTATTGCATGACAGTAAGAGAGTTTGGTGAGCACTCGGGTGCAGTGGGTTTGAAAGAAATATTGCTGCTTCTTTCATGGAGCTTGCACTTGGGTGGAGGAAACACAGGATAACCTCATATAGAAGCAAATACGTACCTACAGGTAGTGGTAAGTGGTTGTGAGAGAGTCATGGTGGAGGATTGGGGATAGCTACTTCTGATTGGGTGGTGGGAGAATGCCCCACTGAGGTGATGAATAAGCTCAGAACTGAAGTAGTTATGACCCAAATAGAGTAGGGAGAGAAGCATCTGTAACTTTTCATTTTCCAAGTATAGAGTTTTCAGTGTTGGTCATGATTTTCTGTTTTGATAGAATAGACACTTAAGAAGTGTCAGAGTTGATTTGCCTTTAAATAATTTTTCTCTTTTTTTTTCACCCTACATTCTAGAACTTGTCACAAACACCAGTGCTTAGAGAACTACTAAAAGAAGTGAAAATGTCTGGAACAATTGTAAAAATTGAACCACCTGATTTGGCATTAACAGTATGTTCTTTAAACTTTTCTAGTCTGTAACTTTCCTCTCTGAATGTGTGTTTTCTAAATTATTTTAAATAACTGACACTCATTTCCACTGTTTTTGTTTGTTTTGTTTTACTTTAGGCTACTAACTTAAACAGTTTCAGGCTAATAGAAGTTATAAGGAGGCATTACATCTGTTTGCTGTGTGTGTGCTCTGTTTTTCTATGCTCGAGTGTTAAGCTTCCTTCTTGGGAATGTGTATATGTTTGAGAAGCCTTAGGCTTACATTATTATTTTTAACATCTTTAAGGTGACTTAAGAGCTGTGTAACCAAATAAATATTACCTTATCCATTTTTATTATTTACATTTTGCTTTGGCTCTTTCAATTCTTAGGTAGTAAGTGTTCCAGATAATCTAAAACTAAAATAGTAGAGCTGAATTCTGCATAAGACAGTCTGTGACCAAACAGTTTCTATCTCTTTTGATGTACATTTTAAACTTTTAAATGGGGCAGTTCTGTCAGGAACATTGGTAGTATATGTTAACTAATTAGATTTTAGTAAAGTCAGTGATTCCAGAATTTGACTGAAGAAAGTAATTTCTTTTCCCATATTCAGGAACCATTAGAAATAAACCTTGAGCCTCCAGGCCCTCTTACTTTAGCCATGAGCCAGTTTCTTAATGAGATGCAAGAGACCAAAAAGGGGGTTGTGACACCGAAAGAACTCTTTTCTCAGGTCTGTAAAAAGTGAGTATCCACTTCGATTGTGCTTTCAGTGCCTCAGTGAGATGCTGAGAAATAATATTAATATTAAATAGTAAAATATAAAAATATTAATAGCATTACATTTAGTCAACCCTCTATATACAAAAGGCATAGTTTTTTTTCATTTGGATTTTAAAATATATTTTATGTGATAGTTAAATCTCCCAAGGGTGTTAATGGACTAAACGGAAATTTGTAGAAACCAGAACTCTCTGAGATTTGGGATATGATCCTAAGATTTTCTAAAAATAGCTTCAGAGCTTAGTAGACTGAAGATTGCTTTTCTGTCTTTTTGTTTTTCTCTAGAGCAGTGCGGTTTAAAGGCTATCAGCAGCAAGACAGCCAGGAGCTGCTTCGCTACTTATTGGATGGGATGAGAGCAGAAGAACACCAAGTTAGCATGTTATGACCATTGTATTTTATGATCTTATCTTCATAAGCTTTCTGTCTCATTTGATATCTTACGAGTTAAAACAATGAAAGCTAGTTATTAAGGCCATCATACTTTAAAATTTTTTCTTACACCAGCTTTTTCAACTAGTATGTTTTCACCATTAGAATGAATCCAGAGAATTAGCAGTAATTCTCTTTCTCATGATGGCTTAAGTTTAGTTGATGTTTACAGCATTAATGTTCTTTAAAGATTCTGTTGTACTAACCTATACGAAGAGAGCTGCCAAATATTGGAAATTGTTTCTCCCAAACCCAGGTGCAGCACACCCTTACTTTTAATTCTGAGTCTGATTTAATACTGTTTTTTGAACCTAGGAAGTATTTTCATTTTGTAAGAGTCAGGGAACATTGGTTGCATTTTAAAATTTTTGTTACTTGCCAGGATATAAAAAAATGTATTTGGGGTATGAATTAATGAGTACTAATAATAGTGATAATAACTAATATTTATTTCGCACTTATTTTTATGCCAATCACTGTTTTCAGTGTTTTGTATTAATTCCCTTACTTCGTTCTCACAAAGTTTCTGTGAGGTGGATACTGTGATTTTTTCCTATTCCATAGATTGAGAATCTAGGCTGTAGAGAAGTTCAGTACCTAGTTTAAGGTCCCCCAGAAATAATGGAGCTGGGCTTTAAGCACTGGAGTCAGACCCTGTGGCTGTCATGTAATCATTGTGCTTGTAGGACAAGCTATTTCAGTTTCTTCTCAAAGGTGGTGGGCATGTTCTGAAAACCTTTGGCTTGAAGAGGTTTAAGATCTTGAAATGATAAGATAATACCTTTATTCAATGGTTAGTGATTGCTTTGTGACATAATTCCTTTTTAGCTCCTTGAATTAAGTTTGAAAATGTGATTTTGGAATTATTTAGTAAATATGGGGAGCTGTATCCTGATCACTTTCTTGACTTGATTACATATTTCTAAGGAAAATAAAATTTAAAATTTAATAGTATATATATATCCATTTTATTACTTTTAGAGAGTGAGTAAAGGAATACTTAAAGCATTTGGTAATTCTACTGAAAAGTTGGATGAAGAACTAAAAAATAAAGTTAAAGGTAATGTCTGACTTTTTGAACTAAAACACTATAGTTGAATTCCTCTGTACCTTAGGACAAGATTGCTGGCACATATATTTCCAAGTCCACAATTATTAATGTATAATTTCTCTTTATCAACGTTGATTAGTAAAAATTATTCAGTGCTCCAGAAGTGAACAGTTTTACCCCATGGTGTATTCTTTTTATGTATTAAAGATAGAACTATGATGAATTACAGTTTTACTTTTCAAAAGCTTAAAATTATAATTAGCAGTAATACATGAATTATATTTGTTACTGTGAGTTGTCAGTAGTTGGTTTATTAATCATGGAGCCAACTTAGTTCTTATTATGTGGCGTGTAAAGATTTAGGGCAGATCTGCCCAGTAGAACTTCCTATGTTGATGGAACTCCTCTATACCTTTGCTGTTCCATATAGAAGCAACTAGGCACGTGTGGCGCCTGAAATGTGACTGGTGAAACTGAGGAACTACATTTTTATTTTTATTTAATTGTAATTAAATTTAAATAGCCGTAAGTGACTAAGGGCACTGTATTATAAAGCACAGATTTGAATCAACTCATAGCAACTCTTTGCCTCCTTGGTGCCCTTTAGAGCCTGGCCAGTAATGGAGAGAATTACCCCTGCTGGCATTTTCTGTCAGAAAAGTGTGGTTCTGCATAAATTATCATTTGAATAATGCTTATAGGTTTCACGTATTTGGAAAATTGGCTGATCAAGTAGTAAAATTATGGCTTTTAGTTATATTAAACTTATCAAGATTATTTCTGGGAGCATAGGAAAATAAAAGGAAGATTTTGTTTGAAATATTTTCCTGAGGTTTTTCTTTTGTTTTTAAAATATCAAAGGAGTTCAGTCTTAGAGTTCACAAAACAAGTTACATGCATTTTCTCTCCCAGTTTGCTACTCTGGTATCTTTTATCAGTCTTGAATGTTAGAATGTTAGAGCTAGAACTAAGGAACTAGGCTGTCATTCAGCCTACTCTGAGCTGTTCATTTTATACTAATGGAGAGAGAGAGAAAGACATAGAAGTCTCACTGACTTGCACAGTTTACTTCCCACTGACTAGATCTTGGATAAGGACTTTTTTGTCTTATTCATAAAAGGCGATTGTGTTCAATTATGTTATGCTCAGAGGTGGAATATATAATACTGACTTCTATTGCTTAAAAAAGGTGATTATGAATGGAGGAAGAAGTCTGTGGGACAGGAAATTTAAAATAAAATTTTAGAGTTAGATAGGTAAGTAGTTTTAGCTTTTCTTGTTTAATTAATTATATAACGGTAATTGGTAATTGATAGACTTTTTTTTCTCCATAGATTATGAGAAGAAAAAATCAATGCCAAGTTTTGTTGACCGCATCTTTGGTGGTGAACTAACTAGTATGATCATGTGTGATCAATGCAGAACTGTAAGTAGATGTCATGTATACTGGGTTTATTTGCTAATATTCAACAGTTTATCAATTGTTTATTTCAAAAGCAGAAATCTCTACCTTCATAGGATATCTTTTTAAACTATTCAGATGCTATTCAGATGTGCATGGTTCTTTGTGGGAAATGTCAGCACTCCTTAAATCTTGAAGACGTTAAACAGTTTGATTTATTTCCCCCAACCCAAAGTCCTCAATGTTGTGTAATTTTTCATTTCAAATTTTCTTAAGCCTTTGTTTATTTTAAAACCCATCCCCTACTCCCCATCCCACAGGGCAGGGAGGATCTTACTATGTAACATTTACAGTATTTACATTTTTACACTGTCTTTTCTGATTGGTTAAGGTCTCCTTGGTTCATGAATCTTTCCTTGATTTGTCCCTCCCAGTTTTAGATGATCAGGTAAGACTATTGAATTTATTTTATTCAAGTAGATTTTTTTTCCTGTAAGATTTTGTGGGGGGAAGCCTTGTTACTCTTTTTAAGTTTGTATATTACTAGCCCATGCAGAAATTTTTCTTAATTTGAGGTAGAATGCATTTTAGGATTTGAATAAAGAACAGGGTAACTACTTTAAAAACAAGGATGGAAAAAAAGATGATGTATTCAGAATTCTGTACAAGTAATTAGTTTGATTGGTTTCCATACAGTGAAGTATTTTCCTTATATTAAAATTAATACTTATTTTTGTTATTTAAGACTAATCACGAATCCCTTGCACACCTAAGTTCATAAATGTTAAAGAGTATTATTTTGTTTTAATTTGGTTCCTTTTAAATAGTAGTAGGAAAAAAGAAGAGATGTTATGAGTATTGGATAAATCATTCTTCAACTTCATATGAATTATGAGACCCTTGGCTTGTTAACTTGGCAATTAAAGTCTCACCAAATTTTATTTTCTGTTTTTCTGAAACTGTCATATGCATGCAAAGAAAGAAAAGAATAAAAAAGAATACACCGTGGTGACTTACATAAGTCACTTAGAAAATGTATTTGGAAATGGACGTATTTACAGTGTGACACAGCATGTATCTAATAAATTTCGTTATATTTCTATTACACTTACATGTGATGTTGCCTTTTGCTGTTTTGTTGGTTTGCTTGTTTTCTCATTATGTGAAGATTGCTTTCTAGTGTATGAGATAAACGAATTTTGTCTCATCTATTTTCAAATATTGTGGAAAAAAAAAGCTAATACATAATAGAAGTAGAAAAATATTTACATAGTGTGGATTTTTTTTCACCAAATGGTAGTTGTAAAATTTTGTTTTTGACCTATGTTATCTATATTTTAAGAGTGGTAAGAAAAGTGTAAATGATAAAAATCTGAAAAAGACAGTGGAGGATGAAGATCAAGATAGTGAGGAAGAAAAAGATAACGACAGTTACATAAAAGAGAGAAGTGATATTCCTTCTGGAACAAGTAAGCACTTACAGAAAAAAGCAAAGAAACAAGCCAAAAAGCAAGCCAAGGTGGGTAATTAGGAGGAAAATCATATGCTTGTAATTTTATATTTTGAGCTATTGAGTTTGTAGTCTGAATGACATTGGTTAGACATGTCTGTTATTTTAGATACAGCACTTTCATTTGACAATTACAGAATTTAGCTCATTTAGTATTCTCTGCAGGGAAATTGCTTTGAGTATATGTGAAGAAAACGTCGTGCTTCTTTTTTTTTAAATCCTGCATTGCTTGTAACAAGTATTTGTAGTAAGTTTAATTAACTTAATTTTCGAGTTAATATTATTGACATCCACAAATTTAAAAATATATAAAGGTAAACAATAAGTCCCCCTCCCACCACTGTTTTTTTTTTCCAACCCGAGATGGAGTCTTGCTGTGTCGCCCAGGCCAGAGTGCAGTGGCACGATCTCTGCTCACTGCAACCTCCATCTCCTAGGTTCAAGCAATTCTCGTGCCTCAGCCTCCTGAGCAGTCAGGACTACAGGTGCATGCCACCAAGCCTAGCTAATTTTTATATTTTTAGTAGAGACAGGGTTTCACCATTGTTGGCCAGGCTGGTCTCAAACTCCTGACCTCAAGTGATCCTCCCTCCTCAGCCTGCCAAAGTGCTGGGATTACAGGCATGAGCCACCGCGCCCGGCCGACCACCACTTTCCTTTTATGACAAAGATAAACATTTTTGTTTTTTCTTACGTATCCTTCTGGAGTTTCTTTTGGAAAATATGAGCAAATACAAATATGCAGTCTTGGTTTTTTTCCCCCTTTCTCACCATTCACACCATTCTGGATTGTGTTGTTTGTTTATACTTAGATTCTTGGAGTCCTTTCCATTTTAGTATATAAAACTTCTTCATTCTTTTTTTTTTTTTTTTTGAGATGGTGTCTCACTCTGTCGCCCAGGCTGGAGTGCAAATGGCGAGATCTTGGCACACTGCAACCTCTGCCTCCCAGGTTCAAGTGATTCTCCTGCCACAGCCTCCCAAGTAGCTGGGATTACAGGCATGTGCCACCGTACCTGGCTAACTTTTGTATTTTTAGTAAAGACAGGTTTCGCCATGTTGGTCAGGCTGGTCTCTAACTCCTGACCTCAGATAATCTGCCCACCTCAGCCTACCAAAGTGCTGGGATTACAGATGTGAGACACCGTGCCTGGCCCATTCTTTCTTTCTTTCTTTCTTTCTTTTTTTTAACAGTTGCATGATTCTGTGTTATGGATGTGCCATAATTCATTTAACCATTTCTCTATTGATTTAGGTTGTTTCTAGTATTTTGCTATAATGGTGAGTGCTCTAGTGAATAACCCTACACATAAGTCATCTGTAGGGTAAATTTTGAGAAGAGGGATTGCATTTGTAGTTTTGGTTGATACTAATTGTCCTTCACAAAGGTTGCTCCTGACCCTTGACAGCTGTGTGTTATCAAACTTCCAGATTTTGATTGGTATGTTAGATGGAAAATATTATCTCAGTGCAGTTTTATTTTACATTTATTTTAATATAAATTAGATTAAGCATATTTTTATGTTTCAGAGCCATTTGCATTTCATGTTCTTTGAAGTTTTTGCTTATATTCTTTTCTTATTTTTTATTCATGTGTTCCTCTGTTTTTACGGAAACACATCAGAAAATGTTTGGTTCCCATCCTGTTTGCTGCCCTTCATTCTTCTGGTATTACAGAGTAGCCTCACAGGGGCTGTTCTTTCAGTTCTTTCTGTTACAACCAGAAATGCCTTTGGGTTTTTAGGCATTTCAGTAACAGGAATCTTGATGAAATGCCTTCTTTTCCTCTATTTGGAAGTAGGTTGCAAGTGGCAAGAGTGATTTTAAAGGGAAAAGTTCTTTACTCTCTTCTGTATGTGTGGCTACCTTGCTTCTTTGCTAACTTCAGGCCATTTTTTTCCCAGAATACTTTTGTCCATTCCTCTGACCAAAGCAGTCCTGTACTTGTGCATCCTTGAGTTTTCTTTCAGTTTGTTTTTTTTTTTCTCTCAGTGAAACCTTGACCCAGTAACTCATATGGATACATTTCTTTCTGTTAGTGTGGAGTCAGACCCACCGTGTGGTATAACATTTGACTGCCTGGGTTTAACAGTCTTAGTACTCTGCCTGGATTACTTCCCTTAGCACAGAGACCATGTCTTGCATATTTTTATTTCTACAGTAGGGTGGTTTTTTGATGGTTGGTGATGGTTTATTCCTGATTTCATTTAAATAACTTTTTCTTTCTTTTTTTTGGGAACAGAGTCACTTTGTTGCCCAGGCTGGAGTGCAGTGGTGTGGTCTCGGCTCACTGCAACCCCCACCTTCCATGTTCAAGCTATTTTCCTGCCTCAGCCTCCCGAGTAGCTGGGATTACAGGCGCGCACCACCCATGTGTGCATTACAGGCACGCCTGGCTAATTTTTGTATTTTTAGTAGAGATGGGTTTTCACCATGTTGGCCAGGCTGGTTTCAAACTCCTCACCTCAAGTGAGATGCCCTCCTTGGCCTCCCAAAGTGCTGGGGTTACAGGTGTGAGCCACCACACCTGGCCTAAATAACTTTTCTTCATAATTTATTTTTTGAGACAGAGTCTTGCTCTGCCACCCAGTTTGGAGTATAGTGTGCATGATCATACCTCACAGTAACCTTGAACTTTTGGGCTCAAGTGATCCTCCCACCTCAACCTGCTGAATAGCTGGGACTACAGGTGGACACCAACGTGCCCAGCTAATTTTTATTTTTATTTTTTTTTAGAGATGGGGTCTCAGTATGTTGCCCAAGCATGTCCCAAACTCCTCAAGTGATCCTCTTGTGATCATCTTGCTTTGGCCTTCCACAGTGCTAGGATTACAGGTGTGAGCCGCCATGCCCAGCCAATTTCGTCATAATTTTTTTGATCCTTGATAGCAAAGGAACTTTTTAGGATCAGATTGTGAGAGTGAACTCTTCCTTAGGAAATTATTTTTGATTGACAAGCAGCAAAACTGGATATAGTACATGTGTGTGTTTTGTCCTTCTTCCTCTATCTCTCTTCCTCCTTTTCTCCCGCTCTTTCTTTTTCTTTATTTTTTGATGCCGTATACTTTTTACCCAGAACCAACGAAGACAACAAAAAATTCAAGGAAAAGTTCTTCATTTAAATGATATTTGTACTATTGACCATCCTGAAGACAGTGAATATGAAGCTGAAATGTCACTTCAAGGAGAAGTAAATATTAAATCCAACCATATTTCACAAGAGGGTGTTATGCATAAAGAATATTGTGTCAACCAGAAAGATTTGAATGGCCAAGCAAAAATGATCGAAAGTGTAACTGACAATCAAAAATCCACAGAGGAAGTAGATATGAAAAATATCAACATGGATAATGATCTGGAGGTTTTAACATCTTCTCCCACTAGGAATTTAAATGGTGCCTACCTAACGGAAGGGAGCAATGGAGAAGTGGACATTTCCAATGGTTTCAAAAACCTAAATTTGAATGCTGCTCTTCATCCTGATGAAATAAATATAGAGATTCTGAATGATAGTCATACTCCTGGAACAAAGGTGTATGAGGTTGTAAATGAAGATCCAGAAACTGCTTTCTGTACTCTTGCAAACAGGGAAGTTTTCAATACTGATGAGTGTTCAATCCAACATTGTTTATATCAGTTCACCCGTAATGAGAAACTTCGAGATGCGAATAAACTGCTTTGTGAAGTATGCACACGGAGACAGTGTAATGGACCAAAGGCAAATATAAAAGGTATTTTAATGCTCTCACTGTAAGTAAAATTAATATTCAGGGGCACATTTTGCACTGCATAGGTAGAGTACTCCTAATTGTATCAGGATTTGGATGGCATGAATAAGTGTCCTTTTCTGTGTAAATATTTTAATAGGATGGAAAAGTAGGACTTTATTGAAGTGGCTAATACACTGTGACATCCCAGCAGCAGTTAAATGGGACAGTTTTCTCCCTGACATCTCTCCCTGTGGGTAAATTATCCCCTTGGAATGCAGTCACCACAGCATCCTGACACATAGTGGCTATTTTTTTCCACCCTTACCTCCTTTGCACCCAGGACGCCACACTTGAATTTATCAGTGAACTAATATGACATGCCCAGTGCAAAGCACTGGGAAGACAGTGCTTTCTTACAGTCTTCCTCAAATGGGAGAAAGGATCATACTGACAATTTCCCTTATCTCCCCATTGCTTTTTTTTTTGAGTTTGGGTAAATAGGATGTGGAGGGGCCATGGATTCCTAAGGATTTTTAGTAGAATTGTTGAAACATTTTAAAATTCTAAGTAGAATTTTATTTATTTACATATAGAGACAAAAAGTAAGCCTGTGTGTGTGTGTATGTATCTTATATGTGTGTGTATGTATATATATATATGTGTGTGTATGTATATATATATAAGCTCAGAGACTATACAAAAATAGGCTTACTTTTTGTCTGTATATATATCAGCTCAGAGACGATACGTGTGTGTGTGTGTGTGTGTGTGTGTGTGTGTGTGTGTGTGTGTGTGTGTTTTGAGACAGAGTCCTGCCCTTTCTCCCAGGCTAAAGTGCAGTGGCCAATTTCAGCTCACTGCAATCTCCACCTCCCGGGTTCAAGAGATTCTCCTGCCTCAGCCTCCCAAGTAGCTGGGACTACAGGCACCCGCCACCACACCTGGCTAATTTTTGTATTTTTAATAGAGATAGGGTTTCGCCACGTTGGCCAGGGTGGTCTCAAACTCCTAACCTCAAGTGATTTGCCCGCCTAGGCCTCCCAAAGTCCTGGGATTACAGCGTGAGCCATCGCACCCAGCCTAAAAAATATTTTTTATAGATGAGCATTTGCAAATGATTTGATGTGATGGAATATACTAAACTTTCAACCTCATTAACCAAAATATTGTGTCTCTCCACAGTAATTCAATTTTGCTCTGATTGTAATCATTCTCAGTTATTACTGTATTTTGATTTCATCAGTAAGAATTTATGGACATTTTAATCTCATAAATACCTATAAAATATCTTTGATTTTGCCTCTTACTCCACAAATTCTACAATATTTGTTATCTAGTACTTCATAGAAAAAGTTTACTGATCCTTGCTTTAGATGTTTGGAATGATTTTATAGCAAATCTGAATGCTTTAGGGGTCTAAAATGATTTTCTCCCTGTTAAAAATTTCTTCTTTTCTTTAGGTGAAAGGAAGCATGTTTACACCAATGCCAAAAAGCAGATGCTAATTTCTCTTGCTCCTCCTGTTCTTACTCTTCATTTAAAGAGATTTCAGCAGGTACTCCTTGTTACCCAAAATTTGTTTTAAATATGTAACACCTACTTTATTACCTATTTTTTTCATTACTGTCTCAACATACTACTTTGTTTCTTTGGTTTTCTGTTGTTTCTTAACTGTAATGTCAATGAAGTCAGAAAGGGAAAAACATAGGGGCTAGGCAGAGGCGCATGTGAAGATGGAGGCACAATCTCCTCAGATTTCCTAGAACTCATTTATGTCCCTCTTTTTAGTACGATTGGCATCTTACTTTTATTTCAGGTTAAAAAAAGAAAAAGACTGGTGTGTTACATATATCTCATGCTTAGGAATATTAGTGATTTTTTCTGTTTTGTGTGTGGCATCTTGTTTTTACGGACCCTTGATAAAAAGACATTGGTGCCTTGGATTGTCATCATTTTGGTGACCTCATCTTTTCTGGAAAACTTTTGCTATAGCTGTATAACTTCTAAACTGTGTTGCAAATTCCGAAAGTACTTTCAGTATCTTCAGAACGTTTTGCCTCTTGTGGTTGGTATGGGCTTGACTAATTGGGTGGGCCTTTATTAACAATTCACTAAGCTTGGTTTGAGCATGAGGCTGAGAGCGTGTGTTTCACAGAAAAGTATTATGCTATCGCTGAGTTTTAAGCACTCAGAACCTGTGGTCTAATCTGGCATTTCTGGATGGCTGAAGCAGAAACATTGAGAATTTTCTCACGAGAAAAGTTGTTTTTCTTCTTTTTGAAACAGTCTTGTTCTGTCACCCAGGCTGGTGTGCAATGACACGATCATGGCTCACTGAAGGTTTGACCTCCCAGTCTCAAGCGATCCTCCCACCTTAGCCTCTATAGTAGCTGGGACTATAGGTGGCTACCACCATGTCCAGCTAATTTTTTAATTTTTTTGTAGAGACAGAGTCTCACAGTGTTGCCCAGGCTGATCTCGAACTCCTGGGCTCAAGTGATCCTCCTGCCTCAGCTTCCCAAAGTGCTGAGATTACAGGCATGTGCCATCGTGTCCAGCTGGGAATAGCTTTCTTAATGTGTTGGTGTGTGTTTTTTGTGTGATACATGTGTACTTAGCAAAAGCAAACCAACTTGGAATCAGTTAGTGTTCAGGAAGAATTGAGTCTCCAAAGAAAATTGAACTAGGACTTAATGTTGATATTCTTTTGGACGTCGGAGGGGACTTCGGTTTACTTAACCTGTATTGCTTTTCCAAGAAAAGAAGTCAATCTGTTATGCTTCTCTTTTAGGCTGGTTTTAACCTACGCAAAGTTAACAAACACATAAAGTTTCCGGAAATCTTAGATTTGGCTCCTTTTTGCACCCTTAAATGTAAGGTAAGTCAAAGTGGTCTTTTTCAGGAAAGTCCTTTAAAGTCAAATTGTGGCTTACCTAATGCTCCAGTAGCAACTCACTTAAGTATGAAGTTGATAACACTTATTGAGTAGAGTGGGTCTTTGATCATTGTACCTTTATAATTTGAAGATTAGTGATGAATCATTTTGAAGAATGGGTTATTTCAGTTCAACGTTTGGAATCCCCTTTATTATGGCATACATTGTCTTGTGAGCGGAGGGCATAAAACTAAAGGTGAGCAGATCTATTAATGAATAATCTGTTTAATGTGGTTGAATGTTAAGGCTGGTGAACATAGGTCAGGAGTGGTATACACTTAACCCAGCATGTTGGTGGTTCAGGAATGGCTTTGTAAAGTAAACCATGCCTCAACTATATTTAAAGAAGGAGTAAAAGTATGATGAATCAAGATGAAATGAGTTTTGCAGGCAGAAGGAACAGCAGGAGTAAAAACAGCAGTGTAAAATAGGATGGTGATTGCCAGAGACTGGTAACGTATGTAGTTCTAGAGTTTATAGTACAAGGTTATAGGGAGAGTTGAGAAATGAAGCCAGAGAAGTGAGATAGGAATGAAGTTTTGGAGGGTTCTCATGGTGAGGAACTTGGACTTCATTAGGTATACAGTGGGGAGCCCTGAGGAGTTTAAAGCACTGGGGTGGCATGGTCAGATCTTCATATGACGTAGGTTACTTGTTGATGTATGAAGGCTGAATTTTAGGACGGAAAGACTAGAGGTGGGGAAGTGAGTTTGGAGGCTGTTGTATTAATTCAGCCAGTAGTTGATGAGGGCTTAAAGTTGGGCAGGAGATGGGGAGATAGAAGGAATATTTCAGGAGGTAGAATTAACCAGACTTAATGATTGATTGGCACTGTAAGGTGAGGCAGAGGCCTTTTATAAGTGGATGCTGAGGGTGGCAGAGAAAGGGTTGAGGATGATTCCTGAGGCCTGGCACGACAGATGGGAGTGCTGTAAATTGAGATAGGATATATAGGGAGAAAAGCAGGTTGAGAAAAGCAGGTAGAGAAAGGATAATGACTTCAGTTTTAGATACATTTGAGTGTCAGATACCTTTGAGAAATTAATGTGCTTAGTCTAGAAAACATTTGGATATACATATCTGAGACCTATAGCAGAGAGGTTAGGATGGGCCCAGGGCACAGATTTAGAAATCAGTACATATGTGGCAGTTTAAACTATGAGAAGATGGGATCCCTTGTGTATAGAGTCTGAAGAGAGAAAAAGGAGATGGCCAATGACAGGACCCTCCTAAGTATCTGAGTGGAAGAGGCAGGGGTAGAAAGTGAGGACACCACAAAGGATCTCAAAGAATCTCCATGTTGAAGAATTTGGGGCTGGGCGTGGTGGCTTACGCCTGTAATGCCAACACTTTGGGAGGCCGAGGCGGGTGGATCACTTGAGGTGAGGAGTTCGAGACCAGCCTGGCCAGCATGGTGAAACCCTGTCTCTACTGAAAATACAAAAATTAGCCAGGCATGGTGGTGTGCGCCTGTAATCCCAGCTACTCGGGAGGCTGAGGCAGGAGAATTGCTGGAACCTGGGAGGCAGAGCTGCAGTGAGCCGAGATTGCGTCACTGCACTCCTGCCTAGGTGACAGAGCAAGAAACTCCCTCAAAAAAAAAAAAAAGTCTGGGCCAGTTGCTGTGATGGGCATAATGGAAGAGGCCGCTAAGGACAATTTATAAGATTATGGTCACATTGAGGACTATGACAAGGTACATGATCATTTATTATACTTTTGTTTCTTGGCAGTAGTGGCCATCTGGGTTTGGGGCATGGCAGGTACATTATAGGATTCAGGGTGAGGTTTTGTGATGAATTGGATATGGAGGAGATTATTTGTAAGTGATACATGTGATTGAAGTTCCCAAACTTTAATGTGTATGTGGGAATCAGACCTACAAATTTTGATTCTGTAGGTCTAGTATGGGATCAAAAATTCTGCATGTTTAATGTAAACTCTCAGGTGATGCTGATGCTGGCTGTTCATGGACCACATTTTGAATAGCAATGGTCTAGACTGCATATGGGAATTATATTATGTCAGTTTCCATGCTGCTGATAAAGATATACTGGACAAGATATACTGGGCAAGACTGGGCAATTTACAAAAGAAAGAGGTTTACAGTTCCACATGGCTGGGGAGGCCTCACAGTCATGGCGGAAGGCAAGGAGGAGCACGTCACATCTTACATGGATGGCAGCGGGCAAAGCAAGAGCTTGTGGAGGGAAACTCCCCCTTAAGAAACCATCAGCTCTCATGAGGCTTATTCACTATCAAGAATAAGGATGGGAAAGACCTGCTCCCATGATTCAGTTGCGTCCCAACGGGTACCCTCCCATGACATGTGGGAATTGTGGGAGCTACAACTCAAGATGAGATTTGGGTAGGGACACAGCCAAACCATATCAGGAATGAAGCCAAAAGTCTTCATAGGTGAGGAGAATATGAGCATTGGAGATCCTGTTAGGTTAAAGAGTACAGAATAGGTGAGATGAGAGTTGAATAAATAGAAGACTTGTGGACTAAGACTAAAAATAAGATTTATGTCCCTTCAGCTCAGGAGTTTGAGACCAGCCCAGGCAACATGCTGAAACCCCATCTCTACAAAAAATTAATTTAGCAGGTCATGGTGGTGTGCACCTGTAGTCCCAGCTATTCCAGAGGCTGAGGCGGGAGGATCACTTGAGCCCAGGAGGCAGAGGTTGCATTGAGCTGAGATCATGCCACTGCACTCCAGCCTGGGTGACGGAGTGAGACCCTGTCTCAAAAAAAATTTTATGAAGTTGAACAATTCTGAGTGATGACAAGCCCAGACTCTAGTCCTGGGTGTGGTTGACTAAAATGGAATGGCATTTAAAGTCCTGTGAGAATCATAGATGGACGGAGAAGTACTAAGTTCTTCAGTGAATATGGAGGCACAGATTGGGAAGCTGAGTATAGGAGACAGTACTACTGAAGGGCCGTGATGCCTGTTACGGACTTTTACATGAGAACATAAATAGTTGTCTGAAAAGTGGCTCCTGGCCCAGAGAATGCCTGTTCCTGTTGCCAGCCCTATGGCATATAGAGTCCTGAAAGAATAAGCAGCGTGCACTCTCTCGTGGGGAAAGTGAACACTTGAGAGGTTGAATGTGCTTCTCACCAACTCCCTTGGGGACATTTAAAGATGTAAGGGGTAATTTTTGGCACAACCTAAAATACTGTTCTCTTCCTGTTCAGGGCTTACCTTTTTTTAAACAGGGTATTCAGAGTTGTTAATAGCTAGGGTTGTTAAGAATTATCCTCAGGCTCCTAAAGAAACTGGCAAGTTGAATTCAGTTATTTGGTATCTGAGCCAGGTAACTGCATCAAGTGGCCTGTGGCTTACAGCTTTTCTACCAGGGGAACAATGGTGAATTTATAATAAAAACAGAAGTGTCTCAGGCTGAGAAGAGGTATGGAGAAAAGAGTAGACTCATGAATGATTTCTGCACTCTCAAAGTAATGGTTAAAGACCCTTTGCATAGTGTAAACTTGTCTTGCCCATGACATCTGTGTAAATGGAACTAGAACTAACTTTTGGATTCTACTCATTTTTAAAGAATGTTGCAGAAGAAAATACAAGGGTACTCTATTCCTTATATGGAGTTGTTGAACACAGTGGTACTATGAGGTCGGGGCATTACACTGCCTATGCCAAGGCAAGAACCGCAAATAGTCATCTCTCTAATCTTGTTCTTCACGGTGATATTCCACAAGGTAAGATGTCTTGGAAAATTCAGGCACTCAGCAGATTACGGCAAAACCAAAAAGTAATCAACTTGAATCTTTCCATTTATGTTTGATTTTTCATTTTCTCATGACAGATTTTGAAATGGAATCAAAAGGGCAGTGGTTTCACATCAGCGACACACATGTGCAAGCTGTGCCTACAACTAAAGTACTAAACTCACAAGCGTACCTCCTATTTTATGAGAGAATACTGTAATAATATCAAAAGCACTTTTTCTGGAAACACATTTATGGCTTTTATAATGGCTGAAATAACGATAAAAAAAGACTAATTAAAATCATGTTCACTTAACATTAAATACATGCCAGAAGAAATCATGTTTATTTAAATATTGAAGGGAAAAATACCTAAAAATGTACAAAGGTTTTATATTGTCATAGTGGTTTTTATTCCTGCTTTGTTTCTGGAAAGGAAATCCTGAATTACTTAAGTACTTTGTGTTTAATATATCTGGGTGATGGATCACAACACATCAATAAACTGACTTACCCTAAAATCTTGTTTTATTACTGGGAAGATTTTAACTTCTATTGACTTATCCTACTAGGTAACACTTTAAAAAATATTTCATCAGACTGGCTAATGAAGCTTCATTACAAGTGTGTTAATTTTTTTTTTTTTTTTTTTTTTTTTTTTTTGAGACGGAGTCTTGCTCTGTCGCCCAGGCTGGAGTGCAGTGGTGCGATCTCAGCTTACTGCAAGCTCTGCCTCCTAGGTTCACGCCATTCTCCTGTCTCAGCCTCCCGAGCAGCTGGGACTACAGGCGCCCGCCACCACGCCCAGCTAATTATTTGTATTTTTAGTAGAGACAGGGTTTCACCGTGTTAGCCAGGATGGTCTCGATCTCCTGACCTCGTGATCCACCTGCCTTGGCCTCCCAAAGTGCTGGGATTACAGGCTTGAGCCACCGCGCTGGGCCATACAAGTGTGTTAATTTTATAAGCATCTATATTGACAGCAGAATATAAATGGGAGCAATGTTTCTTTATAAGCCTTCTGATGCCATAGTGTGCATAAGCTGGGGTATACAAGGCCTTACTCTGTATTTGCTCTGTGCCAGTGGTCAACTGATTTTGGACAGATGTAAGACAAACCAGTCTCACTCCTATGAGTATAATTGGGTACCAAACCCCTTAATACCAGCATACCAGAGAAAGCCTGTGAACTGTCCCAAGTCAGCCACTGTTTGAGTTACATGCAACACAAAGAGCTTAGGGACACCAAGCGTCTCTGAACTTCTTGAAAGGTTCTCTGAGGACAACTTCGACATACGATGAACATTTCTAACTTGCTGTGGCAGTAATGAGAGTTGTATCATTCCTAACAAACACCTGTTGAGTTTATGTAATACCCAGTCAGTCATACTGCTTCTAAAATCTCTTGGAAAGAATACTAAAAACAGGCTGGTGCGGTGGCTTATGCTTGTAATCCCAGGACTCTGGGAGGTCAAGGCAGTAGGAAACGTTGAGCCCAGGAGTTTGAGACCAGCCTGGGTAACATAGTGAGACCCTATCTCTACAAAAAACTTAAAAATTAGCCAAATGTGGTAGTGTTTGCCTGTGTCCCCAGCTTTTCAGGAGGCGGAGGTGGGTGGATTGCCTGAGCCCAACAGCAGAGGTTGCAGTGAGCTGAGATTTTACCACTGCCTGTGCGACAGAGCAACACCCTGTCTCAAGAAATACATACACACACAATTTCAAACAGTATTAAGGACCTTACATAACCAACACATATAGTAGCACATGTCCTATAAAATTCAGTATGATTATTTATAATAATTTATTTATAATGTTCTTGGCTTTTTCAACACTCCTTACTGATTTTAACAAAATAGAATCTGCTTTATGAAAACTGACTTAATTTTGTATGTCAGTTTATCTATTTTCTAAGCATTTTTTTTGTACTTTGCTAAGTCGAGTGTCTTCAACAAATTATTAATTGCTATTGAAACAAGTCACCTTGAGTCAGGAATTCCAGAGCTGTGACAAAAACACTGGAAATCTAGTCCAGGTGTTGGCAGCACTTTCCTGTAGAGGGCCAGATAGTAAATATTTTAGGCTTTGTAGGCCCATTTGGTCTCTGTCAAAAATAAAGATACTTAACTCTGCCACTCCCTTGTTAGAAAGCAACTGCAGACAATATGTAATGGTATGAGCATGGCTGTGTTCCAATAACTTATTTACACAAACAGGCAGTAGGCCAGATATACATGGGTAATAGGCCTCTACTTACATAAGTGACTTGCCTTAAGTCCCACAGCTAATGTGATTAACAAGGTTGAGAGGAACACAAGTCATTTAGAGCCAATAACCGTGGTCATTAGACAATAAGGCTTTGACAGTAACAATATGTTTATTATAACATCCAGCCAAGAATACAAACACAAAATAACTCTTAATTTAAGGAGAATAAGAAAACATCAGGTGATTCTTGAGTACTACTACAAATACAGCCTTCACCTACAGTAAAAATTAAGCCAATTTCAATCATTTTGGTCATCATCCCAGTCTTTCTTCCCACTTGGAGGCTTGGGCCCACCAGCTGGTTTTGCCATGATGATCTGCATAAAAAAGAATCACACAAGAGTATGCTTATCAACTTAACCTTTAGAATGAAAAGAATGCTTCTATTAGCATGATTTAAGATTAAGCAGTCTTCTTGGTATAATTATGTACTGCATATAAAACACTACAGCACAGAGTTTGCTAGCTCCCTTGTTAGAAATTCAATTGTAAACTTTCAGCGCATGAGAAAGTTTACTGCTTTTATGGATAACCGCAATAAAATCCACAGAGATTAGTGAACATTCCAAGACATGCACTTCAATAACTCAAAAAGCTGAAAGTGAAAATATGTGCATGCATCACTGGTGTAAGTCGGTCAGTTTGGCACCTGATTTGCTATTTATATATGAGATGTGTCTTGCCAACCATCTCTGTCCCAATTTCCTTGTGGTTTAGGAGCTTTAGGCCCACCTGCCAGCTTTGCCATTATAATCTAAAGTAGTTGATACATAAGTATATACAAAGTTTAACACTGAAATTTTCTAAAACCTGTAAATGAGAATCATTCAAGCAGCCAGGAATTTTCATAAACAAAAATCTAAGTTCCCAACTTAAAAAAAAAAGCGCCACAAACCTCACCTTACTTTATCTAAAATAAATAGGTTTTAGCTTTTTTTTTTTTTTTCTTTTTGAGACGGAGTCTTGCTCTGTTGCCCAGGCTAGAGAGTGCAGTGGCGCGATCTTGGCTCAATGCAACCTCTGCCTCCTGGGTTCAAGCAATTCTCCTGCCTCAGCCTCCTGAGTAACTGGGATTACAGGTGCCCATCACCATGCCCGGCTAAGTTTTTACTTTTAGTAGAGACGGGGTTTCACCACGTTGGCCAGGCTGGTCTCAAACTCCTGCATGATCCACCCGCCTCAGCCTCCCAAAGTGTTGGGATTATAGGTGTGAGCCACTGCGCTCGGCTGGAAAACATCTTAATTACCATCTGCAAACCTGAACTGGGCAGTGGCTCATGCCTGTAATCCTAGCACTTTGGGAGGCCAAGGTTTGAGGCCAGGAGTTTGAGACCAGCCTGGGCAACAAAGTGAGACCTAGTCTACAAAAACTAAAAATATATATATATATAAAATATATATATAACATTTGATAATATATATATGATATATGTATCATATATACGATACATATATCATACATATATCATATATAATATATATCATACATATATGTATGATATATATATCATGTATATGTATGATATGAGATATATATGATATATATGAGATATGTATGATATATACATATGTATGATATATACATATGATATGTGTGATATATACATATCAGATATATATGATATATATCTCAGCCAACCATGACAGCACCTGCCTACAGTCCCAGCTATTCGGGATGTTAAGGCAGAAGAATCACTGGAACTCAGGATTTTGAGGCTGTGGTGAGCTGATTATGATTGTGCCACTGTCCTCCAGCCTGGGTGATAGAGTAAGACCTTATCACAACAACAACAAAAAAGATACCTAAACCTGAAATTCTCAGAATAACATGTTACCAATTGAGAGTAATTTCAGACTGAATTAAAGGCATTAAGCATAATTTTAGAACCTAAGTGCACATTGATTTTAAAAAGTAACTAAAAGCTGGGTGTGGTGGCTCATGCCTGTAATCCCAGCACTTTGGGAGGCCAAGGCGGACAGATCACGAGGTCAAGAGATCGAGACCATCCTGGCCAACATGGTGAAACCCCGTCTCTACTAAAAATACAAAAAAAAATTAGGTGGGCATGGTGGCATGCGCCTGTAGTCCCAGCTACTCGGGAGGCTGATGCAGCAGAATTGCTTGAACCTGGGAGGTGGCGGTTGCAGTAAGCTGAGATCACACCACTGCACTCCAGCCTGGTGACAGAGCAAGACTCCATCTCAAAGAAAAAAAAGAAACAAACACTAAAACAAGTAGTTCCCAAACTTTAGTGGGCACCATAATCAAAAGTGCTCATTAAAACAGACTGCTAGGCCTCTTCCAGCATTTCTGATATTGGTGGGTCTGGAGTGACATCTGAGAATCTGTATTTCTTCTTTTTTTTTTTTTTTTGAGATGGAGTCTTGCTCTGTCGCCCAGGCTGGAGTACAGTGGTGCCATCTCTACTCACTGCAGGCTCCACCTCCCAGGTTCATGCCATGCTCCTGCCTCAGCCTCCCGAGTAGCTGGGACTACAGGCATCTGCCACCACGCCCAGCTAATTTTTTGTTTTTTTTAGTAGAGACGGGATTTCACCATGTTAGCCAGGATGGTCTCAACCTCCTGACCTCGTGATCCTCCTGCCTTGGCCTCCCAAAGTGCTGGGATTACAGGCGTGAGCCACCGCGCCTGGCCTCCAAGAATCTGTATTTCTTATTTATTTTTAGTTTTTTAAAAGATGGAGTGTCACTCTGTCAACCAGGCTGGAGTGCCATGATGTGATCACAGCTCACTGCAGCCTTCAACTCCTGGGCTCAAGTGATCCTCCCACCTCAGCCTCCTGCGTAGCTGGGACTACAGGTGTGAGCCACCATACCTGGCTGAGAACTGTCATTCTAACAAGTTCTCAGGTGATGTTGATACTATTTTGGGACCATACTTTGAGAACTAGTGAAATAGACATTCCAACAAAGATTAATCCAGTCCGTACTACACTATCCAATGCTTAAAGCTTGATGTGCAATTCCTTTTCTAGAATATATACTATACAAATTTAGGTTCATTATACTATACACTATATACACAAACTGGTTAATACAGTTGGATGGGTTCTTTAGATACATACTTCACATAGAGTGCAAAGACTGGGGGAACAGATCAACCAACAACTTCCCCTACCATAAGATAAAGCAGACTTCCTAGTTTAAAGCCAAAATTCAAACTGCCTTTGTGACCAAGGGTGGTGGTTATTGTCTTGCTTGAATAATTGACATTCAAAGTTCCTAACACAGTTGGAATTTCTGCGTTCCTTATGCTGCAGTCTACTTAGCTTCTTCCGTCCCTGCTATTTTTGGTTTCCCCTTTTATTCTTAGCCACATTCTAATTTCTAGAATAAGTATTTTCTTAGGTTTCTATTTAAGAACTCAAACATATTCTTCCATTGAAAATCACCTAATAAGCTGACAGAGAAACCCGTTAATCTGGTACATAAACATCTAGTTTCTGCTTATTTTCAATGACTTGAAACTAAATATCCAGTTCCATTTTTGGTCATCTCTTGCTATCATAGTTCTTCCAATAAATTTGTTATAATTACCACCAACTGGTCCTTACTGTACTTAAAAGCTGAAATGTCTTTCCACTGATTTCTACTTAGGACTTACTCCACCTTTAATATGACATATGACTTTTACCTAATGGATGTATACTGTCCCTCTAGCAAATTAAAATTTTCTATTAAGTACTTATAAATAGTCATTGCTTATTAATTACTTCTAGAATTTTGTGGGGAAATGTATTTAATTAAGTTTGCCAGAAAATACCTTTTGGAAAAATAATTATGATTTCAGGTTTACTTCTATATATAGAACAGTCTACCACAATTCTTCAAAAAAAAAAAAAAAAGGGTAGAAATATGATTTTAAACACCTTTAACATCTTTTAGTATCTCAAGCTGTAATTTGTCATAGCAGAAAAAATTTTCAATGCCCAGTCCTCTTATCTGCAGACAGCTAGAGACTCCATTTTCCTTCAAGCTGGTGGTCTGCAATGTCTGCTTGAGAGCTTTATGGTCCTTCCAAATTCCATGTTAGTATTATATATTAAATTTACTCTCTAAATTATTTGTACAAATGGGTTCTAAGGCTAAAAGGTTTGAAAGTTATATATTCAATACAATTTATAATAGAAGAAAAAAATTGGAGGGGGGCACATAGTATCTCTAATAGGTGAGGACTAAGAATCCTTTGAATTAGAACTATGCTATGTTCTAGTTCTGGGAAAATATACTATTAAACAGTATGCAAATGAGTATTTTTAAAGATCAAAATTTCACTTTGCTCACCTGATCCACTCTAAGTACAGTGACTGCAGCATTAGTAGCGAGTTTGATAGCCCAATATTTTCCCAGGTAAGTATCTAGAATACCAGCTTCCAGCATGTCCTTTACAGCAGGGACTTCAGCCTGTCAAACACAATTTTCATCCTTTCATTTAAAATCCTTTTATGTGAAAATGTTTACACCCACAAAAAGCCTCACATAGCTCCTTAAATAGTACTGGAAAGTAACCAAGCACAGTCCTACCTTATAGAGTCATCCTTTAGTATGTGAGGATTGGTTCTAGCACCTCCAAGGATGCCAAAATCTGTGGATGCTCAAATCCCTTACATAAAATGGCATGGTGTTTGGATATAATCTATGCACATCCTCTCATATACTTTAAATCGTCTCCAGATTAATTATATAACATAGTGTAAATAGTTGTTATAGTGTATTTTTAAATGTCTTTAGTTTTTCCAAATATTTTCAATCTGTGGTTGGTTGAATCAATGGATACAGAACTGGGCTGACTACACACTACAGAACAAAAGACTATCAATAAAACAGAAGGAAAATGAAACGTTCCTCCATCAGACAACCTATGTAAAAACTAAGAAAATAATCTGCTCCCAAATCAGAACACTGTTTCTCATTGATATTTCTTTTAAACTCATACTATTTTTAGGTTGTGCATTCCCCAAATAAAGCAATTTAAGTTCAGTGTTTTTTCAAATACCTCAATATCTAATCCAACGTTTTTATTTCCTTCTTGATGTACTGCATAAAGTTTAGAGATTACTTCATTGGCCTTAACTCCAGAGTTTTCTGCCAGTGCGCGGGGAATAGCTTCAAATGCCTCAGCAAACTTCTTAATAGCATACTGTTCAAGTCCAGGACATGTCTAAAACAAAAATGCGTTAATTACTGTCTTTTATTCAAGCAATGGAAAGAAAGTCAATTTATACAGAAAAAGCTGTACCTCTCCATATGATGTGATCTGTTTGGCTAATTCAATTTCTGTTGCTCCACCTCCGGGTACAAGACGTTTATCCTGTATGTAGCGCCCCCACCAAAAAAAAAATGAACACAAAACAAATTCACTAAAAATCAGTTTGCAGTTTTCTAATCTTTTCACATTCCAGTACCCCACCAAACAGGAGTTTTTATCAGTCATTGTTACTCAAATACATATTACAAATTTGGTAAAAATGAGTGGGTGGGGCAAATTTTCTTAGTGCACAGTGTCTGGTGTATGAAAAGGACCAAAGTGAAGAATGGGAATAGTACCGTATCATTTTTGCATATCCACAGATATAGCACTAAGAACTGCTTTAGCAACTAACAGTACATTACAATGGAAAACAACGATAAACAATTTTTTTTAAAGCTCTGTTTTGCTGTTAACTCCTCTGTACAATCTTTTTTGGAAACTATCATATTCACTAACAATGGACACTTAAGTCTTAGGTAAAAACAAAAACAGGTGCTTCATTTCATATAAACCACTCATTCTGAAGTTCTCATGATGTGCAAGAGTCTGCAAACTGTACTTTTAAGACCATACAAATTACTCAGACCTTACAAACTACTAAGAATATTGCTGATACTGACCCTTGTAAGAACTTTGAAAGTATTAACACCATCGTCTACTGCCCTTTCTATGTCATCCATCAGATTGTCTGTAGAGCCTCGAAGTACTATGGTAGAAATGGCGCCATCTTCCTTTTCTATCAAAAAATTAAATATATTTGGTGATTAAATACAAGAAGCTAAAGCCCTACACTTAAACATGTTTTACCATTCCTACATACCATGCTTAAAAACCACCACCTGAGTATCTCCAACTTCTGAGAGGTAAACACTGTCACAGTGTCCCATTTCTTCAAGGACAGGAGGTGTCTGTAAGAAAGTGACTGTTGTAATAAAAATTCCATCTTGTTCAACTATCTTTTAGTGTTTTCCAAAATACATACCAATCTAGGAAGAGCTGTAGCACCAACAGTTTTACAAAGTCTTCGGAGATCCCATTTTGAGTTTAGCCTTTAAAAAACACAAAGACCTTAATAAAAGTTTTAATCAATTTCAGATAGCATATAAAGTTCAAATTAAAGAGGAACCTGTATACCAGCCCCCATGTCACATTCCTTTGACAATGGATTTTAACTCAGAACATGTCTGGATTGCAATGAACACTAAGGCCAGGAAGCTGATTCCTGACTCTCTGAGTGAGTCCAGCTGGCCAATAGTACCACATCTTAAGCCTGTGTTGTATGGCATTGTTCTAGAATTGGGAGAATGGAAGTCACTTTAGGATGTCAGTGGTTTATAGTTCTAAAACACCAGAGAAACCCTTACAAAACTCAACAGCATATAGAAAATTTTTGCTTTACTTTGTGCAATCAATGTTCTGTGAACAAGAGTGATTTATTTTGCACATTTTATTAGGTACTAGGGATGGTGGTAGGTAGAAATGGGTTAAGTTGTCTAGTGTGCACCATAAATGTGTTCATGGATTAAAAGGGATCTTCCTGACTCCATACTCTGATAGGCAATGCACCAAGCTTGTGTCTAGTCTCTTGGACAAGTTGTTCCTTTTGCCTGGAATGCTTTTCCCTCTTCAATTATCTGGTAATTGGTTCTTCAAGCTCTCAGCTTAAATTTATGTTTTCTCAGAGGTGTTTCCTGACCCCTCCCCAAACTAAATCCTTCTGCTATTTGACCTAGTACCTTTACTTTCCCTTTATTAACAGTCTTCATGGTCTATTTCGTTTAGTGTTTTCACCACCAAAAAACCATTTATGATATAGGTAAAAAAAAAAATCGGCTTTTTCTTACCTCACTAACATGATATTATATTTATTTGCATAATGAAGAGCCATGTCTGCCACTTTGCCACCTGTTACTACGACATTTGCACCAGTATCAGCAATAGCTTTGACTTGTGCATCCATGAGGTTTTCTTCTCCCTTACTAAAATTCATCAATTCTTCAGCAGTCTTTATCAACACTGTTCCCTGGCAAAACAAGTAAACATTCCCTTTAAAATCATTTCACTACGTTGGTGTTCAAAGTCATTAGATAATAGTTGACTGAAGAAATAAAGGTTTGGCAAAAAAATATGAAGATATATGTGCATATATTATGAAGCAGCAGAATACTGTATGTGTGAAATAGAAACTCAGCTTGCTTCTAGAACCCCCTGTCAAAACAGATGCATCTGCTTTTGATAAGTACTTAGGTGGAAAAGTACTTTTATCTATTTATTTATTTTGAGACAGAGTCTCACTCTGTCACCATGCTGGAGTGCAGGCAGGATCTCGGCTCACCGCAACCTCTGACTCCCTGGTTCAAGCGATTCTCCTGCCTCAGCCTCCCAAGTAGCTGGGATTACAGGCAAGCGCCACCACGCCCAGCTAATTTTTGCATTTTTAGTAGAGACGGGGTTTCACCATGTTGGCCAGGCTGGTCTTGAACTCCTGACCTCGTGATTTGCCTGCCTTGGCCTATGCTGGGATTACAGGCGTGAGATACCGTGCCCGGCCGAGAAGTGCTTTTATTTTAAATATGTCAGGTAGGTAGGTGTCCTGGTGTTTGTCTTTTGACAAAGGCTAACTAGTGTTCCCAATACAACATTGTGGTTCTCAAACTTTTTCTAAAATGTGGACTAGGCCGGGCGCGGTGGCTCATGCCTGTAATCCTAGCACTCTGGGAGGCCAAGGCGGGTGGATCACTTGCAGTCAGGAGTTGGAGACCAGTCTGGCCAACATGGTGAAACTTTGTCTCTATTAAAAATACAAAAATTAGCCAGAGATCACTTGAACCCAGGAGGCGGAGGTTGCAGGGAGCCAAGATTGTACCACTGGACTCAAGCCTGGGTGACAAAGCAAGACTCTAAAAAAAAAAAAAAAAAAAAAAAAAAAGAATAAAATACAATAAAATAAAATATGGACCAAATGACCAGACCCCCCTCATGCTACAAAATTTTAAAACTATCAACAACTTGGATTTCAAGAATTCTAGAGATGAAGTCAGCCACTATTGACTATAAACACAAACTTCAAACTTTCTAACATGTATTTTTAGAAACATACTTACCATTTTCAAATTACATTAGCTTATCTTGTTTTAGGATGCTACAGAATGTCAACTTTATTTTCGTGAAGAGCACACAAAATACTCACATTCTCATATTCTTTCACTTGCTGAATGTATAAGCTCTACTAGAAGGGCTGTGTGTCAGATTATAAATAATACGGCCACCATCTTTATATTTCCAGTTTAATGTTCAGTAGTTGAATTAGATATTTGAAGACTATAAATCTGGCATAAAAAAATAGGTAAGATCCTGCAATGTTCAGTTTTTTAAGAAGTACTTACTGGTTTAAGAGCTAACTCAAACAATCTGAAAGTGCAACCCCAATTATTACTTTTAAGGTTTGAAGTCTACATACCTTAGTTTCTGTTATCATGCCATCAAAAGGACAAGAGTACACTGCTATTTTTGCATCTTTGACAGATGTTACATCACCTTCGGTTTCCTTCTTAAAAACCATGCCATGCAATACTGAAGAGGAACTGATACCAGAGCCCTAAGGAATTGAATACCAAACTCATCAGCAATCTCCTGAAAATAACATTACGGTCAAACTGTTGATTCTCCATATACCAAAAATATCCCTTTCTAAAATAAAGTCATAAACCAAGGCAGTGACTCCTGGGATAAGGGGTGGAGTGGTGGACATACAGCACACCCTTCTGCTCGAGGCAGAAATCACTGAGGGAATGAGCTACTTTTAGGGAGGGGAGGTCCTTCCATGTACTGGGAAGAACCAAAGGCAGAGAACTGGTCTTAGCCATTCAGTTACCTAGTACTTGGTGCCAATATACCAGCCACAGCTGTCAGTACTGCAAATACAACACAGAACAAAGCAAAGATTCTGTTCTCACAAGGTTGCATTTAATGGGAAAAGCTGGCAGTACGTGGAGGGAGACAGCAAACATAGAACACGTGAGTATCTTCAGGGAAAGCACATGTACTTATGTTATGCTAAATTCACATTAACAATCAGAATGCCAATGTGCAAAACCAAAACCATTCCACTGATAGGTTTTACTCTATCAAGCACATTTTATCAAAAATATACTTTAATATTTCAATACTAACATTAAAGTGTGAATTCTATTATTGAAGAGGAATAGGACGATTTCCACCCCACTCAAAACTGTCTTATAAGCTTATTATAATTCAGAGTATTATGAAGAACACAAAAAAATTAGTATTTTGCGCTGGGCGCGGTGGCTCACACCTGTAATCTCAGCACTTTGGGAGGCCAAGGTGGGCAGATCATGAGGTCAGGAGTTCGAGACCAGCCTGGCCAACATGGTGAAACCCTGCCTCTACTAAAAAAATACAAAAATTAGCTGGACATGGTGGCATGCACCTGTAATCCAGCTACTTGGGAGGTTGAGGCAGGAAAACCACTTGAACCTGGGAGGTGGAGGTTGCAGTGAGCCGAGGTCGAGGCACTGCACTCCAACCTGGGCAACAGAGCCAGACTCCATCTCAAAAAAAAAAAAAAAAAAAATTTAGTATTTTGTTTATACATTATTCTTAAACCCACAAGACATCACAGAAAATGACTTTATAAGGAGATAATATGTCAATATCCTTTTAAACTTAAATAGGTAGTAGTATTATTACAACTTAGCAACATCAAAATGTTACAAAATAATGCCTCAAAGGCCAGGCACGGTGGTTCACGCCTGTTAATCCCAGCACTTTGGGAGGCCAAGGCAGGTGGATCACCTGAGGTCGGGAGTTCGAGACCAGCCTGACCAACACGGAGAAACCCCATCTCTACTAAAAATACAAAATTAGCCGGGTGTGGTGGCGCATGCCTGTAATCCCAGCTACTCGGGAGGCTGGGACTGGAGAATCACTTGAACCGGGAGGCGGAGGTTGCGGTGAGCCGAGGTCATGTCATTGCACTCCAACCTGGGCAACAAGAGCGAGACTCCGTCTCAAAAATAAATAAGTACATAAATAAAAATAATGCCTCAAAAAAAGTCCTAAGTGTTCAAATCATGAAGTAACATTTAGGTTTAGATGAACACATTTTTTTTTTTTTGCACAAAAAAACAAAAAAAGCACACAAAAAAACTGACCTAGATATGTAGCATTAATGCATTTTCTACTTACCAGAATTTTACAAACTCTGATGTTATCAACATTGAAATGGCCGGAATCAGGAAAAATAGATACTGTTAAGAAAATGAGACATATCAAAAGATTATTTTGGGACAACAGAGAAAGTATCTAGTCATGTTAAAGGTATTTTTATTTTGGATCTTTTCATTTACTGATATTTACTTACCGCATGCCTGAGCAATAAGCTTGGCCAGAAATACTTCATTACCATATTGTTTACTCATTATGGAGGTACGAAGTAGAGATGAGACTTCATCAATATCTCGAAGGTTTTTTGCAGAACAACATACCAAATTAGGAAGAATCTCATGAGCTTTTCTGCAGGCTATTTCATAACCTTCTATGACCTAAAACATAAACAACATTTCCTATTCTGACATGACTTAAAGTAGCTTATTTTGGTAACCCAATGCATATGGATGTTTATTTTTGATACAAAATGACAAAGAATATACTTCGGAATAAAACATATAGTAGACTCTACTAGTTATGAATGGAGGCTTAGATGACAGCCCAAATTTGAATCTTAACTCTACCTAACTCACTAGCTATGAGATCTTGGGCAAGATTTTTCTAATTTTAGTCTCTTTTCTCATCTAAAATAAAGTGGGAAAAAAAATAGATAAAATGGGATTATAAGGCCTCACTAATAGGGTTTTTGTGAGACTAAAATGATACAGCATGTGAAGCATATGTACTATAATGGCTGGTACAGAGCAAACTGCTCAGTGCATGTTAGCTACTACTATAATAATGATTTTAGTTTATGTTTTAAGCAGGTGTATATGTAAGCAAAAATTTAGTAGGAGTAAATTATAAATGAACACTTGCCTCTGAAACTGACAGGCCAATCCTCAGAAGTTCTTCAGCTAATTCCAGGAGAGCTCCAGCAAATACCAGAACAAAGTTTGTGCCATCTCCAACTTCTTGCTCTTGCATATGAGAAGCCATTACAATCATTTTTGCAGCAGGATGCTGTACCTAGTAGAAAAGGTAATATCAAGTTAAACATCTGATCCTTAAAGCAACATAAAATTGTTCATTTCCATTTCTTAAATAGACTCAATTTTCTTGTAGATTAGGTAACTCCATCTGATCACACTGCTACACTGCTATACGCTACTTATAGTGTGGTCACAAGAAAAAATCCAAGTCCCTTTATGCCGATCAGCACAAATGTATCACTATAAATAAGAATTTCAAAGTGCATCCTCTTTTGGTGGCCTGCACATACAGTGCCACACATATGTTTCACCATATCATATTTCACTAAATTAAAAAACAAAGTAATTACAACCACCAAACCTAGATATTTTTTAAAAGCCTTCAGGAGAACTAAAATAGATACCACTTAACTTGGTCATGACTCTCAATATCTATTTTACTATATATTCTTGTTGTAAGGGTTATCATTTGTGATTTAAAGAAAAGGGGGAGTATAAAACTTTTCTTCAAATATAACATAATTTTATGTGGATTTTATTCTTAGGATTTAATTTTAGATACCTTTACAGAAACAAGCCAAGGAGTAAGAACTGAGAGCAACAAGAAAACTATAAAAAGTCAGCCCTGTGATTTTATTATTTTGACGGTATCACCACTGTACTTTAATAACTCCTGAGATCATCAGTGTGCAACATTAACATTCACAGTGACAAACCCTTGTACAAGTGTTTTGTGGAGTTAAAATTTAACTTTTAACTTAAGTTCTTTAAGAATTTATATATATAATATGTATTTTTTTTTCTTTTTTGAGATGGAGTCTTGCTCTGTCGCCCAGGCTGGAGTGCAGTGGCGCGATCTTGGCTCATTGCAACCTCCGCCTCCCAGGTTCAAGCAATTCTCCTGCCCTAGCCTACTGAGTAGCTGGAACTACAGGTGTGTGCCACCACGCCCGGCTGATTTTGTTTCTGTATTTTTAGTAGAGATGGGGTTTCACCATGTTGGCCAGGCTAGTCTCAAACTCCTGACCTTAGGTGATCCGCCTGCCTTGACCTCCCAAAGTGGTGGGATTACAGGCGTGAGCCACCGCGTCCAACCAAAAATATATTATTTAAGAGGTTAGAAAAATGTTGATTCTTCTATCGTTTCATTTAAAACAAAAGATTAAGTTCTAGTGCTTTCAAGGGCTAAGCTTCAGGAAAATTCCCTGAGGTTGAATATGTTATCCTTTAATTACAAGGCGGGAATGAGGAATGGCTCTCTCTGCCTGTTCAGGTGCCAGACCTTCCTTATAACCCTGCTGGCAGGCAGTATCTATTTTATAGATTCTAATAGTAAAACTAAAGCTGAACAAAGTAAAATGCCATCAACTGATTGTTTTTATTTTCACAAAACCAAATGGTTGGATCTTTTTAAAAACCACTGTTATATGTATACGTTTTTGCACTGTGGAATAATTCACTTCAGAGTCACCCTATAGAATGAAGACAATGGTAATCAATTTCATATCGTAATTAGCAATGTATCACAACCAATCCCTCCATAAATTAATAACTTGAGAGATTTTTAAGATTTCAGTGGCTAAAACATTCAATCTAAAGAGGACTCTTTATAATTAGAACAATCTGTACAATAAATTTTCAAGCTGGAAAAATAGTCCCTTATCCAATCTGAAATAAGAGATTTCTTCTAGTTAAAATCTACTTAATTTTGATGTCACCAAAATATTTCTTGACTTTTTAAAGAAACAACTTACTTCTAGTTCTCTTAAAATAGTTGCTGCATCGTTTGTCACAAACAACTTCTCCAAGTGGTTGATAACCATTTTGTTCATTCCTCAAAAGTAACAGTTAAAAAAAGAAAAAGAAAGCCATTATTAATCAAATCCTTCCCCAAATACCCAGGAAAATCTAGTTAAGAAATTATAAATTTGTATATTAAAAAAAGAGCTTTGCAAGAAAACACATACTATCTATTCTTCAAGTTTATCTTATAGCCCCATGGGCATTCTCTGACTGCAGACCCATATTCTTTCTTCCCTTTCTAATGTCCTACAATATTTACTACGTAAGATGCCAAATCTCACATTTTTGCCAATTTCTATCTTCTGTTTGCAACATGACTGTCATGCAGCAAGTGCTCAACAGAAATTAACATGTAAAAAGGCCAAAATAATCTACTTAGTATATTTAGTTGTATGTTTATTCCATGAAACTGTATCATTTAAATTTAATTGGTGGTAGAAGGCAAGAGGAAGGAGAGAATTTTCTTCCTTAAACTATGTCACTTTTATATTTAGTGTTTGTCAGAATGAACATTAGGTACTATCTTACTAGTCAAAGTGTTATAATTTTTCTATCCTCTCAACAGGATAAAAAGTAATATATTGACCCCCATTTTTCTAAAGAGATGTGAGTTGATTGAAAATTAGAAATAACTAAAAATTGGAAATGAACTATCATTGAGCTATCAAATTAACTTCCGAAGTCATACCATAACATCCTCAGAACAAGTCTGAAAGAAGACGTAGTACACAATATTCTACTACTGTATCTTTACAAATATTAATTTAGAAATTACCATTTGGTCCATATGCTGTACGAGTGGTTTGGGCAAGCTCCTTGCAAGCTTGTATGTTTCTATACACAGCCTCTTCTAATCCTGAAAAGTGCTGTTAAAAAAAACAAACAAAAAACCCCGCTAATTAGACAGGACAGTGAAACAAAAATTTCAAATACAAGATATCTTTGCTTATATCTTGCCTCTAATAAAGAGGGAGCATAGCTTAGGTATTTGGCACAAGAGGGCTGGTTGCAAATCTTAGCTTTCTGGCTCTTTTTAAATTTGGGCAATTTTCTTAACATTTCTTCATTATAAAATGAAGTAATTATAATAGTACCTAACTCATAGGATTGTTGAGACAATCAAACAAGATTTTTTAATGTAAAACACAGCATTTGATATTCATAAATGATGCATACATTTCCTCTCTAGTTGAATGAATAAAGTATAACATTTTGGGGGACCGCAGGTACCTACTTACACATCAAAAGACTTAAAATTTTTTTTATTAAAAGTAGTGAAAAGTACAGGGAACCATGCTAAGACTAATTAGAGAAAGGGTATGAGGTACTTCAAGTAGAATACCTTTCCAGAATTTATCAGTATTTTCTAACTAACTGTTGAAATGTGGAATATTCTTATTGTGTTAGAATCTGGGCTTTTGTAAAGCCAGAAGTTCTTTAAGTATGTGCCACTGAAGTGTTTAGAGACTGAATACTTTTTTTGAATTGCAACATTATCCCAATGTATATGTATTGAAAAGCGAACTGCTCACGGTACTAAAAATTCTCACAAATTCTACACTGGACTTTTTTAGAGTTGAGGTTTACTTGGGTCCTCAGATATATTTCACTAATCTACTGTGCATGAGAACATTTCTTTAGAGAAGCGCTGCCCAATACAGTAGCCACTAGCTACATACATGGGGCTAGTGAAAGCAATCAAAATAAACTTTCAAGTAATTAAAATTAAAAAATTCAGTTCCTCAATTGCAGGAGCCACAGTTCAAATGCCCAGTAGCTACATGTGGGTAGTGAATATCACACTGGACAGCGCTGATACAGCGTATGTCCAGCACTGCAAAAAGTTCTATTTACATAGTACTGCTTTACAATACAAGCCATGATTTTGTGATCCAAAACCAAGGTTAATAGCCATTACTCTTTTTTGAGAGAGAGAGAGTCTCCTCTATCGCTCAGGCTGGAGTGCAGTGAGCTGAGATCGTGGCACGATCTCAGCTCACTGCAACCTGGGCCTCCCGGGTTCAAGCAATTCTGGAGGCTCAGCCTCCTGAGTAGCTGGGATTAGAGGTGCGCGCCACACCAGGTTGGTTTTTTTTGTATTTTTTTGAGAGGCGGAGTTTCACCATGTTGGCCAGGAACTCCTGGCCTCAAGTGATCCACTGACCTCGGCCTCCCCAGTGTTGGGATTACAGGTGTGAGCCACCAACCCCTGCCAATAGCCACTGCTTTAAAAGCATCTTCAGCAATAAGAACTGTTATTCCAGCAATAACACTTAAGTCTGAACTCCTGGCTTACACTCTTGCTTCTTCCCCTCACTCCCCATTCTGTGAGAAACTACCATTTGATCAGATCCCCTCATTCCCATACTTAAGACCCTTCAATGGTTTCCCAACCAGCTTAGGATAAAATGCAAATCCCTTTTCAAGGAAACAAGGCCCTACGTATCCCGGCCCTTGTATGGCTCCTCCTCTGAACTTACCATTCTTCCTTTCTTTGGTAAGCTTCAGCCCTACAACCTGTTGTTGTTGTTGTTGTTTTAAAAAAAAAACAGGTCAAAATCATTCCTTCCTCAGGGTCTTTGTACTAGTTAGTCCCTGAGCCTGGCATTTCCCCCTAAGTAAGAGGTCGGGGGAAACAGCCCAGGCTCAGGGGCTTCTCTCACTAAGCACTGAGCTAAGAGTTCTTCCCTAAACGTCTAAGTGTTCTGTCTATTCCTGATCCTTCTTTTACAGACATTTTTACCTCCTGTCATCCTCTACTATAGTGCAGTTTCTTTCATCATTATTTGGAATTCTCCTTTTATTTAATCATTATTTCTGCCTTAGAAGGACATAAACTCTACGACAAATGGGACTTTTGTCTTTCACTGCAGTTCCTTCAGTACCTATTTATTGAAAGAAATAGCTCAGTGTTCTGTAAAAAACTACTAGCACTGGAATGACAAATAATGTTTTGTGATACACGAGTTTTCCAAAACTGTATTAGTGAAAAAAACCCAAATTGGAAGCTATTATCTCAGCCTGATTTTTTCAAGGGAATCAGCCCATATCATTTTCAAAAGATTATTCCACCAACATTTACCTTGAACCCTGACATTTACTTACTATACCGACATTATTTGAAAAGTGCATCCTACAAACATGAACCTAGTTCTATTAAACTGTTAATGCTCCCCGTACCTCGCATAAAACCTTAAATTCAACCACACTGATCTATTTCTTGAATTAACAAAATCTGGAGGACACACAGAGGAATGCAATTTGAATAGCACAAGAGACAAATTTATCAATAGTGCAGTAAGATATTTTTTAAAACTATGCTACCGAACTAACGTTCAAGAAAAGGCCATTAAACAAAAGTGTTATCTGCACCCCTCTATCACTTATCCTGCAGATTACACAGAACTCAAAGACACCACCTCTTGGTCCAATCTCCATAATTTAAAGACGAAGGAAACAAAACCCAAGAAAGTTACATTTTAGATTAAGCCAGCTAACATAAGTTGGGACCGGAACTCATTTGGCTACAACGCATGGCTTCTGTCAACTAAGCTGAAAGCCGTATGTTTCTCACTGGGAAGCAAGCAACCAAGACCCGGCCCTTTTTCCCACTCTCTTCTCTGGATCGGCTAGTTCTCGTTCTTCCCCATCCTACAACTCGCGAGCTATGTGATAATCGACGTCGCAGTTCTCAAGACAATTTCATCTACGTTATTCAATTTCACCCTCACAACCTCCTTTAAGGGTGACGGGCCTTAGCCCCATTTACGGATGGAGGCAAAACGCACGCGCGGCTTCACATCCGTCCACCTTCAAGGTGTACAATGTCGATCGTGCCGCCGATCCCTCGGCCTTCTCCCGGTCGCGGAAGAAGAGAAGTGCCCGCAGGCTCCGGTGGCCGAGCCCTTCCAAAATCACCTCCCTTTCTGGAATCTTCTCTTCCCCCGGCCGCTGAGCCAGGGCAGCACGCTCAGCCCGTTAGTAGGCCCTCCTACTTCGCCGCGGCCGCCGCAGCCCTATGCTGACGCTCCCACCTCATTCCTTTCCTTCAGCCCTTACTTTCGCTCCCTCCTTGAGCATCTGGGCAAAGCCCGGAGCCTTGGGAACGTGAAGCGCCATGGCCAGCCTGCAGGAAGCAGTTCACGCGACCGCTCGGAAGACCGCGGAGGAAGCGAGGAGCACGCACAGCCTTCTGGGAAAGCAGCGTGGGGCCGCCTCACGCTCTTCCTGGCTCTCCAATTAGCCCACCCTTTCCCTGCCGCCAGGTCTGAAGCATCGCGAGAAGAGCAACCTCTGTGGCCAGAACCAAGCTGACGATCCCCGATCGGGTCGATCGATAGGGCGGGCCCAGGGAGCCCCTCGGGTTTCTGGCTCACGCACGCGCAGACAGCCCAGGCCGTGAGAGGTTGCTCCAGTCTGTGCTCTCTGACCGTAGTCAGTAGTCACGGCGTTAGATTTTTGCGGTTTTTGATCTGGAAGCCACACATCCTTAGCTTAATTTCCACGTATCTTCCAGACCCAGCCACCAACGTCAGGGCAGGTGTGCTTTTTTTTTCCCGAGGCAGAGCATCTGCCCCATCCCCCAAAATTGTCTCTAGGCGTCCGCTCTGTGTTGGGCACCATAGGAAGCGCTGGGAATGCGCACGATAATTAAAGTCGTCACTAAGAGTAATGTAGTACACATCAAGTGCTCAAGTGTGCCATATTCTGTGTGATCTGCTTTACATGCAGTATCTCTGTTAATGGTCAGTCTTAAAAATTAATGAATTGTCGGTTAAAATACCATTTAGTTTTCCTTCCATAAAATGGAGACGATACCATTAAAAATTAAAAATTAAATGGTACTGTCTCTATTTTGTAGAAGGGAAACTGAAGTTCACAAACTGTAAATAATTTTCCCAAGATCACAGAGCTAGTAAATATTAAAGCTAGAATTCCTATCTAGATCAGACTTATTGCAAAATGCCGGTTCTTAACCACTATCTATATTCCTCTTTTCTACTTCTTCCTGGGAATATAAATCCCTTTTACTCTTTTAAGATCAGATATAAATACATATTTATTTATCTGATTTATATATATAATATACACATTTTATATAAATATATCTGATTTATATATGAATTTATAGATAAATATAAATCCCTTTGGCTTGGTGGCATGCACCTGTAGTCTCAGCTGCTTGGGAGGCTAAGGTTGGAGGATCTGCTTGAGCCTGGGAGGTTGAGGCAGCAGTGAGCTGAGATCATGCCACTGCACTCCAGCCTGGGCAAGAGTGAGGCCCTGTCTCAAAAAAAAAAAAAAATTGCAAAAATGTAAATGCCACTGATATGGTTTGGATTTTTGCAAAAATGTAAATGCCACTGATATGTTTGAATTGCCTGCCCAAATATGATGTGGAATTATAATCCCCAGCTGTTCTTGTGATAGTGAGTGACTTCTCATAAGACCTGGTTGTTTAAAAGTGTGTGGCACCTCCCCACTCTGTCTCTTCCTCCTCCTCCAGCCTTGTAGGATGTGTCTGCTTCCCCTTCACCTTCCACCTTGATTGTCAGCTTCCTGAGGCTTCCCCAGCCATGCTTCCTGTACCGCCTGTGGAACTGTGAGCCAATTAAACCTCTTTTCTTTATAAATTACCCAGTCTCAGGTAGTTCTTTATAGCGATTCGAGAACGGACTAATACAGCCACCCTTTTCATTCTTGGAAAATAGAGATATTTTAAATAAAAACATACATATTATCATGTGATAGGATTATTATTTTTTAAATAACGTTAAAAATTTATCAGTTTTAATTTCTAATATAGCAAATATTCATACCTATAACCCACATAAACAAAAGACCTTTGGGGAAGTTAATTTTTAAGAGTCTAAAGGTGTTCTGAGACTGATACGTTAGAGAACTACTGTAATGATCAGTCCCGAACAACAGAACAATCCAAGATTTTTCCTGGATTAGCTAAGAAATAAACAAAAGCACATTCCTCTGACTCAGAGATAATATTACTTATAAAAATAGCTAACACAAAATAAAATTGAAATAAAACTGAAAGGAGCTAAAATGACACCTGATTAACATATTAATATATATTAATCTATATTTAAAGTGACTTTGAGGCCTAGGTTCTGGTCCTTGTCTCACTGGTATCTTCTCCATTTGGCATTAATGTCTTGTATTCTGGCCCCAGTACCTGGAATAGTTCGTGCTGTCTGCTTTACCACTTCTGCCTCAGGGTCTTTGCCTCTGCTGTTCTTCCTACCTAAAATGCTCTTCTATTCCCTTATGGCTGAATTAATTCTACCTCAGTATGCAGACACTTTCATTAGAAAGTCTTTGATGACTCCCAAGACATTCCCTGTTTGTCATTCTCATAGCTTCTGTGTTTCTCCTTCATAGCACTTACCACAGTTGTAATGACAGAATTATTTGTCATCTTTCTCCACCAGCAGGTAGGTGGTGAATCACCAGCACTTATACTGTAATTGGACAATGCACGGAGTAAGGAGTCAATAAATCATCATCAAATGAACTACTGGGTGACCAAATGGATATCCAGAAGAGGAGATCGAAGAATTAAGGTGCTGTGGTCTCAATGTTTGTGTCCCTCCAAAATTCATGTTAAAATCTTAGGCCCTGAAGTGATGGTATTACGTAGGGCCTTTTGGGAGATGATTAGTTCATTAGGTCTCCACCCTTATAAAAGATTAGCGCTCTTATGAAAGAGGCCCAGGGGAGCTTATTTGCCTTTCCACCATGTGCTGACACAGCTAGAAGGTACTATCTATGAACCAGGAAGCAGGCCCTCACCAGACACTGTATCTGCTAGCACCTTGATCTCGGACTTCCAGCCTCACGAACTGTGAGTAACACATTTCTACCGTTTCTAAGCCACCCAGTTTGTAGTATTTTGTTATAGTGTGTCTGGAATTGGTGGGTTCTTGGTCTGACTGACTTCAAGAATGAAGCCGTGGACCCTCGTGGTGAGTGTTACAGTTCTTAAAGGCGGCGTGTCCGGAGTGTGTTCCTTCTGATATTCGGATGTGTTCGGAGTTTCTTCCTTCTGGCAGGCTCGTGGTCTCGCTGGCTCAGGAGTGAAGCTGCGAACCTTCGCAGTGAGTGTTACAGCTCTTAAGGCACGTCTGGAGTTGTTTGTTCCTCCCAGTGGGTTTGTGGTCTCGCTGGCTTCAGGAGTGAAGCTGCAGACCTTTGCAGTGAGTGTTACAGCTCATAAAGGCAGTGAGGACCCAAAGAGTGAGCAGCAGCAGGATTTATTGCAAAGAAAAAAAAAGCTCCCACAGTGTGGAAGGGGACCCAATCGGGTTGCCACTGCTGGCTCTGGCAGCCTGCTTTCATTCTCTTATCTGGCCCCGCCCACATCCTGCTGATTGGTAGAGCCCAGTGGTCTGTTTTGACAGGGCGCTGATTGGTGTGTTTACAATCCCTGAGCTAGACACACAGGTTCTCCATGTCTCCACCAGAGTAGCTAGATACGGAGTGTCGATTGGTGCATTCACAAACCCTGAGCTAGACACAGGGTGCTGATTGATGTGTTTACAAACCTTGAGCTAGATACAGAGTGCCGATTGGTGTATTTACAATCCCTTAGCTAGACGTAAAGGTTCTCCACGTCCGCACCAGACTCAGGAGCCCAGCTGGCTTCACCCAGTGGATCACGCACTAGGGCTACAGGTGGAGCTGCTTGCCAGTCCGCCGCCGTGAGCCCACACTCCTCAGCCCTTGGGTGGTTGATGGGACTGGGCGCTGTGGAGCAGCGGGCGGCGCTCGTCGCGGAGGCTCGGGCATGGCGGGCTGCAGGTCCCTAGCCCTGCCCTGCAGGAAGACAGCTAAGGCCAGGCGAGAAATTGAGCACGGCAGCTGCTGGCCCAGGTGCTAAGCCCCTCAACTGCCCGGGGCCGGTGGGGCCGGCAGGCGGCTCCGAGTTGCGAGGTCCGCGGGGCCCACGCCCACCCGGAACTCACGCTGGCCCGCAAGCACCGCGCGCAGCCCCGGTTCCTGCCCGCACCTCTCCCTCCACACCTCCCCGCAAGCTGAGGGAGCCGGCTCCGGCCTCGGCCAGCCCAGGAAGGCGCTCCCACAGCGCAGTGGTGGGCTGAAGGGCTCCTCAAGTGCCGCCAAAGTGGGAGCCCAGGCAGAGGAGGCGCCGAGAGCGAGGGAGGGCTGTGAGGACTGCCAGCACGCTGTCACCTCTCAATAGCAGCCCAAACAGATTAAGACATGGGAGGTATGGTCTCTATTCTTACCATCCAGACGTATGTGAAGTAAAACCAGAGAACAACACAAAGCAATCAAGAGGGTTTTTGCGCAGAGTTTGCAAAACGCCAAGGAGACTGTAGGTTTCTGTTATAGTGATTCAAAAGCCTGGGATCCTCATGTTAGGTGCTGCCTGAAAACATGGCCTCCAGCCTCCAGGAGAGCTAAAAGCCGTGAGGATTGGGGGTTGGGGATGTCTGAGCCATCTTAGGATTCTGATAAGGACTCAGTTCACTATTTGTTTCTAGTTACTTTGTTTCTGTTTTTTTCATTTTTTGTTTGTGTTAAAGTTTTAACCCCTGTACGTCAGAATTGTTTAATGTTTTTGGCTTGTCTATGTGTTTTGATTTTTTTTGTATTATTATTTAATTTTCCCAATTCCCATTAAATCCTTAACCTCCTGACTTTTCTTTTTCTGCCTCCATTTGTATTGTTTATTTCATGTTACTATATCATCTTATGTTTCAGTATTTTTCTGTTGAATTTTAATTCTTTTGTTTGGCTTTGGAGTCTGACTCATTTTGTGTTGGCTCATTATTTTGCTTCAGGATATTTTTGTTGTTGTTAAAATCTTTTAATATTCCTTTATAAATTTAAATTTTTTTCTCTTTTAATCGAATTTATTTGGGCTTAAGAGGGCACAATAATTTATACCCTTATTCACTTTCTGAGTTTGGAAACAACCAAGAAAATAGAGGGGTCAGGAGGCTGGAATTCAGAGTCTCGCTGGACTACAGAGAACGTGGCTTAGGGTGAAAGCACAGGCATGCTGGGCATCATTGCTGCTTTGCACTGATCAGAGAAGGAGAGACTTTAAATGGGTTAACTCCATGCAATCAAGAAAGGTAGCCCCATGTCAATCCCTTACCAGTGAGGTAACTTCCAATGTGGGTCAGAAGGAGTGGATTGAGAGGCCGAGAACTGGGGGTAACCAAAAGAGTAAGACTAAACAATACTCTCCTCTCAATATAATTGTTACTTTTGTTCATCTCCCTGTAAACCTCCCTCCCACTCTTCTGCCTTTTATCTATGGAGTGGGGATGAGGTTGAGGGGAGACTCGGCCTACGACTACCATGTTGGTCCCACAGCTCCACTTAGTTTCTGTCAAGCACACATGAGACAAGGCATGGCTAAGGTAAAGTCCTGACTGATTCGACTGGTAAAGATGCAAGGACACTTTTTTAGAATCAGACCGTTTATTCATTACATAGATGACAAAAGGAAGACTAGCCAAATGTGCCAACTCCTTGAGGTCATTGTTCTGCTCATCAAAAAGAATGACACTGAAACCAAAGGGACTTGGAGATTGCAATGCGAGTTGGGTAATGCAGCTCGGTGGTTTTGTGTTCTGCCACTCTATTAAGAGAGGGTGAAGCAGGAAGACCCACGTCTCATCAGAACACTGGAGGTGATGAGAAACTGCTTCATGACAGCTTCCCAGGTGAGATCAGGAGGTGAAAGGAAGATGGCCTTGGAGAAGCTCTTTGCAGGTCTCCATCTTCTCGTGTTCCAGGTGGATCACAAGGCATTTGGCCAAGACTCAGGCCACAGGAGAAGCAGTGCCAAGAGACAGGAAGGAAGTGGCTCTGCCCTGGTGTATCCACAAAGGGCATGCAGGCAAAGGCCCATGCTAATCTGAGTCTTGGCCAAATGCCAAGCTCTTTCTTAGCTTTGGCTTGCTTCCTTTTCTCTATGGGTCTCTCAGCTTCCCCATACTGTCTCACCACTCCCCCCAGAAAGGTCTCTACGTGTTTCATATTCAAACATCCCAAGAGGGAGCATCTGATTGGTTCAGTTTATTGCTTTGCCACAAAAAGCCCCCAGGTTCTGCTAAATTTTCAGAAAATACAAGTTTCCATGGCTGCTTTGGCCTAAGCAAGAATTGGTGGTGCACTCAATGGCAAACGAGGGCCAGGGTCATGTGAGTCATCTGTAACCTTGGTGTGAGAATGCTCTGTGGCTGTTTTGTTCCAAAGTGGGCTCTGTGTGTGGCCTACATTCAGAGTTTCAAGAATAGTCCAATCAATCTACTTGAGGCTGTACTGGAGTGAGTAGCTCCCTTAAAGTCTCTCCAGGTTAGGGCAAAGTCACAAGAAATGAAATGTATTATAATCACTCCCTGCTTATTACCATTCTAAGAGGGAAGATCTTGAACTGGATGAAAGTGATTGATTCTTTTCTTAGTTTAAATGTTGGTTTAGTTGTCCCGGTGTCTTTTGTGCCTAGGTGTGATTGAGCTGGTTAGATTAATGGGAACGAGAAGGGTGAAATGGAATGAGATGCATTTAAATCCTATTGGTGATACCTTAGATATCTAGAGATGAAATCTTTATTTCAGGTGACTTGAGAGAGAAGGTTCTCTTGAGCCTTTATGAATCAACTGTTGATGAACTAAAACTGTGTTTATCAGTCTCTCTTTCAGCAAAGATAGAAGTTACTGTCATAGTTCCCCTGATCAGTGTGCTAGACTGGCACACATGGGGTCTTCTACTGCAAGGCTGGGAAGCAGAAACTGTGTTTCTTGGATTCTGTTGCAGTTATGGCTGTGGGTACAAATAAGCCTCCACCAATTAGATACTTTCATGTGAGGATTGGAAGGTGGTAGGAAAACAAAGCCTATTTTCATGCTGTTTTGGCATTTCTGCCATAAGCCCCTAAGGCTGCCGTGGTTTAAACCAGAATTCCTGATGCACTCATGGGTGTCCAGGGGCCAGGGTCTTTTGTAACCTTAGTGTAGGGAATGTGATGAGATGATGCATTTTTGGCACCTCTTTGCCAAAGATAACACCTTGCTCTCCGTGCTTACAGATGTACAAGGGCAGCCGTGGGGCTGGCAACAGCTTCGTAATCCTGGCTTCCTGCTTTCTGGGTCAAAGCCCTGGTGGTGTGTTCTTGATATCGGTCCATCTAGTGGCGTTGTTTGATTCCTCCCACCTTGCTGATCATTCGTAGTGTAGCCCCCAAGGTGAGTCATTCTGTTACATCTGGGACCTATTCCCAGAAGCCCATTTTAGAGCTTGCTTCTCTAGCCCATCAAGAATTTTTGAAGGATCTGATTCCTGTATTAAAGCCCTTCTGCTTGAGTGGTTTTTGTTTCCTGCATGCTGTATGACATAATTCCTGTGTTTATGATTGTTACAAAGCTAAAAACAGCCATGGCCAGGCTTGTGAGCTCACATCAGAAATGAAATTCAGAAGTCATTCAGAATCTTACCAAATCCAGTTTTTACTCTTGATTTAAAAATATTTTACTTTTTAAAATTAATTATTGTGGCTCGCCCAGACTTGGCAGTTAGAATTGAATATCAGGAAAGGTTTTAAGACAAACCTGACGAAGAAAGTTGAAGTAGTCACAGTATCTAGAAATACAAGAGGGCCTCTTTTCTCAGGCTTATATTTTGAGATAAATTTCCTCTCCTTAGTACATGCAGGGAACATTTCATTTCATAGTTTTGCTGATTAAAAAGGCCAAATTATATAAATTACCTGGAGGAGGTTTTCTGCTATTAAAATTGTTTATGGTCAGCCGGGCGTGGTGGCTCACGCCTATAATCCCAGCACTTTGGGAGGCCAAGGCAGGTGGATCACAAGGTCAGGAGATCAAGACCATCCTGGCTAACACGGTGAAACCCTGTCTCTACTAAAAAAAATACAAAAAAATTAGCTGGGCATGGTGGCAGGCGCCTGTAGTCCCAGCTACTCGGGAGGCTGAGGCAGGAGAATGGCATGAGCCTGGGAGGCGGAGTTGGCAGTGAGCCGAGATCGCGCCACTGCGCTCCAGCCCAGGTGACAGAGCGAGACTCCGTCTCAAAAAAAAAAAAATTGTTTATGGTCTGTAAGTATCTGGCCTTCCCAACTTGGTTCTGATGGACCAAAATATAGTATATTTCCCATGTCTCCCTTTGTAAAGAAAGGTAAATTTACTCTTTCTTTTATTATGAATTCATCAGTTTACTGGTTATTCTTTTTTATATTTTAGCCAGTTTCCCACCACAGATTGCAAGTTTGGGTTCCTCAGACCATTGTTTTATGCAAGAAGCAGGCTTTTGGCAAGTTTCTTCCACATCAAATTACTTTTCCTTCTGTATATTTTATGCAGAAATCTTTCAATAACAAGATAAGATTGTTTGCAGCTTTTATTGATCTTTACTCAATATTTGATTCTGTGCATAGGAACCAGTTGTAGGCGAGCCTGCTTACGTACAATATTGAACCCAGTCCTGATTCTTATGTAGAATTTGCATCTTAACACCAGTGCAAAGACCTGGGTTTGATAAGTTAAATGGTTATTTCAAAATGAATAAAACAGGGATGTTTTGACTACTTTGTTTCTTTTTGTTTTATAATATAATATTACTTTTGGATGAGCTAACTGAATCTGTCCCTCTTTCCACTGAGAGTAAAAGTAATAAGTATTCTCTACTAATATTATTAAGTTCATAGATGACTCTAGCAGCTCTTGGTCCTATTTCCTAATATTATGTAAAGAAATGGCTTAAGTTCAGGCACTGCATTAGTTAGCGATTGTTGTGTAACAAACCACTCCAAATCTCAGTGGCTTAAAACAACAGCTACTTCTTATTTCTCACAAAATAATTTCTCACAAAAAATTTCTAAATTTTTTGTATGCCTAGGACTGGTTGGGTGGTTTGGCTGATCTGACCAAGCTTTACTGTATTAGGCAGGGATTGTTTATGTATCTGCAGTCAGCTGGTGGGTGGGCTTGGGGTTGGGGAACAGTGTTGGCAGGCTTGGAGGTCTCAGCTGGAACAATTCAGCTGTGCATCACATGGTCTCAGCCTCTAGTAGGTTACCTGGGCTTGCTCTCATGAAAGTAGAGGGTGCCAAGGGAGCAAGCAGCAATGTGTAAGCACCTTGTTAAATTTGCTACTAGCCCATTGGCTGAAGTAGGTTATGTGGCCACACCCAGGATCAGTGTGGCAGGGCAGTATCAAAGGCTGTAGATACATGGAGGCACGTAAGTTGAGGACAATAGTGCAGTCAATCTACCACGGCCACTCTAAAACCCCAGTCCCTGCTTTTGGCAAGAGTTTTCCACCATTCATTTACTTGGTGTTCAACAACTTCATTCAACAAGTTTCTTAAGAAAATACTGGGATCAATTTACCTTGCAGGATTCACTAGAAAGCAATATTACTTAAATTAAGGTGTCATTTTGATGTTTCACTGAGCTTTTTTTTTTTCTTGAGCCACCACAGCAGGTGACTATTAATATCTGTATTGAAAAAACTCTAGCTAAACATTAGTGTCATCATTCTTCGTGTCACAGAGCATTGGTGTCTTACTTTCCCATTTAATTATATTTTGAAATGAATTCAGAAATATTTGGAGGGCATGATATTGGTCCTTTCTAAAGGTACTTGGGTGTTTTGCCTTGGGCAATTCCTCAATTTTCTTGGCCTTACTCTATTACACAGAAATCTGCCCCCTGGACTCCAATTTGAGAAGATAATTTCTAACCATTCCTTATCCAATCCTTATCAAATGCCTAATTGCAAAAATTTATGTTTGAGCAAAATTCCCTCAATGCCGTGCAGCACATTCCCATTTAGATAATTAATTTTGCCCTCGGATGAAGCCAGACCATTAAAGTTTTAGTCCTTTGGAGGACTGAGTTTGATAAATTGCATTTTGGTATCATGCCATTGTCTTATAATAAGGAAAATTAAAAGGAATGGCCAACTATCATAGACTGTTATCTCTACTCGATGCCTGTTTTTGATGGATGTCAATCATTTCATTGCATGGTATCCTTTTTATATGACCTGTGGGAAAAATTTATCTCAGCATTCAACCATGGTTTTTATATTTTATGGCCGCTATGAATCTTCCAATGTTTTTGTTTCTCTCTTTAACTGCTGGAAACTTAGAGCCAAATGTGTAGCCCATCTCTACCAACTCTACAGGGCTCTGGTGCAACATTTCTGTCTACCACTCTTAACATTTGGTTTTACTATTTTCCTGATTGTTCTTTCTTTTTTGCTCAGACTATCTCAACTTAAAAAAATCCTTAGTGATTTTATTTGTTTTTGTAAGCCACATAAAGTTCTTTATGGAATCAGCTGGGATGTGTGTGTGTGTGTATATATGTGTGTGTGTGTGTATGTAATATATATAATATTACCTCTCTTGTTTATGTAATATATATATCTCTGTTTTACTAATTCTGAAATAATCATTTAATATTATAATATATAATATATATAATTGTATATAACATATGTATACACACATGTATATGTATATATTTTATGACATATATGTAATATAATTATATATAATATTATATGTATATATACATGTATAATATGTATATATTTTTTTTTCCAAAATTGCTAGTTTATGAATTCACAGATGGTTTGGGGTTGATTAAAGGGATTAGCAATTTCACTTTAGAATAATTTTGTTTTTTACTTAGAAGGAAGAATTTATAATTTGTGGCTTAAACTGGAAACACTACCACATCATAAGTAGCACAACACTAAAGCATAAAAAGCAATCTTGAGACCTTCTTACATTACTATATATAGATTCTATTAAAAACAATAATGGGAACTAGAGGGTCATTGTAGAATATTTTTTCTTAAGGTCTACACACTAATTGATTCATGTAAGATGGTCCCTGATTTCTTTTAGGTACTTAGCCCATGAGCCAGTACTTATTTTTGTAGTTGGATTAGTAACGATGCTTGATGGTTCAAATGCTTATCAGCCATCATCATTCTCACTTGCCCTGTTCTTAATGTTTTGGCTATTTTTATTACAATGATTTCCTCTGGGATTTTCATTAGGGTCAGTCATTAGCCTCAGGGGAATAAAATCAAGGGAGGATCTATGTGTCTATTTATGTAGCAGTCTGCTAGAGCAATTACATTTTCTCATTGCTATTTGATTAGACTATTTTCTTTCTTACCAGATATTCACTCCTCTGACTCTATGCCAAATGCACCATCGAGGTGAAAGTTAAATCACATCAGGAATCTCAATGAAGAAGGAGGGTAATGGTTACCAAAAATCCTTCCAAAAGATCTTTTCATTCCCTGACATCATCACACAGTGATTTTTGATAACTTAGGCAAATATAGTCTAAACGCAATTAGAAATTAACTTTCTGAGATGAGTAAGAAAGTTTATTTAGGAAATGCAAGTGAGAAACAAGAAGTAGAAGAGAATATGTTTGGGAAATGTAATAATGCACAGTGACTTATCTCAAGATGATTCTCAGACTTTGCCAAAAATTCACAAAGGAAAAAAAAAGTCAGCAAGGAAAATGCCTGTCTCTAAGCCCATATTTTCTCTCATTTGAGGTGTGGAATAACCCTTAAGCCCTTACCGGGGTCCTTCTGGACTGAGAATTGTTGTAAAGTAATACTGCTCAGGTTCGTAAGTTTTATAATCTTCTCACACAGAGCAAATGAGAATGGGGTGGGAATGTGCAAGCCAAGAGCAGTCAAACCTGCCAGTAGTAGCAAAAGTGACAGCTAGACCAACAAGGGCTTGACATGCTTCAAGGAGACTTGCTCACCAGAACTTGAGAAACATAATTGAGGCTTTTAGGTGAAACCATTGCATTGCACGTAGCCGTGTATTATGCTTAAAGTGATCATTGGCTATGAATAAACAAAATAAAGATCCCTGCACCTTATTTAAGTGGTCATTGGACATAAAAAGTGCATTTAGGCTGAGGCAGGAGAATGGAGTGAACCCGGGAGGCGGAGCTTGCAGTGAGCTGAGATCGTGCCACTGCACTCCAGCCTGGGTGACAGAGCCAGACTCTGTCTAAAAAAAAAAAAAAAAAAAAAAAAAAGCATTTAAATTCTATCAAAAATGATTCAAAGTTTACTAATATCTTTTGGTTCTTGTTGGGGTGAGCTTTGCTTGTCTGCAAAATTCATTTATGTAGAAAACCTCGTTCTCCCCAATATTGTATGTGAATGAAATGTTACTGTATTTAACATTAATTGAATGCCAACGGCATGGTTAGTATGTTGTTTGAAGGAATGTTGCGATGGCTTTGATGCAGAATCATAACTCTCTATATCCCCCAGGTGAAAGACAACTTGAGTGGTTAAATTACTGTCATGCAAAGCGACTAGATGGTTCAGCTGATTGCACCTTTAGAAGTTATGTGGAACGAGGCAGCAGATCTTAAGGTATGTCCGCCTTCCCCCAACCCCTTCCTGTAAAACTGTCGACTATAATCCTGTTTTCAGTGAAAACAGGGTGGGAAAAATGTAGGAAAGAAGCAGAGAGAAATGGACCTTGGAAGTCTCAGCTAACCATTACTGTTGGCAATCTGTGGGAGGTCGGCAGACTATTTGTTAAGGTGCTGATTGAAACTCTGGGACACCGGTTCTTTCCCTTAATACAAAACCAATTTTGAGCCAAGTCATTTAAGACCTTTTGAAAACTGATTCTAAAATAGCATGTGATATCCTGCGGAAAAAATAAACCATGATTTAGTAAACTAAATGATCCGTGGAGTAAGGACTGCTTTATATGGTGTTCTTAGAGAAAGAGCAGGCACAGATGATAAAATGTGGCCAGGAAAAATCATTGGCACATCTATGTGAGTTCCAGCTTGAAATGAACTTCTCGAGGTTCATGGCCCCGTAAGTGTTTGCTGCCCACCAGCTCTGGAAAATGAGTGGAAGGATTCCCACCCAGCTTGGAAAACAGAAAGTCCGCTTACCTGATGATGCTCTGGGGGAAATTAAGGAATGTTGGTGTCATTTCATAGTGACCACAGCATTGAGTATTGCTCCTTCAGATTCATTTTGCTCTAGGCTGATCAACATTTCACTTCCGTGATGAGCAGTGCTGGCCTAAGATTTTACTTAAGTTTCATTGATAATAAAGCTGATGGTGAGAATGATAATGATGGCAAGAAATATAGTAAAGCCTGCCCCACAGTAACGAGAATCTGGCCAGGTGGTGATTGGCAATAGACTCCTATCCTCTGCTAAGGCCCTGTTCTTTCTTCATTAATCTTGCAATAACTTGACCCTGAGTTTTAAAGTAATAAATATTTTGGACTTCACATATTGTATGTTAGGGTTTTATCATATATCAACAATGATTATGATGACGTCCCCCTTTCCTGAGTATTCACTCTGCACATTGTGCTGAGTGCTTTATGCGTGTTATCTCAGTCTTCACGACCATCCTGATGAAAGTCCTCCAATGGCTTTGAACTGTACTTAAAATAAAAACCAAACTCTAAACCAGTTCCTCTAAGGAGTGGCATGATCTAGCTCCTGCCTACTTCATGTCCTGCGTCTTTTCCACTTGCTCTGCCCCAGCCACACTACCTTCTTTTTGTTCTTGTGACATGCCACACTCATTCTCTCTGCTGGACTTTTTCACCAGCTTTTCCTTCTGCCTGGACCTCTCTTCTCCCAGACCTTAGTGTGGTTGATGCCTCCTTCAGGTCCCAGATTAAATCTCGTCTCCCCAGAGAGGGTTTCCTTGACAACTCTGTCTTCAGGAACTTCCTCAATATTCCTTTTACATCACCCTATTTTATTTTTATCCTAAAAGCTAATACTCCCTAAACATTTTCACATTAATTAATTTTAAAAACTCTCTATCTCTGCCAATTTGGATGTAATCTTCCTGAGAATTTGGACCAAATATGTTTTTTAATTATGTTCCCAGTTCTCAGAACAGTGCTTGGCACATGTTAAGTGTTCAATAAATGAATGAACCTCAGTTTTTGGATGAAGAAGCTAAAGAACAGAGAGGTTAAGCTATGTCTTAGGTCGTATATCTCCTAAATGGTTTATGCAGGATTTAACTGTAAATCTAATGCTCATTTTCTTTTTCTTTTTTTTTTTTTTTTTTTTTTGAGACAGAGTCTTGTTCTGTCTCCCAGGCTGAAGTGCAGCGGCGCGATCTCCGCTCACTGCAAGCTCCGCCTCCGGGGTTCAAACGATTCTCTTGCCTCAGCCTCCTGAGTAGCTGGGACCACAGGCTCCCACCACCACGACCGGCTAATTTTTTGTATTTTTAGTAGAGACGGGGTTTCACTGAGTTAGCCAGGATGGTCTCGATCTCCTGACCTCGTGATCCGCCCACCTCGGCCTCCCAAAGTGCTGGGATTACAGGTGTGAGCCACCGCGCCCGGTCGTGCTCATTTTCTTAATGATCATGCTATACAACACTATGAGATTTCTGTACATCACACCTGGAATCACATAAAGATTATAGCTTAAAACTACACTTAGCTTCCCAAAGAGGAAATTACGATTGTATTTTAATCTACTCACTAAGTGAGTAAGAGCTTCTTCGTTGAACCACTGTGCATTAGATAGGGACCATATTTCTCAAAAGCTCCAAAGTGTATGTCTCTGCACTCAAGAGAGAGCAGAGCTGGAAAAACATTTCACTTGTGTTCTCATAACTCTGATCAAGATAGATGCTTTTATTTTTTTTCAGCATTTTAACTATGAAAGGTGAAGCTTTAATAGGCACACAATTTAGGCTGTTGTATATATTCTGGATTAAAAAGTTTAAATGTAACCATAAGAAAAAGCAAATAATAAATGCTATCACCTTTTGTTGTGTTTTCCTGCAAGTGTTTATTTTAAAATATATAATCTGTTTGACAAAAACACAAGTTTACAGATTGCATTACATTTTCGCACTGTTTTGAATTATGTGTAAGCAATAAATATAATTTCTGAGTTATTCCAAATTCCCTTTCATAAGCTCTCCTTAAGTTATTTTACACACTGCAAAGTTTAATTTAACCACGCTAGTTTTGTTTAATAGGTTAAAAGGAATTAAATTGGTCTTAAATTACGCTGTGAATAATAAAAATGCTAATAGGAAATATATTCCATAACACTAGTGCTGTATTTCTTAAAGCTATTGAAGCCTGGTTATCATTACAGTCAGTCTTAACCTACAGATGCCCAATCTATAAAATGAGTGTTGGTGACACAGGAAAGTGTGTGTGCATGTGTGTGTGTTGAAGAAAGCAGAGAGAGTCTACCATTTGGGCGCTGCTTTCTCTGATGATGATATTAATTTTTCTTTGTTCTCCAGTTCAGAAATCTTGGGGTGTGACTGTACCTGTGAGTTAGCTTCCTTGTTTTGCACTAAAGAGTGCTAACAAGATACTGGCCAGGCGTGGTGGTTCATGCCTGTAATCCCAGCACTTTGGGAGGCCGAGGTAGGTAGATCACTAGGTCAGGAGTTCAAGACCAGCCTGGCCAACATGGTGAAACCCCGTCTCTACTAAAAATACAAAAATTAGCCAGATGTGGTGGTGCATGCCTGTAGTCCCAGCTACCTGGGAGGCTGAGGCAGGAGAATCACTTGTACCCAGGAGGGAGAGGTTGCAGTGAGCCGAGATCGCACCACTATACTCCAGCCTGGTGACAGAGCGAGACTCCGTCTCAAAAAAAAAAAAAAAAAAAAAAAAAAAAAAAAAGACACTGGTCCTGGGGTTGTCTGGCATGGATCTCCCAGACATAACCCTCATCTCTGAATCAAGAAACTGGGAGAAGACTGCTCACACCACCTGCAGAAAGAAGGATAATCTGAGAGCCCAAGATGGGCCTTACATTTGTCTTTTTCCATAAAAATACTGTTATATATTAGTGTTTGATAAAGTAAAAATAATGATGTTATTATTATCTATCTCACATACATTATGGGTTAATACGTATTTGTGCCCTTGTGAACTGGCCCAGAAAAAATGAGAAAAAGATTTCTCGTTCCAAACAACCAAAATATAAACTGCCTTTGGGAAGGTAACCCTTTCCTAAGTTAGGGGCTGCTTATAATCACATACTTGACACCATTAAGCTTGTGGCTGGTGATGTTTGTGGCCTTATTATTTCTTTACTTTGTCTGCCAGATTGGATTTAGAAACATGAATGAAGCATTAACCTCACAAGGAAACTGTACTGAAATAAACAGCATAAATCTCTAGGCTGAGTTTGGCCTTTTGCCTTCTGTCTTTATATAGGATTTCCAAACAAGATGTGTCTAAGCTGTTCAAGAGTGAAAGCAAGAAAAAAGAGGAAGGAAGGAAGGAAGAAAGGGAGGAAGGGAGGGAAGCAGGAAGGAGGGAAGGATGAGAGGGAGGGAGGAAGGGAAGAGAGGGAGGGAGGAAGGGAAAAAAGGAGAAAGGAAGGGAGTAAGGAGAATAAGAAAGAAGGAGGAAAGACAGGAAGGAGGGAGAGAAGGCAGGAGGGAAGGAAAAAAGAAAGAATTGATATAACCTAATAATTTTGATACTATTCGACCCATTTCCTTGCCTTTATTTTCACCATTATTGAATCAGTGATGACAGCAGTAGATGCAGTAATGTGAAATGTTAACTCATCCATTCATTTATTCATTCTGCAGTATTTTTTACAGAACTTTGCTGTTTAGTATTTCTGTATTGCTAAGTAGCCTGCAGAGGGTGCACTTTCCTTATTTTTATGTCTTTCCATCCACTTATGACCAAAAGAGGACACAATGTTTTATAAGATTAAAAGAGATTATTCAATGAAAGAAGTGAGGAAGGCACAACTTCTCTTTTCTTTCTTCTACCAAATGTTACAAAATGAAATACGTAAAAGGCGTAGGGAATGCAATCTCTATTAGCTTCTTTGTTTTGTTTTGTTGTTTTTTTTTTGAGACAGAGGCTCACTCTGTCGCCCAGGCTGGAGTGCAGTGGTGCAATCTCAGCTCACTGCAAGCTCCGCCTCCTGGGTTCACGCCATTCTCCTGCCTCAGCCTCCCGAGTAGCTGGGACTACAGGCACCCCTACCATGCCCGGCTAATTTTTTGTATTTTTAGTAGAGACAGGGTTTCACTGTGTTAGCCAGGATGGTCTTGATCTCCTGACCTCGTGATCCGCCTGCCTTGGCCTCCCAAAGTGCTGGGATTACAGGTGTGAGCCACCGCGCCCGGCAGCTTCTTTGTTAATAGAAAAATCAATTTTAGTGACTTTTTTTGCATGGAGCCAGGATCATCAAGCCTGTGGCCTTCCTCACTTTTTTTTTTTTTAAAATTGCTGCATCCCCGGGACTTCGTTTTTTTTCTTGCTCTTTGTGTATGTGTGTTCTTATTTTTCCTCTCTATACTGCATTGGTCAATAGAAATATAATGCAAGCCATATATGTAATTTAAAATTGCTTAATAGTCACATTAAAAAACTAAAAAGGAGGTAAAATTCATTTTAAAATATTTTATTTACTCCAACTTACCAATTTTATCATTTCAACATTTTGTCAATATAAACATTTTATTGAATATTTTACTTTTTTTGGTACCAAATCTTTGAAATCTGCTGTGAATTTTGCATTTACAGCACCTCTCCTCTTGAACTGGTCACATTTTAAGCTGTGAATAGCCACATGGTACCAGTGGCAACTGTACTGGACAACACATCTATATACATTCCTTTTTCATTCACAATTTCTCCATCCCTAACCAAACCAGCAGAAAACAGTGTATTACCAAATGGTGCTGTTTACTCAGAAAATCTTTATGACTAATTATCCACCAATTTGAATCATGCAGGAAACATGAGATGGCCTGTGTTCCCTCTAAGAGACTGTCGTTTACAGTTTTGAGATTTTAAAAAATAGAATGTTTTTAGCCAGTTGATTTTTAAGTCACTCTAGTTCCCTCCATCACAAAATGAGGTATAGCTCTTAATAAAAGTCCTTCAATTTTATTTTCCTGAGTGTACATTTTCTTTTCTTTTTTTCTTTTTTATTTTTTCAATACAGCCCCTTGCTCTGTCACGCAGGCTGGAATGCAGTGGTGGAATCATGGCTCACTACAGCCCTGACCTCCTGGGCCCAGGTAATTGTCCCACCTCAGCCCCTCAAGTAACTGGGACCACAGGCGTGCACCACCACATCCAGCTAAGTTTTTCTTTCTTTTTTTTTCATAGAGATGGAGTCTCGCTATTTTGCCCAGGTTGGTCTTGAACACCTGGCTTCAAGCAGTCCTCCTGCTTTTGGCTTCTTGAAGTGCTTGGATTACAGGTATGAACTACTGCACCTGGCCTGTCCATTCTCAAATACATGATAGTAACTCCCATCTGCTGAGTGCTTCCTATGTACCAGGTACTATGTATTAATTGTTTATACATATAATTCCATTTAATATTCACAAAAGTCCTTTTGAGTTGGATACTGTTGTTATCACCTTTGTTTTAAAGATGAAGAAACTGAGCATGGGGAGGGCTAGGGGAGTTGTCTAACATAATCCAGCTAGAATACTGCAGAGCTGGGATTGCAAGCTGGGCCTGCATGACTCCAAATCCTGCCTTCTGTAATTTTATGCATGGTGTCTCCCAAGTGGGGAGTATATTAAATGCAAATTTAAGATGTTGGTAAAGGGTAGAATTCTAGAAGTGGTAGAAATCCTAGAGTTCTTATAATCAGCTCTCTTTGTTTTTATAAGAAAAATCTGAGGCAGAGCGAGGCTGAGTGGTTTCTCTGTTGAACATCCAGGACTGGAATCCAGGATTCTGAGTCCAAGCCCAGTGCTCTTTCCCCTGATGAGAAACCTTTCCAGATTTAAACCATTAACAACCCTCTCTAAAGAGGAGGCAAGAGGTTTCAATTTCTTCTCAGGGAAAAAAAGAACTGACATCAAAAGGTCTGTGCGGGGTCATTTGTCTCATCATGACTTTGATTTGGCCTTGATCTTTATTTAGTATTTCAGTTTTATGCTCTGCAACAAGTTTGGCCATGTTGGAGGACAATCCAAAGGTCAGCAAGTTGGCTACTGGCGATTGGATGCTCACTCTGAAGCCAAAGTCTATTACTGTGCCCGTGGAAATCCCCAGCTCCCCTCTGGGTGAGTATTCCGTCCACTTTCTGGAAGTCTCAGGTTCTGAAGGCTTTTTACACACTGCACCATGGGAGCCTAAGGCTGGTTGGGCAGCACCTCATTCTGCAGGGATCTGGGTCAGAGCAGGACAATGGCTCTACGACGTGCTGGGTGTTCTTCTATCTCCTTCAGTCAATGTGCTAGGATTGTGATTTCACTTTCTCACCAGGCAGGGGCTGCAGTTTACAGGAGAAAGACTATTCCTGAGTTTGTTCGACTGTGCTGTTTTTTTACTCCTCTTAACTGATTACAAATCTCTCCAACGTCTCTGACTCAGGCTCACTATGACTTTTTTGTTTTTGTTTTTGAGAAGGAGTCTCTCTCTGTCACCCAGGCTGGAGTGCAGTGGCACGATCTCAGCTCACTGCCACCTCCACCTCCTGGGTTCAAGCGATTCTCCTGCTTCAGCCTCCTGAGTAGCTGGGATTACAGGCATGTACCACTATGCCCAGCTAAGTTTTGTATTTTTAGTAGAGATGGGGTTTCACCATGTTGGCCAGGCTAGACTCAAACTCCTGACTTCAAGTGATCCGCCCGCCTCGTCCTCCCAAAGTGCTGGGATTACAGGCGTAAGCCCCTGCACCCAGCTGACTATCATAAGACTTCTATTTCCAAATAATAGCTCATATAATAACTTGTGTAAATATCTACAGATAGGCTTCCCTTATTATGGATGCACAATCCATTTTTCATACTGAATAATCTGTTAAGAGTATCTCTACAACTATTATTTCTCAGCTAATACTGAATTTTTTACCAAGAGCAATAATATTGTTAAAGACTAGAAATAACCCCTCCATAGCTCATTTAATAAGGTAATTCTCTTTATTTATGAAAAAGAAAGACCTAGGTTTTTTTGTTTGTTTGTTTGTTTGTTTTTGTTTTGAGATGGAGTCTCGCTCTGTCACCCAGGCTGGAGTGCAGTGGCGTGATCTCGGCTCACTGCAAGCTCCGCCTCCTGGGTTCACGCCATTCCCCTGCCTCAGCCTCCCGAGTAGCTGGGACTGCCGGCACCCGCCACCACGCCGGGCTAATTTTTTGTATTTTTTTTTTTTAGTAGAGATGGGGCTTCACCGTGTTGGCCAGGATGGTCTCAATCTCCTCCTGACCTTGCGATCCACCCGCCTCGGCCTCCCAAAGTGCTGGGATTACAGGCGTGAGCCACCGCGCCCGGCCGAGAAGGACCTAGGTTTAAGTTCCATCTCTGCCACTTAGCAGGCAGTAACCCTGGTCATATCAAGTAACTTGTATGAATCTCAATTTCCTTACCACTAAGATGAGAATGATGATAATTACCCTCCTTCTAGGATTACTGTGGGGAGCAAATGACTTATATGTGAAAGTGCTTTGTAAACTGTAAACTGTTTAAAGGTTAGTTTATGTCACATTGTCATGTATCTGTGAATATCATTTTTGTAAGTTTATATGTTATGCTTTAGGCTTGGACCAATCTAGGTCATAGTAATTACTCTAGGGCAATGGTTCTCAACTGGGGGCAATTTTTCCCCCAGGGGATATTTGGCAATGGCTGGAGATATTTTGGGGTGTCACAACCAGGGATATGGTACAAGAATCTAGTAGCTAGAGGCCAGAGGCTAGCCTAAACATCCCACAATCCACAGAACAGCTTCCCGCAACAACAATTATCTGGCCCCAAATGTCCATAGTGCTGAATTTGAGAAACTCTGCTAGACAGCAGTGGGTTCTCAAATGTTAGCATCTGTCAGAGTCACCCAGGGGAAGTATCGAAACACAGATGGCTGGACTCCATCCCAACATTTTCTGATTCAGAAAGTCTAGGGTGGGGCCTAAGTATTTGAATTTTTAGGAAGTTCCCAGGTGATGCTAATGTTGCTGGTCCAGACATTGCTCTTTGAGAACCATTTCTGGAGAGAAATCCTTCACTATGCATGGGTCGCTTTGATAGACTACTTTGCTTAGCCTACTGAGCAAAGTAGTATCTTATTAAATGGTGCAAAATTTGTATCAACTAGTTGAGAAGTTTGACTCTAGGCCAAAATCCTTTGTGTGATCTGTGTGTGATTTGAGATAATGACAAGGCAAGCTCCATGGAAGGAAGAAGCTGCCCTTCCCATACCAGACTCGGTGCACAGCCAGTGCCTTACGGTTTCCTCTAGGGAGTTGCAGTCAAGGATTCATGCGGGTATCTTTCTTCTCACACCTGTAATCCCAGCACTTTGAGAGGCCGAGGCAGGAGCATTGCTTGAGCCCAGGAGTTCAAGACCAGCCTGGGCAATATGGCAAAACCCCATCTCTACCAAAAATACAAAAAAATTAGCCGGGCATGGTGGCATGCACCTGCAGTCCCAGCTACTTGGAGGCTGATGTGGGAGGATGGTTTGAGCCTGGGAGGCGGAGGTTGCAGTGAGCTGAGATTGCACCACTGCACTCCAGCCTGGGTGATAGAGCCAGATCCTGTCTCAGAAATGAAAGGAAAGGGAAGGGGAGGGGAAGGGAGCAGAGGAGAGGGGAGGGGAGGGGAAGGGAAGGTTAGGCTCATTCATTTAAAAAAAAAAAAAAAGAGATTCTGTTCCACCACCCCACCCCCACACCCCTGCACCCACATGTATGCGTGTCTGTATGCCTAGCCCAGGTGTCTCTATTCAGAGGCTGTCTGTTGGGGGCCTTGGCTGAGGCACTTTCCTCCACTTTGACTCCACGCCTTTCTACTCCTAGCCCTTTCCCGTTTCCCAGCCTGTGGGCTATAAAGAGGCAGGAGCCTTTTGTGTGGGGCAGGGGCTCATTTTTCTTGCCTGTTCTGCATGTCATCTGATCCTCACCTAGAGCTGTTCCAGGGGGATAAGGGGAATGTGGGGGAGCTGGAGCCGTCCTCTTTTGCCTCTTGCCCGCACTGTTGTAGAAGAGAATAAAGACCTGATTGTTACTCTCAGTTTGGCTCATTGAATTAATTGACCACCTCAACATCTGATTCCTCAAAAGCCAGTATTAAGTATTTTCCTTCACCTGTGGTCTCCCAACTTATGTGCTGTGAATACAAATGTTGTAGCACAAAAACATCTGCTGTGACCAACTATTCCAGAGCAGTGGTTGAGAACTGTACATGGTAATATCTGGGGATCTTGTTAAAATGTTTCTAATTCTGTAGGTTCTGGGATGGGGCTTGAGATTCTGCATATCTGAAAAGCTCCTGGAGGGATATTGGTTTTACTGGTCCAGGGACCACACTTTGAGTAGCAAGACTAAAGTGTCAAGGAATTAACAATTTCATTTAAAGAATTAGAATTAATACACAGAGAAACACAAAACAATTAGGGCAGTGCCACTTGATAGTATCAGCTGTTTAAGAGGAAACATGAGGTGATTTTGAAACAGTGGTATTTAACTCTGGGCTGCAGCTCAGAAGCTTATTATTGATTTTCTGCATGAAAAAATGTTTTTAGAAGTAGGTGTTTATAGTGAGAAGTAGGCTGGATTAGGAGTTGAAAGTCACATTTTCAGCCTGGTAATTGGCCTTCTGAGCTGTGGGATCTTAGGAAATTTAGTGTCTACCAGCTTAGTTCTACTAGGAAGTAGGGTTGAAAATGTACACTAAGTTTTGAAAATATATTGACAATACACATAGAAAACACCATTCGTTTACTTGTTCATTCAAAATATACCTTAGGTGCGTACTTTGGGCCAAGCACTATTCTAGGTGCTGGGGAATATATCAGTGAATAAGACAGATGCAGTTCCCTGATCTCACAAAGCTCAGAGTCTAGTGGTAAAGAGAAACATCAAAGAGGCAATAATAATAATAACTAGGGTGAGGTTGATGATAGGGAAAGCACAAAGTGCACAAAGAGTTTATAGCAGGTGAATGACCTACATCTAAAAGTCAGGTAGGACCTCCTTAAGACAATGATGTTTAAGCTGAGATCTGAAGGCAATGGCTCCAGGCAGAGGGATGATATATTCCAAGGCCCAGGGATGAAAGAGCACAGTGACCAGATTGTGTTCAAGTATGGTTGAGCACAGAGAGTGAAAGGGAGCATGGCTATGAGTTTGGAGAGGCACTATATTCAACAGGACACATTTGATTACAGGTGCCAGAAGCCAACTCATAGAAGCTTATGTATAAAAGAGAAATTGTTGGTTTACTGAACTGGGAAGTCCGTTGGGTAGAGCTGGCCTCAGGCAGAGAAATGAAATCATCCGATCTATCTCTTTGCTCTCTTCCTCTCTTCTACTTCCCTCCATGTGCTGCTCTTATTCTTCCCCATTTCAGGAGCGCTTCCTTCATATGGTTGGGAAATGACAGAGTATGATTACAGGTAGTTCAAGGTTTACAGCAACCCAGTTTAGCAACTGAAAAGAAAAAGGAGGTCACCTTTCTTTCAGAACGCGTTTAAAATCTCGGCTAAGAACTCTGATAGGAACTTGGAAGAGCACCATTTTTAATCCTAGGCTAACGATTGTGGCTGGGGGATGAGAGGAGTATTGTGATTGGCTGTCCCACCAAAATCACAAGTAGGGGTAAGGGATACTACCTTAGTGGGAAAGGAGTTGCAGTTATCAGGAAAAGAGGGACACATAATACTGGGCAGACAGAACCCAAAAATATTCACTCAGAGTATCTAGTAGGAATTTGGAGGGAGTATGCATACTATGGTAAGCATGGTTTTTCCTAACTGCAGCATAGATGGTAAGTTTAGTTTTGAAGAAACTGAAGTGTCTATAAGCTATAGGGTAGTAGATAGATATTTAGAACTTATTATCCAAAGAAAAATAAGAAGAGAGGGGAAGAAAAGAGAAAAACGCTCTTATAAATAAAAAATATTACTATTGTTCATAAAACATAGGAGGTAGAACAAAATTAAAATTTATTTTAAATTTTATTATTGCCACTGCAATTCCCCTTACGTCAACCTTGATATACCTTTTAAATATTTAAGGTGTAATGATTACTTCAGTTCTTAGGCCAATAGATAGTCAGATTTGCTACATAGTCTCCCTTACAAGTTTTTTTTTTATTAGTCATTTCTTCTGTAGACATTATGGTCAAATAACACGATATGTAGTTATCATAGCAATTGATTTCACATAAATTAAGCCAAGGAGCAACATAATGAAAACATGCAAAGATATAATTTATATGATGTTTTTAATTGGTCAGAAATGGCTTACTGACTAATGTTATAATATTGGGATTAATAGAAGTAGAAAGAATGTTGATTTCTACCCCCCGCACCCAGATTTTAGCTCAATTAACATAAACTGGTTGAACAGTTAAGGTTGGACAACATCATAAAAAATGTGTGTGGGGACAAACTGTACATTCTATAAACTGTTGTGTCTGTATAATTTGAAGGAATTATAGGGAAAAAATCTAGGTTGTATATTACCTAGATTTGCGCTAATATGATAGCTATATAACTTTGAATTAATTATAATTAAATAAAATAAAAAATTTAGTTTCTTGGTCATGCTAGCCATACTTCAAGTGCCAAGAGGCACATGAGGCTCATGTCTACCATACTGGACAATAACCATCTAGGACATTTCCATTATCACAAAAAGTTCTGTTGGAGAGCACCAGTCTACACAGCACCAGCAAGTCAGTTCCCTTTCTTTGGAATGAAATAAGCTAAATAAAATTTTTAAGAGGGATTTTTCTCTCCGTGTGCTCCACAGTAAGCACTGTCAACTCTATGTTTAAGATGCATCCCAAATCTACCCACTTCTCTTTTTTTCTACTGTTACTCTCTGAGCCTGAGCCATTTTTATCTCCCATCTGGACAACTTCAATAGTCTCCTGACTCACCCCTCTATTTCCATTCTTTCAATTTATATATGGTCTCCATGGAGCAGCTGGAATGATTTTTAAAAAACACGTACTGGTTTTAAATTTCTTGAGAAAAAAAGGAATGTGAAAGAAGGACACAATATTTTCTGAATTTCCATTACTTGTGCCACTGTGCACCGTTCTTTCAAAGAAGCGATCTTCTTTAATCTTTACAATAATAAAGGAAAAGGGAGGTATTATAATTCCTTTTTGCAAAGGCGGAAATTAGGACTCAGAGAGGGCAAATAACTAGCTTGTGTTCACCTAGCTAGTAAGTGGCAAACCCTTTGAAGAAATGAATGGATGATTTAAACAGCCAAGTCCTAAGCTTTCTACTAGACTACCTCGCCAAACATTATTAAGCACTGAAGGAGATTTGTTACTGGGCTTCTTCCTTTTGAGGAAGAGAGAAATTCTTTGTATCTTTCTCTACCTTATCTGCTCATTTATCTGGACTTTGCCTCCTCAGTTATGAGTATAGCAGTCCCCTCAGGGTGAAGTTGAAGGTCTCTATTCTTTTAATTCTCAAAGATGCCAAAGTGGCAGGTACAGTTTTGACCCCATATGGAAAGGGTCTCCTCCCAACCAAGTTGGGCTTGCTCTTCCACGGTTTAGGGCAGTGGTTCACTCATTTTTAGGTCTGAGGCACAGTTTAAAATACTAGCTTTCTTTTCTTTTCTTTTCTTTTTGAGACAGGGCCTGCTCTTTCCCCCAGGCTGGAGTTCAGTGGTGTAATCATGGCTCACGGCAGCTTTGACTTTCTGGGCTCAAGCAATCCTCCCACCCCAGCTTCCCAAGTAGCTGGGACTACATGTGTACACCACTGTACCCAGCTAATTGATTTTTTTTTTTTTTTTTTTTTTTTGTAGAGACGGGATCTTGCCATGTTGCCCAAGCTGATCTTGAACTTCCGGGTTCAAGCCATTTTCCTGCCTTGGTCTCCCAAAGTGCTGAGATTACAGGCATGAGCCACTGCGCCCAGCTAAAATACTAGTTTTTGAAGGCATTTAAAGGAGTTGAAAGATTCAAAACAGCTCACACACAAAAAGCCAGTATAATAACAACAAATTATAATAAAATAAAACATCTCAATATATATAAGTACAGCCATGGTTATCATGGTTGTTATTACGCCCTTCCCCTGCTTTGTTCCACATGTTCCATCTGCCTAGCCTCACTGTATTTAAGAGTCTGTGTACTGAGTTGTAGCAAAAGTATGTTGTATTCCTTTTATTATCTTTATTGCAGCTGGAAGGATCTCTGTGAAGATATTGCAACATAACAGTTGGTCAGAGCAGGTTAGAAACCTCTTCTTCCTTTCCTCTTAAGAAACAGATCTCTATCTTCCTGTGACAGACTAATTTAAAAAAAACAAAAAAGGGGCCGGGCGCAGTGGCTCACGCCTGTAATCCCAGCACTTTGGGAGGCCGAGGCGGGCGGATCACGAGGTCAGGAGATCGACACCATCCTGGCTAACACGGTGAAACCCCGTCTCTACTAAAAATACAAAAAATTAGCCGGGCGTGGTGGCGGGCGCCTGTAGTCCCAGCTACTCGGGAGGCTGAGGCAGGAGAATGGCGTGAACCTGGGAGGCGGAGCTTGCAGTGAGCCGAGATCACGCCACCTCACTCTAGCCTGGGCGACAGAGCGAGACTCCGTCTTTAAAAAAAAAAAAAAAAAAAAAGGAAATGGATCTCCTCCTCCCACCTTTGTCCTCTGAGCGGCAGCCCGAATGAATAGGAAGCTGTCAGCATCAGCCACGTATGCCCTGGAGAGTCACAAGCCTCACTGGTTTTCGGCATGGCTGCCTTTCTTCATCTCAATTGAGTAATCTTCAAACCCTTGTTTCCCCACTCCACATTTCTTAGTATAAATATCATTTCAGTTCGCTTCTTGGGCTACGGATAAAGCAGAGGAGGGGTATGAAATTTTAGAAAAATAGAGATGAATACTTTGTTTCAGTCCTTAATTTTACTGATGAGGAAACTGACTACTAAGAGGTTGCAGTAACTTTCCCAAAGTCATACAGCTAGTTAGAGTGTGGATTTCAGAGCCACACTGGATTTAACTTCCAGTGCTGTCATTTACTAGCTGTTTTGAGTTTGGGAAAGTCATGTAAATATTCTGAGTCTCCGTTTTCTCTGTAAAATGAAGATGATAATAGTTAGATCACAGAGTTGTTGGTTATTGCAAACTATTACGCATCACCTGGAAAAGTGTAGTAGTTATCTATTACGGTGTTACAGATAACCCCAACATTAGCAGCTTAAAACAGCAAACTTTTTTTTTTTTTTTTTTTTTTTTTTTGAGATGGAGTCTCTCACTCTTGTCACCCAGGCTGGAGTGCAATGGCACGATCTCGGCTCACTGCAAGCTCCACCTCCTGGGTTCCCACCATTCTCCTGCCTCAGCCTCCCGAGTAGCTGGGACTACAGGTGCCCGCCACCACACCTGGCTAATTTTTTGTATTTTTAGTAGAGACAGGGTTTCACCGGGTTAGCCAGGATGGTGTCGATCTCCTGACCTCGTGATCCGCCCGCCTCGGCCTCCCAAAGTGCTGGGATTACAGGCATGAGCCACTGCGCCCGGTCCCTCTTTTTTTTTTTTTTTAATTAGTCTGTCACAGGAAGATGGAGGTCTGTGGATCTGGGATTACAGGCATGAGCTACCGCGCGTGGCCGCAAACATTTTTTATCTTACGATTTCTGTGGGTCAGCAATCTGGGTGTGGCTTCGCTGGATACCTCAGGCTCAGCATCTACTACAAAGCTGCATGATAGGTCATGCAAAATGCCATTTACATGGGTGTGAAAAGCAGGAAGTGGAATCATTGGAGACCATTTTCCAGGCTGTCTAGCACAGAGTATCTGCTTCATAATGATTGATTTGGGATTAGATACTGGGTCAAGTAATAATGTCACCCACACAGATTATTGGATCAATGTTCACCTGAAGGCTTTGTTCTCAGCCTGGTCTTGTTTAACATGTTTGTTTTGTTTTGTTTTTTTGAGACGGAGTCTCGCTCTGTCACCCAGGCTGGTGTGCAGTGGCGCCATCTCTGCTCACTGCAAGCTCCACCTCCCGGATTCAGCCATTCTCCTGCCTCGGCCTCCTGAGTAGTTGGGACTACAGGCGCCCGCCACCATGCCCAGCTAATTTTTTGTATTTTTAGTAGAGACGTGGTTTCACTGTGTTAGCCAGGATGGTCTCGATCTCCTGACCTCATGATCCACCTGCCTTGGCCTCCCGAAGTGCTGGGATTACAGGCTTCAGGCACCGTGCCCGGCCACATTTAACATTTTTATCAGTGACTTAGATGATGATATAAAACAATAGTATCTAATTTTTCTTGATTATGTGTCAGTAAAAACTTGTAAGTGTTCACTTCAAATATATATATTTATTTATAAGTTAACACATGTGCCAGTGTTAATCTATTAACTAATAGTGACTTACTTTCATTCATTCTTTAGATTTAAAAAGTTACAAATAGAAGTTCCATTATTTTTTCACCTGAATCCCAAAGGATTCTTATGTACTCTCTGGGTGTGCAAAACCCACCAACAGAGAAAGTGACTGAGAGATGGAGAATGTGGTGGATGTCACAGTCAGGATCTAAAGAAAGTACCAAGATTGGGGCTAAATCATGTAAACAATCAACATCCCAGGGGCACTGCTGGCACATGAATCACATTGTGGGGATCCTTGCAGAGGTGCCCTCTTTGAGCAGAAGAAAGACAAAGATTATCTCCTTCTTTAGGGAACAGAGTGTGGCGAACTGAGTCCAGGTTGGATTTCAGTCACTTCTCATCTGTGCCTCTTCTTGTGCAGTGCACAAAAGGTACAACAATCCATGGAGACCTGTGGCTTTCCATTAACAAAGAGGCCGTTCTTGGAATTTCAAGTCAGTTGACTTAACTGAGGCTCAAGAAACAGAAAAATTAAGTATATGGTGGAAACAAGCCTCAGAAATAAGGCTAAATCTCAGCTTTTTAAGACATAGATCACACATTTGGCCAAGATATCAAGACTGACTTGATTCTCTCTCTCTCTCTCTCTTTTTTTTTTTTTTTTTTTTTTAAACACAGGGTCTCGCTATGTTGCCCAGGCTGGTCTGGAACTCCTGAGCTCAAGAGATCCTCCCTCCTCCGCCTCTCAAAGTGCTGGGATTACAGGCATGAGCCACCGTGCCTGGCTGAAATTGAATTGATTCTATGACCTTCTTGTTTTCATCTTTTTAGCCCCAAAAGGGGGGAGACTAGGTTCCCTTTTTAAAAGTGTGGACTGGATAAATGACTCAATTCTAAAGAATAAAATATGACGGAATATGTATAATTAGGTCATAGAATGCCTCATGGCTTCTTTCTTATTCTCTCTTGGATTATGGACTCTGGGGGAAGCTGCCATGTGGTGAGGGCACTCAAGCAACCCTATAGAGGGGTCCATGTAATGAGGAACTCAGGTCTCCTGCTAACAGCCATGTAAATGAGTCATCTTGGAAGCAGATCCTCCAGCCTTGGTCAAGCCATCACAGGACTGCTGCCCCCACCAGCTAACAGATCGATTGCAACTGCGGGACAGACTCTCAGCCAGAACCACCTAGCTAAGCTGCTCCCAGATTCTTGACCCATAGAAACTGTGAGAGGTAATGGGTATTTGTTATTTTAAGCTAGGGGTTGGCAAAGTACTGCTCCAAGGCCAAATCCAGTCTGCAGCCTGTCTTTGTAAATAATGTTTTATTGGGACAAAGCCATGTCTGTTGGTTTATATAGTGTCTATGGCTACTTTCCCATTACAACAGCACAGTTGAGTAATTGTGATAGCAACTATGTGACCCACAAAGCTGAAGATGTTTACCATTTGGCCGTATGTTACAGAAGGAAGGTTCATGGCTGGGCATGGTGGCTCACGTCTGTCATCCCAGCACTTTGGGAGGCTGAGGCAGGAGGATCACAGGAGCCCAGAAGTTCCAGACCAGCCTGGGAAACATGATAAGACCCATCTCTACAAAAAAAAAATTAAAAATTACAGTCAGACGCGGTGGCTCATGCCTGTAATCCCAGCACTTTGGGAGGCCGAAGAGGGCAGATCACTTGAGGTCAGGAGTTCGAGACCAGTCTGGCCAACGTGATGAAACCCTTCATCTCTACTAAAAGTACAAAAGAATTAGCCAGGCGTGGTGGCATGCTCCTGTAGTCCAGGCTACTTGGGAAGCTGAGGCAGGAGAGTTGCTTGAACCTGGGAGGTGGAGGTTGCAGTGAGCCGGGATCGTGCCACTGCACTCCAGCCTGGGTGACAGAGTGAGACTTTGTCTCAAAAAAAAAAAAAATTAGCCAGGCATGATGTTATGCACCTGTAGTCCCAGCTACTCAGGGAGGCTGAGTTGGGAGGATTACTTGAGCCCAGAAGGTTGAGGCTGCAGTGAGCCAAGCTGTGATTGCTCCACTGCACTTCAGCCTGGGTGACAGAGTGAGACCCTGTCTCAAAACTAAACTAAACTAAAATAAAAAGTTTGGCAATTCCTGTTTTAAGCTTTTGGAGTAATTTTTTTTTTCTTGCACAGCAGTAGATACCTAATATGGAGGAAACTGACAATGCTTTAATTTGTGTTGAGAGCACCCAGCAACACAAACTCTTGCCATGATGTTGTTTACTTTTTTCCCCTTCTTGATACATATTTGTTTTGTTGTAGTTTGTGTGTTTTTTGTTTGTTTGGTTTTTTGCAAATCAGTATCAGGCCTTGTGTCCCATGAGGCTCTGCTGCTCAAAGGGTGGTCCTTGGTCCCAGCAGCATCAGCACCAGCACAGACAACCCTTTAAAAACAACAGACATTTTTTTTTTCTCGGGGTTTTTTCTGTTCTCATTTCAAAACTATTCTTCATTTCTCCTCTTGGCAAGAGCTGTGGTTTACATGTAAACTATTGCTGTCTCTGCAGAAGAAAATCACTTTCCCTACCTTTAAATGAGTTGACTTCTCATTCCATTGTTCGTGGCCTGTGTTGGTGATGCCTGTAGTAGTTGTTTCATTTCCAGTTGCATGGTGGACAGAACAATAAGCAAATCCCCCACGTGGAGGCAAGCTTTGCTGTTTTCAATTCTGTGCTAACCAGCCTTACGCACATGCTGTGAATTTGAGAACCTCCTTTGCCGAAGCCGGGAAAGCTTGTCTGGATTAGAAAAGTCCTCCATAGAAACCTGACACTGTCCTGAGCTGGAGTATTTGGAATCACACACAGGAAAGGCTGGGTATTTGCTGACCTGCCTGAATGGCAGAATGTGTGTGCGGTTGTCTCCAATTACAGCACTCCAGGAAGCATCACCCCAAAAGTGCGCTTGCTATGAACCACAGCGTGTCCTTCGGCTAATCCTCGTTAGCTGAGGTGGATTCTCTTTCTACATGTACCCTCTTTTCGAAGTGGTATCCTTCCTGCAGTCTTTTCATGCCTTGGCCTAAGACTCTGGACACAGGCCTAGCTTTGCCCCCACCAGATCCATTCGATAGTTTTTCATGAATCACCAGCTCTCCTGGAGAAACTCAGGGTTCTAATTATTGAAGAACCATGCATAGGGAACTGGAGATAAGCCACGGGTAAGACTTTCCCACATGTTTCCTAAAAAGGGAAGAAGGTCTCATTGGAAGCCCCCTAACATTCAAATGGCAGGAGCTGTCTGATTTCCACCCAAGAATCCAGCTCTGAGTTAGTGGTGGGATCTAATCACCAATCATTCTCTGGGCAATTCCTCATTTTTTGCTTTCCGTCTACAATGACCCCATCACTGGAAGTGGAGCTTGCCCTGGGGAATGCTATATTGAAAAAGGCCTTGCTCTCTGATCTTTCTCAGTCCTCCTACAGGTGATCGTTCATTCTCTTCCTCCGCCTTCCCATGCCATGCTGATGATTAACATTCAACAGATCTGATTCTGCCCTGCCTTCTTCCTGTTGCTCATTCCACTGAGCCTCTCGAGCTCTGAGCTGAAAACCAAGATGATAAGGATGAGGTCTTTGGCCTCAGGGAGGAGCTTCCTGCTTAGTTATCCAGTTATACCTATAAAGGAATAATCCTAGTACTGTGTGATTAATGATCTAAAGGACATTCAAGAGCTATGGGATCCTTGAGGAAGGAGTGTGTAATTATTTATCTGGAGAAGTGGGATGGGGCAAGAGATTCCAGGCAGTGGGAAAAAACATACCAGATAGAGGCACAGGGCCATGAAACCACATGGGGAAGAGCTTATAAGCAGTTCCTTCAGAGAAACAGTCTTTTCATAAATCTCGTCTTAGAAGCTCTGTGTGGAAGGGGCCAGTGGGGGAGGAGGGGCAGTGACATTCAAGAGCGTTTTAAATCACCTCCCCACATTGTATGGGACTAAGGTGAGTCCTGTCTGGAGTTGATGCTTGGATAGAAAAAATGCATATGATCCTGTACTCTGACTGTTGGAAGAGGGCTACATAGAGGGAGACAGAAAAAAATTCTACTCCTTATGAATTCTTTTTCTTAAAATGTTGCTGAAGGTAGCTCTACAAAATTAATCCCTGGCCAGGTCTTGCATGGTTCCTGGCCTTTTCTTCACAAAATTGAGACCCCATGAACCTCCCTGTCTTCTCATCTGTAGGCTCACACTAATCCCTAGGCTCTAAGATCAAGCCAGACTGGGGTATAAGTAACCTATATGGAATTTCCACACAAATCAGGAAAAGGCATCTTCTTCTGTGTGGTCCAGGGCATGTCAAGGATAAGACTCCTTTGAAAGTACTAAGAAAACGGCACTTTTTTTTTGTTTTGAGATGGAGTATTGCTCTGTCGCCCAGGCTGGAGTACAGCGGCATGATCTCAGCTCACCACAACCTCTGCCTCCCGGGTTCAAGCTATTCTGCCTCAGCCTCCCGAGTAGCTGGGACTACAGGCATGCACCACCACACCTGGCTAATTTTGTATTTTTAGTAGAGACAGAATTTCACCTGTTGGCCAGGCTGGTCTCGAATCCCTGACCTCAGGTGATCCGCCTGAAAAAGGCAGTACTTCCGAAGAAAGAGGCACCTACTTCTTTAGGAAGATAGACTCCAATAATGGGGTTATGGCTTGGAGAGCATTGCTGAGCTGGGTTTTATCCCCATCCACTTCTCTCAGTCTGGGGCCCTTGCACTGATCACAATCTGTACAACCACGTGTGCCAGTTCGGGAACATGACCTCTGGCCAGAAAGTTTTAAGGATCAGACATGAGTTCAGTATTGAAAGGTTTAGAATTGAGTCACTGCTGCCACTAGTCCCTCTCTAGCCTGATGTCCCAGCTCTGAGCAGTGGGGCTTTGTCTCTGCGTCTCAGACTAGTTTCTGCCTTGTTATGGTTCTGCACACAGAGCCTCATGTGGCCAAGCTGTTGGAGCAGGCCTCTGCCCTACTCTCCGCCCCTAGCCCCATCCTGAACACTTGTCTATTCTGCCAGTCCTTGAAGCACAGGATCTTGCTCTTTCTGATAGCTTTGTCCAATTCTGTCCAAGCTGCGGCTTGTTGGGGAAGAAAGAAGGCAGGCCTGTGTAGGGCTTTAGGGCTGACTGCTAAGAGAAGGAAGATGGCTGGCATTCAAAGTCTGGGGTGTATTAAAGTCTGACTTAGGCCAGGCGTGGTGGCTCACGCCTGTAATCTCAGCACTTTGGGAGGCCGAGGCGGGTGGATCATGAGGTCAGGAGTTCAAGACCAACCTGGCCAAGATGGTGAATCCCCGTCTCTACTAAAAATACAAAAATTAGTCGGGCATGGTGGTGGACACCTGTAATCCCAGCTACTCAGGAGGCTGAGGCAGAGAATTGCCTGAACACAGGAGGCGGAGGTTGCAGTGAGCAGGGATCTCGCCACTGCACTCTAGCCTGGGCAACAGAGCGAGACTCCATCTAAAAAAAGGAAAGAAAGAAAACAAAAAAGTCTGACTTATAAAGAAAATTGGTCTAAGATGAAGGATGAACTCTCAGGAACAGAAAGCAACAGTATAGAGACTGCCGGCAGCCCAAACAAGAGTGATTTCCCTTTTGTGATCCTATTTTGTTTCCGCAGGAAAAGTGGTGTAAGTGAATCATGATAATCCTATTTCTTTCTGCAGTGATTTAGGGTAGGCCTGTTCCCTGGTTCTGGGGAAGTCTAATGAGAGCCTCTGGGAAAGATTTTCTTCCCTTGCCACCCCCACCTGTCTTTGGAAGTTGTCACGTGGGGATGTGGTATCTTGAGCTGCAGCAGCCATGTTGAGACCATGAGCGAATAAAGTTATGAAAAAAATAGGGACACTAAAACAAAGTGTTGACTTTATTGAACTGCTACATTAATCAATCCTGTCTCTGGACTTCTTGTTATGTGAGAGGATAAATGTCCATTGGTTAAACTATTTTTGTTGAGTATTCTATTAAAGGTTAGTGAAAATAACTGATATGGAAATTATTGTTTGCTAGGCATTGTGCTGCAACTTCATAATATTCATGACAACTCTATGCAGTATGTCTTGCTGTTATCTCTCTTTTTGTATATGAGTAAACTGAAGTTCAGAAATGTATTTTGCCCAACAACATTGCAAGGAACATACTTATTTACATATATTTTGATAAATGGGATTAGTTATTTTCTTGAGTTAATTTCCTGGGAAGGAAACTACGAGCTTGAAGAGTATACATATTGTTATTGATTAAATGTCTGTGTCCCCCTAGAATTCATATGTTGAAGTTCTTACCCTCATTGTGACTGTATTTTGAGACAGGGTCTTTAGGACCTAATTAAATAAAGTCGTAAGAGTGGGACCCTGATCAGATAGGCTTAGTGTCCTTATAAGAAGAGATACCAGATAGCCCCCTCTCTCCATGCGCACACAAAAAAGAGGTCATGTGAGGACATAGCAAGAAGGTGGTTGTCTGCAAGCTACGAAGAGAGCCCTCATCAGGAATGGAATCAGCTAGCACCTTGATCTTGGACTTCCTAGCCTAGAACTGTGAGAAATAAATTCCTGTTGTTTAAGCCCTCTAATTTATAGTATTTTCTTATGGCAGCCTAAGCTGACTAAAAGGTTTTTGACACCTACTGCCAAATTGTCCTCCAGAAACATTATACCAGTTGGCATTCCTACCAGTAGTATATAAAAAAATACATATTTCCCTGTGCTTATATCAGTACTGAATGTAACCTTAGAAGAACTGAATTTAAAGTGCAGTATACCTTACAGCATCTGGGTATGTTTGGACAAACCACTCCCCTCTCTGAGTCCCAGTATCCTCATTTGTCAAATTAGCATCATAATAATCCCTGTCTTGTTGGTGCCATCTCACAGCACTGTTGGGAGTTCCAATGAGATGAAGTATGAGAAGATGTTTTGCAAACTGTAAAGGAAAACATAAGTATTGTTGGTGGTGTTATTCATCTCCCTGCCTCAGTAGAATAAACTGTAGAATGTTTAGGAGGTCAAATGAAACAGTCAAAAATAATTTTGCAGTGTTCAGTCAGCTCCAATGGTGTGAAAATTAGTCAAAATGAGAAATGCATGAATGCTTTGGTTACAGTCTTGAAGGTCAACTTGAATCTGAATTCAATGTCGGCTGGACCCAAATAATTTTCTAGAATCAGAAAATTCTACTTCCTACTAGGTTGACATTCGTAACCTTCCTGGATCCTATCAGAGAAACCTTGTTCATCATTTCATTTCCAAATTATGAAGACCACCTGGGCCTGACTGAAGATGCTTGTTTCTTCCTCTTCCCTAACGCCCTTTCCACCAGTGCGGACTGCAGGTATGGACATAGGGAAGGGTGGGTAAGTATTAAGTGCTATGAGCTCCGAGGAAGAAGAAATTCCATATATACAACCAGATAGTGCATGTGTGTGTAATGCTTATTTTGTGCCCATTTAATTAATGCCATGATCACTATTCCTTCTAGTAATTAATTTGATTTTCATTAGTAATAGAAAGATAGATCAACTCCTTGAAATCAGAGAGAGCTTTAAAAAATGCTCAGCCAGGAGGTGTTAAGTATTTCACTAAGTGTGAGACTTCTGGCAAAACCCCCATCTCAGCATTCGGTTGTTCTCTTTGTTAACAGTTGTTGGCAGAGATACAGGAATAGATTTTGACCAGCAATTCCATAAGTACTTTACTCTACTGAAATCCATTTTTTGATTTATAAACTGCACATTTAATGTAAATAGCACATTATTCCCCTCGTCACAGAGTTGATATAGTAATGATGAATGTCTATAAGTGATAATTACTCTGCATTTAGGGTTCTCTGCATGATCTCGGCTCACTGCAACCTTATACAAACCTTATACAAACAGTTATATCTCAAGCTGGCCCTAGGCAAAATTGTACAATGGTCTAATAAAGTGTCTTTTACTTATATCTTACGTTCTGCTGCTGCTTCTTATATATATACATAGTGTAGACTCCCAGGAGTGGGATTTCTGGGTCAAAGGGTATGTTGAATTTGTCTTCTGTTATTGTCAGATTGCTCTCCAAGAAGACATTAATCTAGCAATGTGTAGTAGATTTCTCCTGCAAACCCACCAACAAGAGATGTTATCTATTTTTAGAATGTTATGAGTACAATGCTGTATAAAGTGATATGATACTGTGTACTTACTTGCATTTCTGTGACTATTAGTAAATTTGAGCATATTTTTACTTTTCTTCAAGCCTTGTATAACTTTTAACCATTCACGTTTTTTCTTTTACTATCTTCCATTACATCTACAGCAACCAGCCATTTTTCTTTAAACACAAAATTAATCTATTTTCCATAAATAAAAAACACATCCACTATTAGAACATATATTCATATTTCTTTGCCACCATATCCCTCCATCACTCACATCAATTACAATTTTGACTAAAGTCATTAACTTTGAGGTACGTCTACTTTTTCACTTTCTGGAATTTCTATATTCAGATGCTTGGGGGACTAATGCTCTAATGTTCTTATCATCCTGTTGCTCCGTTTTTTATCTCTGTATCTTTTTTTTTTTGAGGCAGGGTCTCTATCTGTTGCCCAGGCTGCAGTACAGTGGCGTGATCTCAGCTCACTGCAACCTCCACCTCCCCAGTTCAAGCAATCCTCTTGCCTCAGTCTCCCAAGTAGCTGGGATTACAGGTGTGTGCCCCCAGGCCCACCTAATTCTTATATTTTTAGTACAGATGGAATTTCACCATGTTGGCCAGGCTGGTCTCAAACTCTTGATCTCAAATGATCCACCCCCGCTCAGTCTCCCAAAGTGTTGGGATTATAGGCATGAGCCACCACACTCGGCCATCTCTGTACCTTTTTGTTCTATTTGCTGGTAGTTCCTAAACTTCATGTCCCACCCCTTCTATTGAATTTTTCATTTCTGCTTTCATGTTCTTAATTGTGAAGAACTTCTTTTTGTTCTCTGAATGTTTCTTTTAAAAATGCTATTCTATTCGTATTTCATGGATGCAATATCTTAAATCTGAACGTATATATTTTAAAAAGAGTTCTCTCACTCTCAGCATTGTCTCTCATTGCTGTTTTTGGTCCCTGTCTTCCATGTAAAAAATGTTCCTTGGGGGCTGGGCGCAGTGGCTCACGGCTGTAATCCCAGCACTTTGGGAGGCTGAGGTGGGCGGATCACAAGGCCAGGAAATCAAGACCATCCTGTCTAATAGGGTGAGACCTCATTTCTACTAAATATACAAAAACTTAGCCAGGCGTGGTGGTGAGTGCCTGTAGTCCCAGCTACTCGGGAGGCTGAGGCAGAAGAATTGCTTGAACCCGGAAGGTGGAGGTTGCAGTGAGCCGAGATCACACCACTGCACTCCAGCCTGGGCGACAGAGCGAGACTCCTTCTCAAAAAAAGAAAAAACAAAACAACAACAACAACAACAACAAAAAACGTTCCTTGGATGTCTCATCATCCTTAGTTGTCTGCTCTTATTTAACAGTGGGGAGCTAAGAGGCTGGCTGGTGTTCTGGGTGTGTCAGGTGGGCTTATGGAGTACAGAGTGACCCCACTGTTTGGATTGGTGAGGAGCTCTATTCCCTACCCCTCCATTGTCCCCCTTCCCACTGCACCACATCAACATGTTTAGATCTATCTTCTTGTCCAAGTCTCTTGAGAAGAATCTTCATCTCTTGCCTGGAGGGTGAGAGCTTGACTGTTTGCATTGTGGATTTTGAGAAGGACTGGAAGTCTACGTGTTTTCACTTAATCCCCCTTAAGTCCAGGCTGGTGTAGGGAGACAGCCTTTCTTCCCCCTTCTCCAAAGAATGAAGCCTAACTCTGGGGTGAGGAAAGGAGGGTGGAGTAGAAAGGGATTGAAGAGTCTGACTGTGTCTTAAACAGATTTCAAACCATCCTTATTTTAGTTTCTCACTTTGCCCCCACTTCCAGAGGCACCTAGTGCCTCCCATTCCTGAGCTTTTTGTGAATACTGTGTTGCAAATCAAGTTGATTCTTCACCTTTCCCATGGATGACTTAAACCCACTGATGTGCTAAGCCAGCTCTCATTCTTATGTCTGCTTTCCAAACCCAGACTTTGTATTGCCTCCTCTCCAATCCTCCACGTCCTTAAAGCTCTGTCTTCTTTCATTGCAAAATCTTTTGTTAGGTCAGGCACGGTGGCTCACACCTGTAATCCCAGCACTTTGGGAGGCCTAGGCGGGAGGATCACCTGACGTCAGGAGATCAAGACCATCCTGGCCAACATGGTGAAACCCCATCTCTACTAAAATACAAAAAAATTAGCCAGGTGTGGTGGCGTGCACCTGTAGTCCCAGCTACTCAAGAGGCTGAGGCAAGGGAATCGCTTGAACCCAGGAGGCAGAGGTTGCAGTGAGCTGAGATCACGCCATTGCACTCCAGCCTGGCGACAGAGCAAGACTCTGTCTCAAAAAATTAAAATAAAATAAAATAAAACATAAAAAAATCTTTCATTATAGTTTTTGGAAGGACTGAAATTAGATGCACTCTTCAATCCTTACAGCAGCAAATTTTTCTTTTATTACTTTGTTTTATGTGTCTTCCTTGCAATTAGTATTAACCTAGGATTTTTTAAAAAACCCACTCTCTGCTTTGTAGTTTAATGATTGATGTATTAGATTTTATCTCATATATCTGACTTTATATTTATTTATTTTATACATTTTTATGTTATTTTCTTTTTTCCCTTTCTTTGGTAGGTTTGATCAAGTTCAGTTTCTTTCTTTTCCCTTGATAATTAGTATATTTTTTCATTCTGTGTTCCCTTCCTGTCTCTCATAATTACATAGATCTTTCTTTATGATTTTTGAAAACAAGATACCAATTATTTCCCTAATCCAGATGTCTTTTAAACTTCATGCTTTCTCCCTCCATCAGAATACATTTCTTCATTCTTCTGCCTTTCCTCCCAGCAAACGAGACCTTTGGAAATTTTTTTTTTTTCTTTTTTTTTGAGATGGAGTCTCACTCTGTTTCCCAGGCTAGAGTGCGCACCACTGCAACCTCTGCCTCCTGGGTTCAAGCGATTCTCCTGTCTCAGCCTCCCGAGTTGCTGAGATTACAGGCCTGTGCCACAACACCCAGCTAATTTTTGTTACTTTTAGTAGAGACGGGTTTTGCCATGTTGGCCAGGCTAGTCTCAAACTCCTCACCCGCCTTGGCCTCCCAAAGTGCTGGGATTACAGGCGTGAGCCACTGCGCCCGGCCCCATTTATCTATATCTTATTTTCTTTTCCTCTTCCTCTGTGCCTTGGAATTTCATTATGATTTAAACTGGCAGGTGGTTTGGATATAGGATTTTTGGATTGTGACCATTTTCTCTCAAAATTCTTTTTCTTCATAATTTCCATCGTGTATATTTTTGCTTTGTGCTTTAAGATATTTATTCTATTAAATATTTTATGCCACTATTTTGGACCTCAACGTGGCCTTCCTTTCTTCCAACTCATGCAATATTAGTTGGGAAATTGTAATTTTTAGCTCCAGACTGACTTCAGACTTGAATTTGGACTTCCTTCACTGTTCTCCCAGAGGCCTTCCCCCATCTCTCTTTCTCTTGGCATGTGTAAATCTGAACAATCCACCTGGTTGCTCGCTCTGTGCTCACTGCGGCTGGAGTGCAGTGGCATGATCTCAGCTCATTGCAACCTCTGCCTCCTGGGCTCAAGCAATTCTTGTGCCAGGCTGGAGTGCAGTGGCACAATCTCAGCTCACTGCAACCTCTGCCTCCCAGGTTCAAGCAATTCTCCTGCCTCAGCCTCCCCTGTAGCTGAGATTACAGGTGTGCCACCATGCCCAGCTAATTTTTGTATTTTTAGTAGAGATGGGGTTTCACCATGTTGGTCAGAGTGGTCTCAATCTCCTGACCTCAGGTGATGATCTGCCTGCCTCGGCCTCCTGAAGTGCTGGGATTACTTGTAGGCATGAGCCACCACGCCCGGCCATATAATGCCTACTTAAGCATCAATTGCTGGCCTGTTCAGTGTTGCTCATATGGTTCTGGTCTGCACTGGGCGAGGGCATTTGGCAATGAGGAAGGAGTGTGCTTGGTTTAGAATAGCAGCTTCTGTGGTTCTTTTTAGAGGTATCATTTCTGCCCAAATCTGGGGTGCCTTTTCATTGATCTATATTTGGGAGTTAAATAAAAGGAGAGTTTTATTCTAATTAATTAAATTAAATTAAATAATTTACTTATTTTTGAGACAGAGTCTTGCTCTGTCACCCAGGCTGGAGTGCAGTGGCGCAATCTCGGCTCTTTGCAATCTCTGCCTCCTGGGTTCCAGAGATTCTCATGTCTCAGCCTCCCAAGTAGCTGGGACTACAGGCATGCGCCACCATGCCTAGCTAAATTTTGTATTTTTAGTAGAGGCAGGGTTTCGCCATGTTGACCAGGCTGGTCTCGAACTCTTGGTCAAAATTGATCTGCCCACCTCGGCATCCCAAAGTGCTGGGATTACGGGTGTGTGCCACCATGCCAGGCCTTATTTTGTTTTTATATTTATTTATTTTTTATTTATTTTTGAGACAGGGCCTTGCTCTGCCACCCAGGCTGGAGGACAGTGGTGCAATCACGGCTCACTGCAACCTCGACCTCTCGAGCTCAATTGATCCTCCCACCTCAGCCTCTCAAGTAGCTGAGTCTACAGGTGTGAGCCACTACACCTGGCTAAGCTTTGTATTTTTTGTAGAGACAGGTTCTTGCTATGTTGCCCAGGCTGGTCTCAAACTCCTGGGCTCAAAAGATCCACCTGCCTTGGCTTCCCAAAGTGCTGGGATTACAGGCATGAGCCACTGCACCTGGCTATGATTTTTAAAATTCAAAAGCAGAGTATAGATGGAAACCTAAATGACGGCAAATAATAATAATAATAAACTCTCAGAGACTGTAGGGTGTAGACCAGGCCCTGGATTAATGGGAATGTCTACATTCCATCCCCTTGAGCTCAAATATTCTAGTCAAAGTGAGTCACCCAAGGTTACTTTCGATAGAAGGTGGGTGTGGAAAGACTTGGACAAGAAAATCTAGGAGCCACAGGAGGCCAGATGCTTCTCTCTACAGGAGACTTGACCTTTGACACAGAGCCCTGAGGAAATCTTGACTGTTTTCTTTAGTATTTGATCCTCAGCTGATGCAAACCATTTATTTATGTTTGCCCATTGGACAGCAGGGGGTTTGGGCTGTTTTCACGTCTATATAAGGCAGTGCAGAGTGCTTCCTTTGATGTGTCCCGCCTCTGCTGTGGCCTCATCATGCCGGGCTAACTTGGTCTTCCCCATGTAGGGCTCTAGATCCCACTCCTAAAAACTCTAATTTGAGGATCAGAGTCTGAAATAGCCCAAAAGGTATCCTGTTTAGCTTGTCATTTAAATAGCTAAGCCCCTGCTACGACCATTTAAAACCATCTCACCTTTCATTTAGCTAAGCAGTTCTTTTTTCAGATTTGGCTTGTTTGTGTTTTTCTCTATTCACTGCAATTCTGCATCTATAAAAAGCATTGATGGAAGGAGGAAAGAGTGAAATCAACATTCTTTTTAGTAGAGGGCCTTAGTTGGAATTGCAGAAATATCAGGGAACTTAGCTATAAAGGCCTCCAGAGTTATCCCTGAGTGCAGGGGGCCAGAGTGGTCACAGTCATGGCCTGGATGTGAAACTTGACTTCAAAAATGACTAGCTTTTTGACCGTAGGCAGGTTATTTGACCTCCCTTTACCTCCATTTCCCCATCTGTAAAACTGGGGTGATAATAGTTCTTGCCTCATAGGTAGGACTGGTTCCATAGCTTCCAGACTCTTGTTCAAATCTCAATGAAATGAAAATGCTGGGCCCCTTGTTCACCTTTCAAGACGGCAGCAGCATAGCATCAAACCAAGTGTGGGACCCCTCTGAGCATGGGCCCTGTGACACTTGCCAGGAAGCTGGCCCTGCTCGCAGGATCACTGTGAGAACTAAATTAATTATTCTATTTAAAGCCCTTAATGTACTACCTGACACATATGCAGTCTATGTAAACATTAATTGAATCTAAAAAATGACAGAGGAGTAATCTGGGAACCAGAGAAATTGTTACTAGCTCAGAGTAACGCAGTGAATTGGTGGTAAAGCGAGCCTTGGATTCGATCTGTTCCGTGGCTTTCTGCATAGTTTACTTATGTATACTCTAGTGGTTTCTTCCGTGAAGCTCTTTCATTGAATCAGCATTTTTGAATGCTTTTCTATATCCCATGTGCAACAGTAAACAGTGGCGACGGGTAGTTCATGAGTTTTGTTTTTATTCGTTATTTCTATTTCCAGTGCTATAGCAGGCTACAATAAATCTTCAGCTATACTAACTCTGTCACTGAACAAGCCATGAGATTCTTACCTTGTTAAGTCACATGAATTTAGAAGAGTCAAGTAAATGACATCTGGGATCTTGGTAGCAACACGTGAAGAAAACTTATAAGTACAAATATTTAAAAAATATAAATGTAAATATAAATGATGGATGAGTTTTCTCGAGTAAAATCAGAGGATGATTTAGATGATCTGAAAGAAGCCTTCTAGCTCTAACATTAGTAACAGAATCACATGGGCCTCAATTCTTTCCTACTGCCCATGTAGCCACAAATGGAAAGATCTCGTTGAAATGACTATTTTTTTTGTTCCTAATGTGTCCTTAAAGAAAATTATTAAAAATATCTCAGGTCAATGACAGATAAAATTTTCCTAAAGTCTTCCTTTAAGAAACCCAAAGAGAGTACAAACTTCTGTCTGTATTCTGATTCATCTTCATTTAGTTTTTCTTGATAAACAGGGAATGTCATTCTTGTTCATTCTGAATTTCAGAATCTAAATTTGGAAAAAGAATACTAAAAGCATGCTAATTAGGCTCTTCAAAGAGTTCTTTAAAAATTTGAATATATAAATAATTTTATCATTCAGGGTGTGAATCAGCTATAGTTAGTCCAAAAAGCTTTTTAAAGCAATATACTTTTTCATGTTCAGGAATGATTTCCTGATATATAAATAACTTCCATTGCCATGGTACTTAGGCCATAAAGGGCCCTGCAGAACACACTTGTCTAATTTGAATTGTTTAGATTAATTTGGCAACTGGTGAAATATCACTTTGATTCTAATTATTGTCATGCTCACCTTGAGTAAGGCTTTTTGTGGTTTAATAATGCATACTCTTATTTCAAACACAAAAGCATCTGTGAAATCTGTCTTAACTATCAATATATTTCTTCTATTTGACATAATTTAATTTAATTTAATATAATTAATATACATTATAAGATCCTTAAATCTCAAAAGAAGATAATCTCCTGTCCTTCACTAGAATTTTTCTGTTCCAGGAAAATGTCATTTTCTATTTGTGGACTCTTCTAGGAAATCTTCATTCCCATTTAGCTGGAGCGGTGATGGAAAGCTATTCCTTCTCTGATGGACTTAACAATGCTATTTCTGTATCTCATTTGTGAGGCTGGGCAGCCATTCATTTGTGGTTAATACTGTAATTCTTAAAATGTATTTTTAAGAAGTGGATAGAAATATCTGATGCTCCATTTTAGTTTGAATGCTATCACTGCTGAAGCACACACAAAACTGTCAGCAAAATGCTGTTTGTATTGGACAACTCCTGTGAATTGAAAGTAGCTAAGCTAAAAAAAGGAAAATTGACAGGTGCCTTATTAGGCCCCAGTGATTAGTCATTTTTGTGTCTGCACAAGTAATTGACACTCACTTCTAAACAAGGATTGTGCATTTGCATGCTTTCAGGAAGAAGTCCTGCTGGGTGATTCTAATCTACTATTTTAGGATGTGATGGCTTAATTTGAAAAATGTTTTTATGAACAAAACATGATCTCTTTCTTGTCACTTTTTTGAATGTCCTCAGGTTTCACAGTGTGATCAGGGACTGAATGGATTTTATTCGGGTACCAAATATCCGATGACTAAATGGGTTTGGCAGTAAAATTGAGGGTTGTGTTGGTAACTACCTTCCACAGGAAGAAGAGATTATCTTTATTCTGTTCTTTTCTTGACGACTGCTGTAAAATGTATTTTTGGTTTGTTACAAACCAGTTGAATCTTTACAGAATTAAAACCAGAGAAGAAATTCTGTGGATAATTATTTTTTTATTCAGGGACTGGCTCCACCTACTACAATTTAGAATTGTAAGAAACTTTAGAGAGTATTAATTTAATTTTTTTAAATTAAAAAAATTTTTTTTGAGACGGACTCTTGCACTGTTGCCCAGGCTGGAGTACAGTGGCATGATCTCAGATCACTGCAACCTCCACCTCCTGGTTCAAGTGATTCTCCTGCCTCAGCCTCCTGAGTAGCTGGGACTACAGGCATGTGCCACCATGCCTGGCTAATTTTTGTATTTTTAGTAGAGACAGAATTTCTCCATATGGTATGAACCCCCACAATCTGAGACAGGTCTCAGTTAATTTAGAAAGTTTATTTTGCTGGGCCGGGTGCAGTGGCTCATGCCTGTAATCCCAGCACTTTGGGAGACCAAGGCGGGCAGATCACGAGGTCAGCAGATGGAGACCATCCTGGCCAACATGGTGAAACCCTGTCTCCACTAGAATACAAAAAAACTAGTCTGGCGTGGTGGCGGGTGCCTGTAGTCCCGGCTGCTCTGGAGGCTGAGGCAGGGGAATCGCCTGAACCCGGGAGGTAGAGGTTGCAGTGAGCCGAGATTACACCACTGCACTCTAGCCTGGTGACAGAGCCAGACACTGTCTAAAAAAAAAAAAAAAAAAAAAAAAAAAAGAAAGTTTATTTTGTCAAGATTGAGGATACACCTGTGACACGGCCTCAGGAAGTCCTGACAACATGTGCCCAAGGTGGTTGGGGCACAGCTTAGTGTTATACATTTTAGGGAGACATGAGACATCAATCAATATATGTAAGAAGTACATTGGTTCAATCTAGAAAGGCGGGACAACTTGGAGCAAAGGCAGGAAGACTGGAAGTAGGGATGGGGCTTCCAGGTCACAGATAGGTGAGAGATGAAGGGTTGCATTCCTTTGAGTTTCTGATTAGCCTTTCCAAGGGAGGCAATCAGATATGCATCTATCTGAGTAAGCAGAGGGGTGACTTTGAATAGAATGGGAGGCAGGTTTGCCCTAAGCAGTTTTCCAGCTTGACTTTTCCTTTTAGCCCGGTGATTTAGGGGCCCCAAGATTTATTTTCCTTTCACATTGGCCAGTCTGGTCTCAAACTCCTGACCTCAGGTGATCCACTCGCCTCTGCCTCCTGAAGTGCTGGGAATGCAGGCGTGAACCACCGTGCCCAGCCAGAGAGTATTAATTTTATTTTATTGTATTTTATTTTTTTGAGACAGAGTCTCGTTCTGTCACCCAGGCTGGAGTGCAGTGGCACGATCTCGGCTCACTGCAAACTCCACCTGCCGGGTTCACGCCATTCTCCTGCCTCAGCCTCCTGAGTAGCTGGGACTACAGGTGCCCGCCACCACGCCTGCATTTTTTTTTTTTTTTTTTTTTTTGGTATTTTTAGTAGAGACGGGGTTTCACCGTGTTAGCCAGGATGGTCTCTGTCTCCTGATCTCGTGATCCGCCCGTCTCGGCCTCCCAGTGCTGGGATTACAGGCATGAGCCACCTCGCCCGGCTGAGAGTATTAATTTTAAATCTCTCCCTTCCATATGAGGAAATTAAGGCTCAGAGACATTAAATAACAACATTCTTGTAGCCAAATGAGTTGAGACAAAACCAAGATGAAAGGATTTGAAGACAGTTTGATGCCATTCATGAAGCTAGAGTTCTCTTTCTTATGTCTGTGTGTTAATGGCTTTTTCCACTTAAAGGCAAATTGCTAAGGTGTTCCCCACCCCCACACTCCACCTCTACGTCATTTCACTTTTGACCCCACCTCTGAAAACATTGAATGTATCTAAATACATAATCAAATGAAAAAGTTTGACTTTGGTGACTTTATTAAGAAAATACTGCCAGCTGGGCGCGGTGGCTCATGCCTGTAATCCCAGCACTTTGGGAGGACGAGACAGGTGGACCACGAGGTCAGGAGATCGAGACCATCCTGGCTAACACGGTGAAACCCGTCTGTACTAAAAATACAAAAAATTAGCCGGGCATGGTGGTGGGCGCCTGTAGTCCCAGCTACTCAGGAGGCTGAGGCAGGAGAATGGCGGGAACCCGGGAGGCGGAGTTCCCAGTGAGCCCAGATCACACCACTGCACTCCAGTCTGGGCGATAGAGCGAGACTCCGTCTCAAAAAAAAAGAAAAAAAGGAAAGAAAATACTGCCACCATCAACAGGAAAATGTTTCCATAGCAGCAGCCTCTCATTTTGATGATTGCTGCAACTCCCCTTGTCTTTGGAGCTTTGTGTTTGAAATAAAGGTATGCATTATTAAACAAAAAAAGCCTTATTCAAGATGAGCATGACCACAACCAGATTGGAGAGACATCTTTGTGACACTGTGCAGGAATGAAGTCATACCCCAAATCGACTGCACCCTTTGGGTAGCCTATGTTGTCACCCCACAACCAACTTCGAGTTAAGCCTCACTGCCTCTTTACATCTCCAGAATACAGAACTCCAGAAGCATTGCGGAATAATGTGGATTTTACTGATGTTTCATAGTGGTACGGGGAGGACGGTTTCATCACATGGCCCACAGGAAAGCTTAGATTGTTTTTTTGGACCTCTGTCTGTGACAATTAATGTTTTTCTTCTCTTCTCTCCCTGTCCCCTTTCTCCCCTCCCTTTTCCTCACACAGCTTTTAAAATCCCCTTTAGTATCTGTAGCCACTCGGCTGCAGCCTGAAGAATATATGTTCCCCCACCTCCCACCAGCAAAACAACAGCCTGTGGTAAACTATGAGCACGCATGTTCTTCTTACATGCCTTTTGGGGGCAAGGATGCCTCAATTCACTTGGCCATAGCTGTGAGTTTGGGATATTGATTCTTCACAAAAACAGATCTAAAGTTAAAAGGTTAACTTGGGGCTGGGTGCGGTAGCTCACTCCTGTAATCCCAGCACTTTGGGAGGCCGAGGCAGGCGGATCACGAGGTCAGGAGATCTGAGACCATCCTGCCTAACATGATGAAACCCTGTCTCTACTAAAAATACAAAAAGAATTAGCTGGGTGCGGTGGCGGGCGCCTGTAGTCCCAGCTACTCAGGAGGCTGAGGCAGGAGAATGGCATGAACCTGGGAGGCGGAGCTTGCAGTGAGCTGAGATCGAGCCACTGCACTCCAGCCTGGGTGACAGAGCGAGACTCTGTCACAAAAAAAAGGTTATCTTGGACCTGGGTCTGGCAGTAGACAAAACTACAAATATTGGCAAAGTAAACCAGGATCTCTTAACTTTTCTTTTTTCTTTTTTTTTTTGAAACAGAGTCTCACTCTGTTGCCCAGGCTGGAGTGCAGTGGTGTGATCTTGGCTCACTGCAACATCTGCCTCCTGGGTTCAAGCAATTCTCCTGCCTCAGCCTCCTGAGTAGCTGGGATTACAGGTGCGTGCAACCACACCTGGCTAATTTTTGTATTTTCAGTAGAGACAGCGTTTCACCATGTGGAGCAGGCTGGTCTTGAACTCCTGACCTCAGGTGATTTGCCTGCCTCGGCCTCCCAAAGTGTCTTAACTTTTCTCCATGTGTGTCCCTGACTTTTATGGGTACCTTCCCTATTAGGCACTTGCATCCCAGGTTCAATTTAGTTCCAGAAATATTTACTGAGGCCCTGCTAAGGGCAAGGCACTGATCATGTGTCTTTGGTTGAATTGGGGGTGACAGTGGGATGGTAAATGGAAGCAGCACAATGTGGTACTCAGTGCATTAGCAGGAGAATGAACAAAGGGTTTTGGGAGGACAGGGGTTGAAATGACTACACAGACAAGGTGACAGGAGTGAGGGCCTTGATCTGTGAAGGCACAAAGTTGGCAATGAGGCCATAGTATCTGAAAACACTGAGAGAAGTTCGGTGTGACCCCACTGTAGGGAAGGTGGGAGCATGAGATGAGTATGGAGGAAAGGAGGACAAATTATGAAGGGCTTTGGATGCCAAACTAAAGACGTGATTCTTTAGGCAAGAGTGAGCCAACAAATGGATCTTTAAACATTTTAATTTTTCTTTAAGTTGTGCATGCGCATATGTTAAGGAGTCAAATAGTTCTGCAAGATTTATTACAAAAATCCCAAGAGGGCTCAGCCCTCCTACTTCCCATATTCCCCATTCCAGAGGTAAACACTGTCTAGATGATGGTGCTGGTCTTTACTTCCCACTTTTATGAGATGTGTTTGCATGACTATTTCTTGCTTTTACCAGTCTCGGCCATTATCTATTGGCTTCTCCCCATGGAGGATGAGGATTTGGCTCTCTCCCTGCATCCCCACACCATCCCACACACAAATACCCTTTCTCTGCCACCTCCTTTCCACAGTGTAATTTTTGTTAGATCAACATTCAGTACTGACAATATTAGGCTCGTGTAAATGTATTCACAGCTGAGGCAAATAGTCAACGATGGTTATTTTTACTTTACAGTAGAGTTTCAGCCCTGTCCCTGGAGGGCAGGCTAAATTTTTGTTTGTTTGTTTGCTTGCCTTTTTATTCCATGTACTCATCACTAATTCAACCCTAAAGGTCTTTGCCCTTCTGCCAATTGCCTAAATGTCTTTTCAATATGGCATCAATCAAGCAGTCTAACCATTTCCTATTCCTAATGGAGCCATTCTTGTGGCTTTCAGACCTGCTTCTGTGAGGTCTGGCACACAGGGTCACTCTGTGATTCCCTTTTATTGTCGTCCTGAAGGGCCATTTTACCCTGTGTGCTGTTGCGCCTTTGTGTTTCCTGTGTTCCAGGCTTTCTCTTTCCTGGTTTACACCAGCAGCTTTTTGAAAAACGTGCATGGGATATAAGAATTTTGTTGAAGACCTTAATCCTAAAACTTTTTTTTTTTTTTTTTGAGATGGAGTTTCACTCTTGTTGCCCAGGCTGGAGTACAGTGACATGATCTCGGCTCACTGCAACCTCCACCTCCCGGGTTCAAGGGATTCTCCTGCCTCAGCCTTTTAAGTAGCTGGGATCACAGGCACCTGCCACCATCCCTGGCTAATTTGTTTGTATTTTTAATAGAGATGGGGTTTCACCATGTTGGCCAGGCTGGTCTTGAACTTCTGACCTTAGGTAATCCATCCACCTCGGCCTCCCAGAGTGCTGGGATTACAGGCATGAGCCACCATGCCTGGCCTTTAATCTTAAAACTTGATTGATAGTTTGGTCAGATATGGAACTTTAGGTTGGAAATAATTTTTCCTTTAGAATATTGAACATTAGTTCCATTTCCTACTGGTTTCCAGCATTGTTACGGAGAAATATGAAAACAGTTCTGGTTATTGATTGTTTTTATGAGATCTTATTTTTTTCCTCCTTGGAAGCTTGATCTTTTGTTTCCAGTTTGGGGAATTTTCTTTTTTTTTTTGAGACAGAGTCCTGCAATCTATTGGTATCTTTGTGTCTTTGTATATTTGTGTATTTGTATCTTTGTATATTTGTATCTTTGGCACCAATGAAAAGGTATCTCCTACAAAGGCAATTTGAGCCATATACCATAAACAGGATTTTGGTGTGTCAATGAAGAGATTTAATTTTGGCAAACAAATTAGCTCTTACACTTTATGAGCTCTGGAACTTTGGGCAAATCATTGAAACTTTGTAAGTCTCAGTTAGTTCCTCTATAAAGCAGGAATTTACAGTAGCTGTCTTAAAGGGGCGTTTTGTGCATTAAATTACATCATGGGTATGAAAAGGGCCTAGCTGAGTGTCTGGGACATAGTATTTGCCCCACATAATTCATTTCTCATCACCTTAAAACCAGAATATTTCATGGGATTTCGACATATTCTACTCATGAAGGTATTAACATAGAATGTTTGAGTCTCTTTTCTTTCTTTCTTTTTCTTTCTTTCTTTCTTTCTGTTTCTTTCTTTCCTTTCTCTCCTTCTCTCTTTCTTTTCCTTCCTTCCTTCCTTCTTCCTTCCTTCCTTTTCTTTCATCAATTTGAGGAATAGGCTGGGCATGGTGGCTCATGCCTATAATCCCAGCACTTTGGGAGGCCAAGGTGGGTGGATTGCTTTAGCCCAGGAGTTCGAGACCAGCCTGGGCAACATGGTGAAACCCCACTTCTACAAAAAATACAAAAATTAGCTAGGCATGGTGACATATACCTGTAGTTCCGGCTACTTGGGAGTCTGAGGTGGGAGCATCACTTGAGCCTCGGAGGTTGAGGCATCAGTGAGCTATGATTGTGCCACTGTACTTCAGCCTGGGCAACAGAGTCAGATATATATATATAGTGTATATATGAGAAATAATGCCTTTCTTACCCAACTTCATTCATGAAACCGTATTGCAGGCTTCATCTGTTCAAGTACTCTACCCATTATCTACAGTGAAGGAAATGGCACTCAAGTTTGGGCAATGACTGTCTTACCTGGGAATTCTGAGGGAAAAGGTCTTCCCTTCATGGGTTTGTAAAGCTGGTAGGACATAAATGTAGGCAGCTGGTGGCCAACTCATGGGAAAACTCCATCTGAAAATGAAGCTAAAATAAAGAAAGCTGACCATGAAGTGGAGTAAGTTAGTTCCCTAACGGTATCAGTTGTGCCTTTGGTAAATCAATGTCTAAACAAAAAGGTCCCTGGATTTCCTACTTTTGTGAACCAATAATTACCTGTTGGTATTCAAGCTAATGTTAAGTTAGTTCTTGACTCCTGCAACTGAAAGAATATAGGCTCATTCAGAGCTAAACTTCTTTTTTCTTTTTTCTCATTCACATGGGAGGTTTGGTTGGCATTTGGTCCTTTCTTGCAGTAGGAGGATGTCCAAGTAAAGACATAAACCAGAAAGGTAGTGAGCCAGATCTTTAATGAGCCAAGCAGTTCAGTGTTTGGGATTTTTAGAAATACTTCAATGAGTTTCCTTTATAATTTCAGTAAAGATATGACCTTAACATTGAAGCTTATTTGAGAAATGTCTGAAGGGTACTTAGGCTACATCTCGTAGGCCTTCTGATTTTAAGAGGCTTGTATTCATGGATAAATGTAGCTGTGGTTGGGGAAAAAAGAGAGAGACCAACATTTATGAACACCAGGCACTCAGCACTTTCCTCACAATGTGTTCTTGCTGCATGAAGACCAAGGATGTCACAGGCACTAGTCAAATTTGAGTTGCAAAGCAGGCCACAGAGGGAAAGTCCTGCAAGTACTCAGTCATCAGCATGGGGAGGAGGAACTCAAACCAAGTGTACACTACAGAATGTGTCCCATGTTCATGTTTGTGCACCTGTTTGGTTTCTGGAAAGTGCTCCCTCATGTTAAATTTATGTAGTTAAGTTGTAAAACAGGAAATCTTCCTTGACCCTTTGCAGGATTTGTGAAAGGGGTGGCTTGTTTACTGAGCCCGCAGCACTCAATCCCTTACGGGATGGGGAACATGCAGGTAAGTGGGTGCGGGGGCCAGGATGAGTGCTTCTGGGTGTCAGCGGGAGCAGAACTTTGTGCGGCCCTGTGACAGCATCTGGGGGGGTACCCGTGACCCCTGGAGCCCTGAGGGCATGTATTACACTGCAGTTTTTTAGCTTTGCTGTTCACGGATGGCTTAAGTGTTTAACAGCTCAATGTGACAGCCCTCTGTATCCTGAGCTCTCATTCAGTGTCCAGGAAGAATCAGGTTGCACGAACGAATTGAAGATGGTAAATTGTGGGCGATTTTATTGCCAATGAAACTGGCTTTTAGTGGAATGGAGAGCTGGAAAGGGGATGGAGCGGGAACGTGGTCTTCCCCTGGAGTTTGGCCATCCACTGCCAAACTCTTCTTCGAGGCCCTGCCGTCAAGCCGTCCCTCTTAAGTTAAGCTGCTTCTCACCAACGTCTAGCTGCTGCTGCTTTTCTCTACTTCTCTGCCGCTCTGCTGCCAGTGGCGGCTGGGGTTTTTCTGGGTACAGGATGGGGGTCAGGGCAGGCCAGGGTGATTTTGGAAAAGGCAACATTCGGGTGGGAAATGAGGAATGCATGTTCTTACTTTGGGCCATGGGTCCAGGTTTGAGGGTGGGGTCCTCACTGGGGACTGCCCTCTTCTACCCAGTATTTTCCTGCCTCCTGTCTGTATCAATTGTATTTTAAATTTGTTACTTTATTTGAATTTAAATTATAAAATTGGTTGATAAGAACTTTGTACATTTGATTTTGTAAGAGTTTTATAAAAAGATTATATATAGTTTTATGCTTATACTTAAGTAATGCTATTTTCAAAATGAAGTCAATACTGGAGAAGAAATGATCTTTTTTTTTTTTTTTTTTTTTTTTGAAATGGAGTTTTGCTCTTGTTGCCCAGGCTGAAGTGCAATGGCGTGATCTTGGCTCACTGCAACCTCTGCCTCCTGGGTACAAGTGATTCCCCTGCCTCAGCCTCTGAAGCAGCTGGGATTACAGGTGCCCACCACCAGGCCTGGCTAATTTTGTATATTTTTAATAGACATGAGGTTTCACCATGTTGGTCAGGCTGATCTCAAATTCCTGACCTCAGGTGATCCACCTGCCTTGGCCTCCCAAAGTCCTGGGATTACAGGCATGAGCCACTGTACCCGGCTGATCTTTTAAATAAATGTTATTCGCTGTCTATGAAGTAGTCCTGCAAAAAAAGAAAGTCACATCTGAATCTGACCGAGTTTCTAGATCCAATGGCTAATTTACAGTGGACAGAGAGAACAGAGAAGCATATTAAAAAACATTATGGAGGTGTAACTTTGGGAACTCTATAGTTTCTTTAACAAATAAATTTGCAAAAAAAGAGGGAGGAAGAGTAATTGTAGATTTATAAATATAAAAACTTAGCAGTCCATCATGTGTCCGGACTTTGGATCTTGATTAAAAATTTAAAAATTAATGGAGAAAACAATTGAAAATGTTTGTGATAAAATTGGAGGTTTGAATGCTGTCTGATGATGGGTAATGTTGGGGAATTACTGTGGTGGTGGTTGTTGGTGTGATGGTGCTATTTGGTTCTGTTAATGAAGAGAGTGCTCTTCCTTTTTGGGGTACACACTGGGATATTAACAGATGATGAGAAATTTATGTTTTCCTTAGGATAACATTAAGAAGGTAAAGTAAATCTATCTATACTATAATAACAAGCTTTAAAATTTGGTGCTGTTAGTCCTTCTAGGTTATATTCTTGGGAAAGATATAAATACTAAAATATAAGATAAACATTATTTTCTCATACAGTCAAAAATATTAAAGGAAATTTATTCTTTCTCCAAGAGTCTGCTGTCTAGGTGTTTATAGAAAAGGAACACAGGCCAAGGGTGGTGGCTCATGCCTGTAATCCCAGCACTTTGGGAGGCTGAGGCTGGTGGATCATGAGGTCAGGAGTTCAAGACCAGCCTGGCGAAGGTGGTGAAACCCCATCTCTACTAAAAAATACAAAAATTAGCTGGGCGTGGTGGCAGGCACCTGTAATCCCAGCTACTCAGGAGGCTGAGGCAGGAGAATCGTTTGAACCTGGGAGGCGGAGGTTGAGGTGAGCCGATATCGCGCCACTGTGCTCTAGCCCGGGCAACAGAGTGAGACTCCGTCTCAAAAAAAAAAAAAAAAAAAAAAAAGAACACATGTGTCACATTTAATTAACTTTAAATGGTAAACTCAAATTGTATAAAACCATTTAAGTTTTCATAAATAAAATATTTAGATAAAAGATTAATCCATTTAGATAAATAGATAGCTAAATCAAGTTAAAAAGGCAAAACAGTGGCTACACACACATCACGTTATTCCCATCTGGGGAAACCCTGAGTTAGTCCATGCTTGCTTGTTGGCTATACAAATCAAGGGTCCAAAAACTCTGAGGATCAGGTAAAGTCTGTCCCACAGCCTGTTTTGGTATGACCCAGGAGCTAAGAATGGTTTTAATATTTTAAAATATTTGACAAATATCAAAAGGAGAATAATCTTTGGTGACATTTGGAAATTATATGAAATTCTAATATCAGTGTCTGTACTTTTACTGGAATACAGCTATACACATTTACTTACTGTTTTTGTAAATAAAGTTTTACTGGAGTCATCCATCCATTTGCATATTGTCTATGACTACTTTCAACTTAGAACAGCAGAGATGAGTAATTGTAACAGAAAGTGTATGGCCTGAAAAACCTAAAATATTTATCTCCTGGCCCTCTACAAAAAAAGTTTGTCAACCTAGATGAAAAAACTGAGTCCTGGAGGTATGAAGTCTCTGGTCTAAACTTCCACAGCTTTTGAATGCAGCATCACAATGCAAACCCAGGTCTTCTGAATCTAGGTACCCTTTGGATGTGGTTTTTTCCTATGTTTTTGCCCCCTTGAAAAAATGATTTCTATTTACATAGTGCCTGTTTTATTTCTGGCATTGTTGCACGTACTTGTATTGCTCTTTTAATTGTCATAACAACCTGTAGGACAGGTACTATGATTATCCCCCATTTTATACTTGGGGAATTTGTGGCATATAATTTATTAAGTAATTTAACCAAAGTCCTACATGAGTAAGAGACAGAGCTGGGTTGGAGACCCAGGTGGCCTGACTTAAATGTTGCACATTGCTCTGTCTCCTTCATTAAGGGAACCACAAAGCTAGTGAAAGAGAAACCATTGAGTGGTTCAGTGGTTCTAACCCCTGTCATTCCTCTCTTGAGCTTTGGGGGCACGAATGATATAGGGTTGATCATTCTGCTATCTTAAGCCTGAAGTGAACTTTGATTAGGAAAAGTGGCTCCCAGTTACCCTTAAAATCAAAGGCTGTGACAGTATGTGATCAGAAATCCTTACTCTAGAAACATACAATTTTTCTTTGTCAATTAAAATAAAAAGAAGTTCCTGGGGGAGGTGGTGTCTTGTTTTTGTCGTTGAGCCTTGATCCTTGCTTTGTGGTTTTTCATTGCATTGCCCTACGAGAAGGTTTGAGAAGGAGTAACAACATTACTGCAAGTTAGCACTGCAAGAAGGCTTCCTGGGAAACCTGGGAAACCTTACCTGACATTTCACTGGGGTCAGGAGCGGAGGAAGAGGCTCCTCCAAAGAGCAATGGCACAAGACCAGCTCACAGTATGGAACAGGTCCCGTGGCACTTTCTTACCATGGCCTGCACATGCAGTCTCATGAACCAATTGGAAGAGGTGTTTATTCACTGGTGTTTTCTTCAAACAGATGTATCAGTGCTTCATAGAAAAGCAGGGTTAATACATAACTTTGGGACTTTTGCTTTACTAACTGAGAAATCTGACAAAATTTTTTTATGGGGATGGAGTTGGGAAGAATGAATTGAAGAAAGTGGCAGCAAAAGAAGAGTTACTTCTCCCAGAGGACTCTGCATGTGCCATACGGCACTGTGGGGGGAGCTGTGCCTTGGCTGTCCACTGGATGTTCAGTCAGGATAAGGCCGTCCACTGGATGTTCGATCTGGAGAGGCTGGCAAATTATAGTCTGCAGGCCAAATCCAGGCTGCTCTCTCTTTGTAAATAAAGTGTTTTTGGAACACAGCCATGTGCATTTGTTTCCTGTTTTTGTCAATAAAGTCAGAGCCCATCCATTCCTATACATGTTGTCTATGGCTGCCTTTATGCTACAGAGGCAGAGATGAGTAGTTGTGACAGAGATCCTTAAGAGCTCATAAGTGTAAAATATTTCTTTCTTTCTGTTTTTTTGTTTGTTTGTTTGTTTTTTGAGATGAAGTTTTGCTCTTGTTGCCCAGGCTGGAGTACAATGGTGTGGTCTTGGCTCACTGCAACCTTCACCTCCCGAGTTCAAGTGATTCTCCTGCCTCAGCCTCCTGAGTAGCTGGGATTACAGGCACTCGCCACCACGCCTGGCTAATTTTTGTATTTTTAGTAGAGACGGGGTCTTACCATGTTGGCCAGGCTGGTCTCAAATTCCTGACCTTAGGTGATCCGCCTGCCTCGGCCTCCCAAAATGCTGGAATTACAGATGTGAGCCACCGTGCCTGGCTCACAAGTGTAAAATATTTCTAATATGGCCCTTTAGAGAAAAATTGTGCTGACCTCTGGATATAATGGAAGAGTGATTATTTTGCCGTCATGGAATATTTCTTTGTTGGAGACTACCGGCCGTATATGTCACATAGCAATACAGAGCTGACTTTAAAATGTTGGGGAAAATGTCTTCTCAACTATTCTCTAAATGCTATGAATAGCCATTAAAATTTCTTTTTTAAAATTTCCAGAATGAGGGTCTACCCAGACTACTGAGTCACTATGGCAAAGCCTGGGAATGGGTATTTTTTAAAGGCACCTAGTAATCAGGTACTTTTGAGAAACACTAGCCTGGAACATACCAAGCTACATACGTATTGAGTTGTACTGAGAAATTGATATTGCATAATTGTGACAATAGTCTATGGTAGGAGTGTATTATTGATCATAATTCAGAAGCAAGTCTAGAGCTCAGTATGTGAAAAGCTCCTTGAATATTATTGAAAATAACTTTCCAAATAACTGTAAAAACACATTTGTTGCTGAAAATAATAAAATAAAAATTATACATTATTGCCACCATCAAGAAACATACTGTTAATCTGTTTATATATTGATGCAGAAACACATCCTTTCTGGATTGAATTTATATAATTCTATTAAATTCTTAAAATACCATGTAGTTATTTTGGGTTTCAGTTATGGGAAGGGATTTCACTTGGATTTCAGATTTGTTACTCTCTTGAAAGTGTTTGGATAAAGAGCCAAGAAATACATCATTGCTCATATGGGAACAGAAAAGCTGGTAAATGTTAATTGTGACTGAAAACCTTGAATTTATGTTATCAGATTCAGAAAGAGAACATTTAGACAATTTAGATGTATTTTTTTTTGTTCCTTTCTCATTGTTGTCAAATTATCTTTTAATGAAATCTTTTTCTTTGTAGCCCTTTACCAACTGGGCATCTACCACACCTCTCTTGATGTCATTTTTGATGTCATGAGGACGTAGCTGTCAGTGTTGCAGCTCACACAGTGGGCAATCCCCAGGCTCACTTTAATGATTCCAGAGAGTTCTGTGGATAAAGATCTATGCTGTGTTGGTGAGGAGCTGTTGACAGTATCATAGAAGGCAATATTTCCGTTGTGTTTAATATGTAACTGTCTCTTTCTATCTCTGTATGGTTCTTTGAGAGCCTGATGGTCAGTGCAGAAAAGGAAGGTGCTACTTCATCCTAGGTCTGTCCATTCTGAACTGTCAGTTTCACTAGAATTCAGCCACTTCCAGTCACTGACTGCCTTGGCAATGTCAGTGTCACCACCAGCTTTTCTGAAGGCAGACCCAGGGGGCCAATTTGAGAGACAGCACAGATGTGGTATCTGCTTTCCCATTGGCACACATAAGATGCAAAACTTTGATTTTCTTGGGGTGGAACTTGGGTGTCATGATAAAGATGGCTAGTGTCAGATGAACCTGGATACTGGACCACTGAAGAAAGTGATACTTTTGTCTCCTCCAAACAAAAGCTGAGAGTCAGACTTATTCTAAAAAATTTCAATTAAATTTTTTTTTTTTTTTGAGATGGAGTCTCACTCTGTCGCCCAGGCTGGAGTGCAGTGGCACGATTTAGGCTCACTGCAAGCTCCGCCTCCTGGGTTCACACCATTCTCCTGCCTCAGCCTCCCGAGTAGCTGGGGCTACAGGCGCCCACCACCACGCCCGGCTAATTTTTTGTATTTTTAGTACAGACGGGGTTTCACCATGTTAGCCAGGATGGTCTCGATCTCCTGACCTCATGATCTGCCTGCCTCAGCCTCCCAAATTGCTGGGATTACAGGCGTGAGCCACCGCGCCCGGCCAATTAAATCTTTGATACGGAGTGCATCCTGGTGTAGTGGAAGTAGCTTGAACTAATAATTAGAAAACCTGGATCCTATCTGGGTTCTTAATTCTATTATGGTCATTCATCCTCAAGCCTGTTATTTGAATTGTCTGCGTCTCAATTTGCTCATCTGTCAAATCGGGATGGCAATACTGACAAAGACTATTGTATAGGATCTTCTGGAAGATTAAAATGAGGTCGTGAATAAGAAATTCACTTCGATAAATTATAATGCATTAGTAAGTTTTATTATAACCATAAAATAATATTAAAACAGTAATATTAATTCCTGAAAAGAATAAGCTTATATGTGAATGTTTTAATTGTCTGAGTCTGTACAGCTTTATTGTTGTATATATCATAACAAATTAGCCTTCCATTCATTAGATTAAGAAAGCCTGCTGAGTCCTTTTACTTGTATATTTAATACCTTTTGAACAGTTGTCAATTTACAGAAAAAAACGGAGTAAAATGTATGGAATTCCCATATATTTCCTCATCCCTCTAACCCCTAATTAACATCTTTGCTTCAATTAATGAACCAATATTGATACATTATTATTCATTATTAGTCCATAGTTTACATTAGGGTTCACTCTGTGTTGTACATTCTATGGGTTTGGACAATTGTGTAATGATGTGTATCTACCATTACAGTCTCATATAGAATAGTTTCACTGCCCTAAAAATCCCTCATGCACCACCTATTCATCCTTCCTTTTTCTCTTCCTGAATCCCTGGCAACCACTGATCTTTTTACAGTATCCACAGTTTTACCTTTTCTAGAATGTCATGTTGTTGGAATTATACAGCATGTAGCCTTTCAAGATTTAGCTTCTTTCATTTAGTAATATGCACTTAAGATACTTCCATATCTTTTTGTGGCTTGATAGTTTTTCTTTTTATCCCTGAATGATATTCCATTGTCAGGATATACCAGGATTTATTTACCTATTGAAGAACTTGGTTGCTTCCAAATTTTGGCAATTATGCATAAACCTGCTATAAACATCTGTATGCAGGCTTTTGGGGAAATAACAAGAAGTGTGATTTCTGGGTCATGTGGTAAAAGTATGTTTGCTTTTGTAAGAAACTGCCCAACTGTTTACTAAAGTGGGATATACTATTATGTTTTCATTCCCACCAGCACGGAATGAAAGTTCCTGTTGCTCCACAGCCTCACCAACATTTGATGTTGTCAGTATTTTGAATTTGGGTTATTCCAATAGGTGTATAGTGGTATTTCATTGTTGTCTTAGTTTGCAATTCCCTAATGACATATGATGTTGATCATCTTTTCATATGCTTACTTGCCATCTGTATATTTTCTGTAGTGAGATATCTTTCAGATCTTTTGCCTATTTTTTGATTGGGTTGTTTGTTTTTCTGTTGTTGAATTTTAAGAGTTCATTGTATATTTTGGATGCCAGTCCATCATCTGATATGTATTTTGCATATTTTCTTTCAGTCTGTGGCTTGTGTTTGCCTTCTCCTAATATTTATTTTGCTTATTTAACCTCAAAAATCACAATCCAATTATTTTTTAAGTACCAATGACATCCAGGTTTACAGTTTTTAAAAAGGTTGACAAATCCTAATGCTGTATTCTTATTTACCATTGACTCCTTTTGTGGTTGGTTGCATTTGAAGAATGAATCGAGTCATCAAGCCCAACATGGGCTCAACCTCAAACCTCACATTCTTAACCAGGATCCTCGCTGCTATCATCTGAGAGTCAGCCTGTGGCCTGTCCAAGTTGGCTGGGTCTGGCTGAGCTGATTGGAGCGGCCGACATTTTTGCTGACTGGAGTCATGCTATCTTTGCCAGTTTGCTGGAATAGACACAGACACCGATTGGGTCACGCTGAAGACATTCCTGTCTTGTGAAGCAAGTCTGTTTGTATTTTAAGTTTGCCAGGACTAATGAATTAAAACATTTGGACTCCCCACAACTTGCTGTTTATCAATGCCTCTGACAGGAGGAGGGTTTTCTTTTGCTCTTGCTTTTTCTAGAAAGATGACAACATCCTGGCTGTTAGAGAGGCAAGGAAAGGAGAGAGGGGTTGTGAAGGGAAGCGGAAGGGAAGGGAAGGGAGGTCCCGTGGGACGCTGGGGTCTGGGGCAGAGCAGGTAGCAGCGTGCTGCCCTGACAGCTGTCTCCGCTCCTCAGATTGTCAGTGGCTGCTATGCAGCAGGTGCAGCCTGGTCTCTCACTGAGTCTCTACTCCACAAAGGCAACGACTGGCCAAGGCAGTGGCTGGCTCTGGGTTACACAAGTGCAGACACTCAACTAAGTGAGGTAAGCCAACAGGTGTGAAAACTGAACTAAATGCTCAGATCAGCAGCAACTTAACCAAAGCTCTGTTACAGCCTGTAGCCAAGAGAAGGAACCTGTGGTTCGTTTCCCCAGACGGTGTGATGAAAAGGCAAGTTGGTGTAGGGGCATTTGTGGTCAACATGGTGTGGAACTCAAAGTCCACTCAGTCTTGCCACCATCCTTTCATAGGCAGACAGATGTTCTCCATTGAGCGGAGGGGAGGGACTCTAATTAGCTGTGTTTATTAATTCCATTTCCTGTAGCTGGAAACCATACCAGAGGACTATTTACAAAATCCTTGAGGCAAATTTCTACCTCTTGTACTTGATTTCTTGGTGCGGGAAAGTGTTGGGGGATTTAGCCAAAAGAGGAGTGCAACTTTCCATCCTTAGATGTTATGCTAAAGTGATTCGGTGATTGTACAATGCATAACAGTAAAACTTTTCTTTTTAGCTAAAATGTTAAGGGAATTTTAATGGTTTCTTCTGTTGAATTTGAGACAATCCATGCCATTCCCTAGGTGGCTAACAAAATGCTTGATTCTGAGCAGGTAAGACTGGACAGAAGGGTGGCAGAGTTAAGATAAAACAAATCCTGAATCAAATAACAGATATTTTATATTACTCTTTTTTAAAATTAAATGTTTCATGTCACTATTTCTTTCTAACTTAGAATTACATGATATGGACAGTGGAGAGCTTTTTGGTGCATTGCTACTTGTAGTGCTAAATAAATGGGCCAAATTATGATTCTAACTGGATAATAAACAGTTGCTGGTTTTTCTCCAAAGCTATACTAGGGTTTTAATATAAGCCTGATCTTTTTTCATATGCTGGGTAAGATGATTCCATATGTATGTATGTCTAAATATACATGTATATATATATGCATTGGCTTTGGCTCTATAAATACTTTTAAAAACAAAATTCAGTGTTCTGGACACTATTTTTAGATAGATAGAGGAAAGTTATGGGAAAAAGTCAGAAACCGTGCTGTGAGAAAATGTCCTGCTAAAGCATTTCCCAGAATCTCTTTAAGGATGGCTAAAGAGATTATTTATACTTTGCCATTTTTAGAGCTATTTCCCTTAAAATATCATTCAGGTTTTTTGGTTTACTGTCTACATGAGAAGGAAAGTAGAGGGTTTAGGGGAGGTGGGACTAAAAATAGAAAAGTTAAATATATGTTTTTAAATAAGAAAGATATCATGTATTTATAACTATCTTTTCCTAGTCCCCTATAGACATCAAATTATCAAATATCTTGGTTAAAATATATTTGGGCTAAGTTCTCTGATTATAACCAGAAATATTCATGTGTTTTTGCCCATTCCATTTTATCTGCAGGATGTTTTTTTTCCATTCATTCTACCTTAATTAATTAAATGATGATTTGATAGCTGGAGTAGAATATCTATAGGATGTTTTTGAGTCTTGTCTTTGCTTTTATAGAGTGTTAAGATGTGCATCCTTAGAAATGTTTGGTAGACTTACAGGTAGTTAATCAGATATTTAAAGCATATGATATTCATCATATAACAGATATTTTAAAGTGGTTTTTGGTATTCTTTATTTATTTATTTATTTTAGACAGAGTCTCACTCTGTCGCCCAGGCTGGAGTGCAGTGGTACGATCTCGGTTGACTGCAACCTCTGCCTCCCGGGTTCAAGCGATTTTCTTGCCTCAGCTTCCCAAGTAGCTGGGATTACAGGTGCCTGCTAGCATGCCCCACTAATTTTTGAATTTTTGATAGAGATGGGGTTTTCTCATGTTGGTCAAGCTGGTCTCGAACTTCTGACCTCAGGGGATCTGCCTGCCTCGGCCTCCCAAAGTGTTGGGGTTACAGGCATGAGCCACCACACCCAGCGACTTTTGGTATTCTTTAAATGATTCCATGAAACCCATTCTTTGCCACTCTCAGATTAATAATTCAGATTTAATTTAGGCTTTTGAACATGAAAAGCAAGTCTAATCTGAAGCCATCTGATACCTTATTAAGACTATATCTCTTTTTATCCTCCTCAGTTGAAAGTAAAATACTTTATATGACCTTAAAGAGGCAGGATTGAACTGGTCCGTGTAAAAAGATATTGAGCAAGTAAGGCAGGTAGAGATATTTCCCATATTTCATTCATTCTAGATGTATATTGCAAAAGCAATTTTTTCTTGAGCCAAGAAAAAAAGATTTAAATGGGGCGGATGAATACTTTTGACATAGAAAAAGCTCAAAACTAGGAGTATCTTTAGAATAAGCAGGTAATGCTTACTAACCTTAATAACTTCACCTGTAATTTCCAAGGGCCTCTGAGTATTTAGGGGGATGATGCTGGATAAAGTGACAATGGCTCTCTCTTGCTGTCACAGCTGGAAGACCCAGGAGAAGGCGGAGGCTCAGGTGCCCACATGATCAGCACAGCCAGGGTACCTGCTGACAAGCCTGTACGCATCGCCTTTAGCCTCAATGACGCCTCAGGTATACTCTGCTCTGGAAGAAGGATTGTTTCCTTCATACCCCACCTTTCTAGCATCTTTTCTAATGCCACGCCTCTGTGGAAAATTTAAAGTTGCATGCTTGCATGACCTGATGATGGGGAATGTGATATTTCATCATGCATTGTTAGATGGCGGCTTCCAGAAATGCCTCTAGTGATGCTTTCCTCCACCTTGAGTTTTCGGGTCATTTAAACTCATTTTTTTTCTCCTCCCTCCCCATTCTAGCTTTCTTTTAGAATAAAATTCACTGAGCTACAACAATTTCTAACAATAGCAAAGTGTGTTATTGTTAAAACTGCATGAGGAAACTTTTATTAGGAGCTGGCAGTTGGTTAGGTAATATGAAAATATCACTGTTCCGTTTACAGCAACATTTGCTGAAGCGTAAGTTAGAAATGCTGGTTTCTCACTGGTGCTCCCACACTTCTGGCTAAATCAACAGACTTCAGCAGGAATGATAAATGGGACAGGTGAGGAGGAGCCTCTCTAAATAGTAAGGTCTGAGGTGAAACTGCCATACTTAGAGCCCTTCGTCATGGCTCCCCTCAGTGACCTCTTAACACACATTGAATTGCACCACTTTTGAACAAAAGACCTCATGTGGCGGGAGGTCACGGTGCTGAGGAAAGGAAGGCTTGGCTCTCTTCCACTGGCATCCGCCATTGCTCTTAGTTTAATGTCATCTGTTAAAATCACATGCTTAAACAACATTACCATTTAAACCTTGGGTCTTTTGAGGACTCTCTCTCTCTCTCTTGCTATAATGCCCATGTAGGGATGATGCTTTAAAAAGTAATGATTGGCCGAGCATGGTGGCTCACGACTGTAATCCCAGTACTTTGGGAGGCCAAGGCAGGAGGATCCCTTGAGCCCAGGAGTTTTGAGACCACCCTGGGCAACACAGGCAGACCTCATCTCTATTTTAAAAAAAGTAGTAATTGAAAAGGGACAGAATCATTCCAAAATAATGCAAAGTAAGGAGCTCTGTGAAATCTGATGTCACACAACCATTGCAGGCTTGGGGTTACTATGCCAGGTGACACATTTAACCTGGAGTTTCCTAGACTGTTAGCCTCCAGTGGAGGATGTATTCCGTAGCAGGAAGAGGTGAAGGCTTGACTCTTCATAATCAGTTTTTCCAAACCTCTTCTCATGATCTGCCGTTGTACTGTGTCCTCACTCAGGGTCACCCTGAAAGACAGTGGTGAGAAGAAATCCTCCCAACAGGCAAATCAATCCACCCCAACATAGAAATGACAACTGCCATTAACTATACTTCTCTGTCATAATAAGCATTTGCCTGTATTATCTCTGATCCTTAAGACAACCATGCAGCCGGGCACGGTGGCTCACGCCTGTAATCCCAGCACTTTGGGAGGCCAAGGCAGGTGGATCACGAGGTCAGGAGATTGAGACCATTCTGGCTAATACGGTGAAACCCTGTCTCTACTAAAAATACAAAAAAAATTAGCTGGGCCTGGTGGCGGGCGCCTGTAGTCCCAGCTACTCGGGAGGCTGAGGCAGGAGAATGGTGTGAACCTGGGAGGTGGAGCTTGCAGTGAGCCGAGATCGTGCCACTGCACTCCAGCCTGGGCAACAGAGCAGGACTCCATCTCAAAAAAAAAACAAAAAAAACAAAAAACAAACCATGCAACATAAGCATTAGTATTCCTTATGTACAGACACAGAGATTGCCACCCAGAGACCACACTGTTTGTAGGTAATGGAGTTATGTTCTGAACTCAGGGCCCTAGGCTTGAAGTCTGAACTTTCTCTATTTTCGATGCTGCTTCTCTAAAAGGAAAAATGAAAGCCCTTTCTGTTTTTATACATTTCATAAATGCAAGATTTCAAGGAATAGTCAGTGCTTTTCATGGCATCTTGAGTGGCTAGCTCTCAAGACACACGCGTGCAAACCCAAAATCCAGAGGGAAGGAAAATGTATAATTTCCTTTCTTTTTTACTCATGCTGCATGTGAGCAGAACAAGTCCTGTTACAATCAACAGCCTCACAAAGAAAATTTCAGTATATAAAGCTTATTTATCTCAGGCAGTATTAATTTTGGACCAAATAAATGTACTGTTCCCCTGTCAACATTTTAACAGGAACTTAATTTATGTACAGAAAAGAGCCATGGAGAGGTGAATCTCCATCTTTGGTTTGCCTGAATAACCTCTTTCTTGAAATACAGGATGTACAACTTGCAATTAATTTGTCACCATTCTTTGAACTCTCTTGGCCCTTGACTAGGAGCTCACAGATGTTTTTCATCCATCAGTTTAGACTGGTTTGTTCCAGTGTCTTTCTCTTCTCTTTCAAATGACTCCAGAATGCCCACTTTCAAAATCCATGGTTTTTAATAGGTAGCCTCAAAAAAGGATTATAATTTATTTTAAATTATTCCTACCCTCTAGCCCCACCAAAAGATGCTTATGAAAAAACTCCCCAAATTAAGTATTTTAATCTTATGGTCAGTGTGTCCTCATATCTCTAGAAAGGGCACCTACCTGGAGAACCTAGGGCAGGAGCTGAGGTTCAGTGTTTCTCAACCTTGCCTGATTAAAATCATCACCTGAGAACACTCATTGAAAACACGTGTTCTAAGGCCCCACTCCTATATATTCTGATTCAGGAGACCCATTATTGTTGTAAGAAGAAAAAGAAAACCTCCTCCTATGTTTTATGCATATCACAAATGCAAGATTTCAAAGAATAGTCAGGGCCCAGGACTCTCTATTTTTGCATATACATGAGGCTGAGTGCACAAAAAGATGCTTTGCAGATATTTGGGACACTCCCTTTAAATTCTTGAATAAGGAACATGTGGAGTGTCACACAGGAAAACACTTGCCATCAAGCGAGCTGTGCATGCCTTTTGAATTCCAGTGCATGTGGCCTGCAGACCACACATTTAGGGGGAAACAAAGGAAAACCCCCTAGACTTTCATAGTAAATGAGGGCACTAATGTGGACTTTTTGGGAGTAATTCTACATTGTTGGATTTATTGTTGATGAATAAGCAGAGTCCATGAGAAAAGGAAACATCTTTGCTTGTGAATGTTGACATGTTCATTTTTTTCTTTTCTTTTTTATTTTATTTTTTTTTTGAGACAGAGTCTCTCTCTGTCACCCAGGCTGGCGTGCAGTGGTGCAATATTGGCTCACCGCGACCTCCGCCTCCCTGAGGTGATTCTTCTGCCTGAGCCTCCTGAGTAGCTGGGACTGCAGGCACCCGCCACCAGGCCTGGCTAATTTTTGTATTTTTAGTAGAGACGGGGTTTCACCTTGTTGGCCAGGCTGGTCTCGAACTCCTGACCTCAAGCAATCGGCCCGCCTCAGCCTCCCAAAGTGCTGGGATTACAGGCGTGAGCCACCACACCTGGCCCGACATGTTCATTTCTGATAAGCCTAGCCTAGTGCTCATTTCATCCAGTCATTTCAGGACTATATATTCCTGAGATGATTTAGTGTAGAGGTTAAGGATATGGCTTTACAGCCAGAGAGGCATGATTTCTAGACCTACCTCCAACACTATTTGTATGATCATTCCACCTTGCTGAAATTCAGTTTCCTGTAAGATGCGTATAGTAGTAATTCACAGGGTTGTAATAAGAAGCCAATGACATCTTATAGGTAAAGTATTTAGCAGAGTGCTTGATACAAATTAAGCATTCAACTTACCCCTGAAATTATGATAATTGATTGTGGAGTATAAGGGAAATGTAAACCACTAAGCAGTTGTGTCTCACCTACATCTCACCTTGATGTCAAGGTAGATTTTATAGCATTACTGACCTGCAGTTATTTAGGGACTAGTTATGCAGTTAATAGATTGTTCATATCCTATTTTACCTCTGGGCAATTAGCTGAATTTATTTGGTTTCGGTGTTTCCAGCAGTCTGCCAAAGGTGGGTGGGATGTGCAAAAGAGAACAGCATGACCTCCTATGGGCTTTGTAAGGCAAGATGTTTGGAGAAAAGTCTGTGTCACCCAGAGCAGTTAGTAATTGCTTCTTGGAAGAGGTGATAGTCAAACTGGGCTTGAGGGCAGGTAGAGTATAGAGGAGCAGTACAGGACAGATGCCATTCCTGGGTACTAGATACAAAAAAGGGGCTACATATCTTGTAACCAGTTTTCTTTCTTTTCCCTCTAAACAGAAAGCAGGAGCAAAACTTAAGAGTCAGGAAGAACATGGTGTGTTCAGAAAAGACTAAAACTAGTCATTTGGAGCAAGACTAAGACTAGTCCACTGAGCTGTGGAAGAGTAACGTGTTGTCTACCGAGCCCTGCTTGAGTCAGCCATTGTTTTGGATACTTACATAGGGTACTGTTTAGATAGCAATAGACTAGGGTTACCAAGTCAATCTTCAAAGTTCAGCAAGGGGTCTGGACTTGATCAAAAGCGATGAAGTGTCAAAAGTCCTTAGAAAAGGGAATAATATGATGAAAGTGGTAAAAATTTGGCGGAATAGTCTGGAATGTGGAGAGATGAGAGAATGGAAGAGGCATTTTATAATGGTACAAAGTGATGAGAGCCTGCATTAGATAATGTAATGGGATGACTTAATTCAGGGTCCATTTTGAAAGAAGGGTTGAAAGGACTTGGTGACAGACTGGCCCTGGTAGATGAGGAGTTGGTCATTTTTCAGTGATAGCAGAATGAGCTGTAAGACTTTGAATAGAACATGGACCTCCAGAGGTCCTTAAATAAAGGAAACAAGGTTTTGGAGAACACAAATATATATATATTCCTTGACAATGCAATCTCCATTTTCAGCCTATCATCAGAGTGCTTTTTAAAGTAAACTTAGCTAATGGTAATTCCCAGAGGCAGTGATGCCTGTCTTTAATGAGCTAATGATATTAATGATAATCAGTATTATTTCTAAACTGGAAATTTCAAAGAGTCGAAACTTCCTAAACTGGAAACTTCATGGAGTTAATTTTCTTAATAGAAAAAGTGCAGAAGAAAAATATGAATCCCACCTCTTGGGTTATTCAAGAATCACTGGCCCTTCTCCAGCTAGAGGGAATTTAGAGTTGGACAGACATTAGGATTTCATGTCAATTATATGAGACTTTTCTTCATCTTCAGCTAAGCTAAAAACTGGCATGCTCCTTGTAAATTTAGACCTTGGCTTTGGAATTCTTTCTGTCTTTTGCATTTTTTAGAATAGTTTTTTGTTTCGCTTAGAAAGAGTCAAGAATACTAGTATCAGCTCAAGCTGGTAGCTTTTAATATTTTGTTTTTAAAAATTCTTTCTGGCCAGGCACGGTGGCTCATACCTATAATCCCAGCACTCTGGGAAGCTGAGCCAGGAGGATCACTTGAGGCCAGGCAAGACCAGCCTGGGCAACATAATGAGACCTATCTCTATAAAAAAAATCAAAAAATAAGCCAGGTGTGGTGGTGCATGTCTGCAGTCCCAATTCCTGGGGCACTTGCTTGAGTCCAGAGGATCAAGGCTGCAGTGAGCCATGATTACACCACTGCACTCCAGCCTGGGTGACAGAGCAAAACCCTATCTCAAAAAAGAAATTCTTTCAAGCTGTTAGAAATTTTTTATATCTGGATATGAATTAATCGTATGACACTTAGTTTTTGTGTTTTTTTTGGTACTCCGGAACCCATACCATTGGTGTCACTTTTAAATAATACAGTTTTCTCCTCAAATATCAGGATGTTTTGTGTGGTAGGGAGAATTACATGGAGTAGTTGCAATAGCTACCTTTGAATCCAATGCAACAAGTTGGGTGTTATGTGAGATCTTTTTGTGTGTACTTCTAAAACTGGCTCTCAGCAAAATTGTGGTGCAGGTGAAGTGTCTTCTTATTTATCATTATTTTTTAAGGCTAGTCAAGTGAAGCACTGGGAGAAGAGAAGGAACAAAGAAATCTGTAGCTGGTTGTGATTAAGTAGTTGTAAACACCATTGTACTCGGACCAGCCACAAAGTGTCTTTTGTCACTGTCCTCTTCCTTCAACCTTTTCTACCTTCAGTATTATTCCCCTTGTCCTCCTCAGGATCCGAAGTAATCTTCGGATCTAGTAATCTCTTCTCTCCACACTTTTAATCATTGTTCTCTGGAATAACTGCAAAACCTCATCTGCACTAAGCTATAAATGAATATTGAGTTTACCATTTTCCCCTCTCTTCTTTTTTTTTTGAGACGGAGTCTCACTCTGTCACCCAGGCTGGAGTGCAGTGGTGTGATCTCGGCTCACTGCAACCTTCACCTCCAGGGTTCAAGCCATTCTCCTGCCTCAGTGTCCTGAGTAGCTGGGATTATAGGCATGCGCCACCAAGCCCAGCTAATTTTTGTATTTTTAGTAGAGATGGGGTTTCCCCATGTTGACCAGTCTGTTCTCAAACTCCTGATCTCAGGTGACCGCCCGCCTTGGCCTCCCAAAGTGCTGGGATTACAGGAGTGAGCCACGACGCCCAGGCCCCATCTCTGGCTTTTTTTTTTTTTTTTTTTTTTTTTGGCATATTCACAGGGAACTCTGTAGGAAGTCAAGGGATAAAGTTCCCACTGGGATTTTAGAAACCAGGAACCAGGTATTTGCAGGAAACTGAGGCTCAGATAGTCATTATGAACTCTCTCGAATCACCTTCTGTCCCAACATGAGCTTACATTTAAAGCCGCCTCAGCATGCAGTGACAACATTCAGTCACAAGTGCCTTAAGGGCATGGTGGAAGGTGGGTGTCTCCTGTATTTACATTTCTGATGGAGCACAGAGTTGAGAACTATAGTAGAAACTGAATTATCAAATACTTATAAAATCAGTAATACACTATCTGTAACAACTTGGGGTTCATTATCCTGGTGTCAGATGAAGAGTCTGAGATACTATGGGATTTATTGGTTGGAATGTATTACTTAAAGTTGTGAAGAAAGGCCAGAAAGAAGGTGAGTGTTCATTGAGTACTAAGGAGTAGTGCTTTTACTGGCATCTTCTCATCAATTTAATATTGGCTGCAACCCCACAGGAAGGTGCTATTCCATTCATTTTCACAAAAGTGGAAATAAATGTTTGCTAAGTGAGGCGAAGTGACTTGCTTCAAATCATGCAACTAATACATAGAAGGAGGGTTCAAAGCCCGGTCCTCAGGACTGTTACTTCATTGCCCATTTAGAGGCAGAGTTCATGTTATAAGAGAAAGCTCAAAGCTTCTTGACAACAAATAGCTTCCCGACAACAAATAGCTTCCCAAAGGCCATGGGGTTGATGGAGGAAGGTTACTTCTGGTATGTTGTGGTAGGAAAGAAGAAAAGAAGGGGTAAATTTTATTTGGTGGTGTGCTGAAGGATAAATATACTTCCAATAGGCTCTTGTTTGCTCATTTATTTCTTTATTTAGACAGGATCTCACTGTGTCACCCAGGCTGGAGTGCAGTGGTGCAATCTTGGCTCACTAGAGCCTCAACCTCCTGGGCTCAAACTATCCTCCCACCTCAGCCTCCCAAGTAGCTAGGACTACAGGCATGTACCATGATACTCGGTTTCTTGTTTATTTTTTGTAGAGATGGCATCTCACTATGTTGCTCAGGCTGGGCTTGGACTCCTGGGCTCAAGCAATCCACTCACGTCAGCCTCCCAAAGTGCTGAGATTATGGGCATAAGCCACTGCCCCAGCCCCAATAAGTTCTTCTTGAGGCAGGTGTTTTTTGGACAGTGAGTATGTTATAACCTAAGTCAGTCAAAATATTCTAACAACAGGATAAATAGACACTCACAAAATGATAGCTACAATAATAGTGAATAGGTGTTTCCAAGAAACATAAAATTTGTCCTTGGCTGGGCACAGTGGCTCACGCCTGTAATCCCAGCGCTTTGGGAGGCAGAGGTGGGGGATCATGAGGTCAGGAGATGGAGACTATCCTGGCTAACGTGGTGAAACCTGTCTCTACTAAAAATACAAAAAATTAGCCAGGTGTGGTGGCAGGTGCCTGTAGTCCCAGCTACTCAGGAGGCTGAGGCAGGAGAATCGCTTGAACCTGGGAGGCAGAGGTTGCAGAGAGCCGAGATTGAGTCACTGCACTCCAGCCTGGGTGACACAGCGAGACTCCATCTCAAAAAGAAAAAAAAAAAAAAGAGAGAAATTGTCCTTAACTGAATCAAGTCTCTTTTTTGCATAGCAAAACCAGTCTATTGATGCATGATCTTGTTAGCCTGACAATTTTAGGTACTGGTTAAGATAACATCATGTTTATTAATTTACAAAGTATTGAAAACCTGCTTTGTCATCCCAAATCTCTATCTTTATCCATATCTGTGTTAATATCCACATCCATCTCTATAGCTATACTTGTAATCTTATGGGCCCTGAAAATCCAATGTATATTAAATAATTCACATCTCTAGTGTTTAATAAGCAGGAAGCAAAGTTTTAAAAAGCTTTTGTTGTGTCTTAAAACTATGTTATACTCTAACAAGGACTTGGGTATCTAGCAATTAATTTTTTTTGATATATTGGGAATGTGCATTGGCTACTTTTTATCACATATTTTATTCCTAAAAATAAAATATTAATTTAAATTTAGATTTAAAATGACAGTACTCAAAGACCTTTTATGCGTAAGTTAATTTTTTTTTTTTTTACTATCTTTCATATAAAAAGTGTTTGGAAGTAAATTTTGTTTTTGAGACAAGGTCTCACTCTGCCACTCAGACTGGAGTGCAGTAGCATGATCTCTGCTCACTGCATCCTCAACCTCCCATTCTCAAGTGATCCTCCTGCCCCAGCCTCCCAAGTAGCTGGGACGTCAGGTGTGCGCCACCATGCCCGGCTAATTGTTTTGTATTTTTTGTAGGTATGGGGTTTTGCCATGTTACCTAGGCTTGTCTCAAACTCTTGAACTGAAGCAATCCTCTCACCTCAGCCTCCTAAAGTGCTGGAATTACAGGCATGAGCCACTGCGCCTGGACAGAAGATTCTTAAATTCAGATTTAAATGAAGAGAGTAAATCCACAAGACCTGAGGTTATGGCTGCATCAGGGAAATCTCCCTTAAGTGGCAGAGGCAGAACTCAGTAATTAGAGTCATTGACCTTAACCCTGTGTTTTGCCTTTGTATTATTCAGATGATGAAGAATAATTCCCCACCTCAGAAGTTTAGCTTGATAGAATAGACATGGGTTAGAGGAAAAAGTGCCACTACTCACATATATACACACACAGCTCCCCTGTCTCCACATTACTCCTTTGGTTGGCTTTATAGTGAAAAAGAATGAAAAATGAACTTAATTATATTAAGCATTCATTGTTATTACTGGTTATTTCCTAGGTGCTGGGCTTTAGGCCAGTGATTGACATATACATTGCTTTATCAATACAAATTTTCAGAGACAGGTAATACCCTTCCCATTTTGCAGAGGAGGAAACTGAGTCTCAAGAAGATTATGCCAGTTGTTCACATTCACCAATTAAAAAGTGGCCAACCCGAGATTCAAATGCAAGTCTGTGTCCTACTGAACGTTGTACTGACCCGCTGTGTTCTTAGTGGTTAGGAGCCTTCATAGGCAAACAGTTCCTAGGAAAGTTTCTGTATGAGCCTCAACACTTAAGCCACTACTCAGATTCACTTGCCTTGTAAGTGTCAGTTTGTCCCTGGTGACCTGCAGGACAATTTACAGGACACCAGCACTCAGAGGTCATACTGCAGGTAGAATCAACTTCATAATTTGCAGGACATGGTGCAAAATGAAAATGCAGGGTTCCTCATTCAAAAATTTTTAAGAAATTCAAGACACTATAGCATTAAATTAAGCGTGGGGCCCGTCTGGAGGGCGGGCTCTGTGTGATCACATAGGTCCAATGCCCATGAAGCCAGCTGTAACTGCAGGAAATGTCAACAAATTCAGTGGATCCTGGGCAAGGCTGCCTCTTGTGTTCTGCTTGGGGAGTGGAGTGGGCTTGGGAATGTCCTCTGGGCATGGCTTTCCCTCTCCTGAGGTCTTCTCTGTGTGGAAACCTAAACACTTTTTTTTTCTTTTTTTTTTGAGGCGGAGTTTCACTCTTGTTGCCCAGGCTGGAGTACAGTTGCGCAATCTCGGCTCACTGCAACCTCCGCCTTCTGGGTTCAAGCAATTCTCCTGCCTCAGCCTCCTGAGTAGCTGGGATTACAGGCATGTGCCACCACGCCTGGCTAATTTTTGTATTTTTGGTAGAGACTGGGTTTCTCCATATTGGTCAGTCTGGTCTCGAACTCCCGACCTCAGGTGATCCGCCCACCTCGGCCTCCCAAAGTGCTGGTATTACAGGTGTGAGCTACCCCGCGTGGCCCAACCTAAACACTTTTTAACAAGGATTTAGGGCGTCTCAACTTACATCCCAGTTATGTCTACGATGGGGAGCACAGTGGGAGGGGGAGATGATTGATTGTAAAACCCAGTGAAGATGCTGTTTAGAACAGTGGTTCTCAAAACCTGGTCTGGCTTTGATGAAGTTTTCACCCCTCTGATATAAAGAAAGAAAGAAGGGTACGACAGTGAGGTGTTTTGGGTATATGCTTATTTTTATCTGTAAAGCTAAATGTATGTAATATAATGGCCACTCCTTTACTCTATGATTGCCTTATGATTTTGGTGTTGAAATGTTCTCTCTGTCCTAAAGGGATACTAATGATATCCGGTGGTCATTTTTGAATCATCTTCACTAGCTAAATAAAAAGTTGGATGCTCTTAAGACATAATTCCCCATGTTTTAGGGAATTTTTTTTTTTTTTTGAGACGGAGTCTAGCTCTGTTGCCCAGGCTGGAGTGCAAGCAGGGGCTTGATCTTGGCTCACTGCAACCTCCAGTTCTCACTGCAGCCTCCTGGGTTCAAGCGATTCTTCTGTCTCAGCCTCCCGAGTAGCAGGGACAACAGGCATGTGCCACCAAGCCAGGCTGATTTTTGTATTTTTAGTGGAGACAGGTTTTCACCATGTTGGCCAGGCTGGTCTCGAACTCCTGACCTCAAGTGATCCTCCTGCCTGGGCCTCCCAAAGTGCTAGGATTACAAGTATGAGTCACTGTGCCCAGCCAGAATATTTTAGGGAAAATTTTACTGGTTCATGAAATACGAGTCTGAGAACCTATGGACTAGTAAGTGAAGAAGAGCGGAGTGGTATGGTGGAAAGAGCCCAGGGCTGGGGGACACCCCTTAGTCTTACATGGCCACGAATCGTGGAGTCTTGGGTGGCTTCTTTCCCTTTTTGGGGTCCTTGTCTTTAGCTCTACTCTGAGGGGGCTGGACCAGATGGTTGCCTAGTCCTTTCCAGCTTCAATATTCTCTGTTAACTGATTGCTAGCTATCATTGCTAAATAACAGGGAGGATTTGGATTACAGACCCAATGTGTCCTATTTATTCAAGTTATGGAGAAACACAGAGAAGACAATTGAAGGGAATCTACAAACAAAATAATCCTGAAACCAACCCAACAGCTGCTCAATAGATGTTGAAAAGAGCCCATCATCAAATGTACTATGGTACATCATAATGGTTGGGCTGTCAGTAAGAAAGTTCTAGCTTAAGGACGTTGGCTTAGTCACATTGTATTTGCCAAACAGGCAGTGAACATCTGTTTATATAAAAAATTTTCCTCTTCTTTCCTTTATATTTCATCCTTTAAAAAATTTCTTAGGATACATTTTGCTTGGTCTAGTAAGTCTACAGTGCCATTTTGAAGAAGAAGCCTTCAAATTACTTCCTTAATGCATTAAAAATATGATAAAGTGATTTGCCAATTTGCGTAAGTCTGAGTCCCTGTCTTGCACAATAAATAATTGGTAAATTTTAATAAAAATGTACTTGTGCTGTGATTTTGTCCCATTATAAACATATCAAGCAACTATTTTTTTTTTCAAAAAAGCTAAATTTGCTAGAGGGTCTCTTGTACAGCTACTGTACAGTCTACTTTATGCTTCTGGAATTGTCAAAACAAACTTAACTGCTGTCAGGAACTCCGATCCGGTATCACTGTCAAAATGTTTTACAACGATTCAGCCAAATGTTTTTGGAACAGCTGTGCTACAAGTCAGCATGAGTCATTTTCCTTCTTTCCTTTTGGCCCAATCCAGTGATTCATCATCCTGCTTTTAGAATATTTGCCTATTTTTAAAACCAGTCAAAGAAGGCAGCCACTGTTTAAAAGTAAACACACCACACATCAACTTGGGGCAGCTTTGTAAGCAGCTTCGCAAGCCCTGAAACTTCTGGCTGGTAGGGATGCCAGCTAAACCAGATGGCATCAAACAGTGAAATACAGGCCTGGCTTTCAGACTTGGTAGGCTTCATACATCTGTCTTTGGTTTTCTTGTTTCCGCTGCTATTTCCTGCTTGGGTTAATCCAACTTGATCCATTCTTTAACAAAAGTCTTACTTTTTATTTTGCTTGACTCTCTAAAACATCTATTGTATGTTGATTTCTACGTTAATCAATTAGACTTTTATTTCAACTCAAGGAGTCCAATTTGAAGCTACTTTATTTATCTGTAAGTTTATCAGTATGGTCACATATGTGTGAGGTGACATGGCGTGACTATAAATAAGGACGTCGATTTCCACAACGGGCCTCATTAAGTCTGTTGATACCAGGTGTTTGCTATTTACATTACTGTAGTAAAGTAAATGGATAACTTTTTTTTTTTTAATAATTAAGCAGGAAGGAGTGTGACTTCACAGGGGGCAAGGTGGATTAAGTCTCAGGAAGCCTTAAGATTCATTCCTGGCTGTCTTCTAGAATTCTAGAATGTCTCAGCTGCTCTCATACTTTACAGAGTGGTTTCTCCTTCCAACAAGTGCCTGCTTGTCTATGATTATTAGGGTTGGGATGCACAAGTACAGTGTGTTCCCATTTACCTTTGCCAAATCATTCTGGCCTTGGACCCAATGAGCTAAAATGGTCGTGATGTCTAGGTTATTAAACTTGTACTGCAGTGAATGTAAACGCACTTAAGAACAAAATCAGTTTCACAAAGCATAGGTTTTATAATGAAGCCTACCTCTAAAGGTTCAGTGGTGACAAGTGTATTATTTTTGCCTTTTGTCCAATTCTTTGCAAACATTGGGGTGGATTTAACAAGGCACAGTAATTGGCAGAATTTGTCACTTCTGGTCTAAGTAGAGCATTCAAAGGGCCTTGGGACTGAATCTCAGTTCCTCTGAAGACTGTCCTCTAACCTGCAGCAAGGGGCTTGGGAAATTTCTCAGTTTTTACTTGTTCTGTGAGCTAAAGTTAAGTGATATCACTGAATCTGAGGACACCCATTGTCTAGCATAGGAGCAGATACAAAACAGATTCAAATTTGGTGATGCATTGTCATTATTTTAAACTACTTTTAAATGGAAGTATTGTTATACTACTCTTGACTAAAATATACCAGAGACTATTAAGTGATATGACCCTTGAGGGGTTTGGTCAAAGTGAATACCATGCTTGTTTAAATTATCTTTTTGGTGATTATCTTCGATGCTTTCAATGCCTTAGATGCCAGAAATGCCTTGTGTACTGCATTTTATTCTGGACTGTACTATCAGCACATTGGGAGAGGATACTTGTTTCCACATTGTATGTGGCCCATGTCACTTCCTCTAGTTCAAAAAGAACACCAACAAGTTTTTATCAAGAAATTTGGTGATGACTATGAAAACATAAAAACTGTTATCTTTTCTTGCTTTATTATAATTTAAAATAGCTTTGGTTTTTAAATTATTTTTTCACCTTATATTTTGCATACATACTGTATATGCATAGTATGTGTACTGTATATGCATATGTGTACTGTAAATGTATATATGTATAGGTACTATATATGTATATGTACTGTATATGTATGTGTACTATATGTATAAGTGTACTGCATATGTAGTATATGCACTGTATCTGTACTGTATACATATATGCACTGTATATGTATCTGCACTGTGTATGTGTACTGTATGTATGTACTGTATATGTATATGTACTGTACTGCATATATATGTGTACAGTATATGTATATGTACTGCATATGTATCTGTATTGTATCTGTATGTGTACTGTACATATCTTATTGTATCTGTACTGTATACATGTGTACTGTATATGCATCTGTACTGTATCTCTATTATATATGTATATGTGTACTGTATCTGTATTGTATATGTATGTGTACTGTGTATGTATCTGTACTGTATGTATATGTGTACTGTATATGTATCTGTACTATACCTGTACTGTATGTGTGTACTGTATATGTATCTGTACTGTCTCTATTGTATATGTATGTGTATGTGTACTGTATGTGTATTTGTATTGTATATGTATGTGTACTGTGTATGTATGTATCTGTGCTGTATCTGTATGTGTACTGTATATATCTAACTGTATCTGTACTGTATATGTGTACTGTATAAACCTAACTGTATCTGTACTGTATATATCTGTACTGTATATCTGTACTGTATCTCTATTATATGTATGTGTATGTGTACTGTATCTGTATTGTATATGTATGTGTACTGTGTATGTATCTGTACTGTATCTCTATTATATATTATATATGTTTGTGTATGTGCATGTGTACTGTATGTGTATTGCATATGTATATGTACTGTATATGTATCTGTACTATACCTGTACTGTATGTATATGTGTACTGTATATGTATCTGTGCTATATCTCTATTATATATGTATGTGTAGGTATACTGTATGTGTGTCTGTATTTTATATGTATGTACTGTATATGTATCTGTACTGTACCTGTACTGTATGTATATGTGTACTGTATATATACCTGTACTGTATCTCTATTATATATGTATGTGTAGGTATACTGTATGTGTACTGTATATGTATCTGTACTGTACCTTTACTGTACATATATGTGTACTGTGTATGTACTAGGGTAGGGATTGGAAATGAGTGGCCAATGGACCTTAGAGCCAGAGAGTACCTGGAGATAATGGAAGTTCTGCTTTCTAGCACCAAGGCTCGGTCAGCACTATGTTCTTGAAGAGATTGGGGGTGACTTGGATATTTTGACCCATATTTTGGTCAGGTTTCCTCAAATGCTTCTTAGAACTGCATCTTGCCATCCAGCAACAGCTGCCTATTGCCAACCAGTCAACGTAAGCATGAGTTAGGAGGTCTTTCGGGACTCTCTGGGCTCTGGCGCTCCCTAACAAAGCTGTGAATTCTGCTGCAGGGTAGGAGTGCTGCCTGGTGTATTGGAAAGAAACGCCCCATTTGGGTTGCTGCCTGCTTCTCACTGTAACCCAGAATGAGTTTCTGGTTAACTGCCTGTTAGTGTGGTTTGTGGTAGGAGCAGACAGCAATACCATCACAGCTTGTGGCACTTGGAGTCATTCAGAGCAGAACGAATGCTTCTACTTTTCACTAACATGTTCTCCTGTCCCATTAAAGTCCTTCTGGCCACCTCATTAGCACCTTGTTAAAGCATTTTGTTTCATATCATATTTTTTGGTTTTGGCCAATGTAAGAGTATTGAAAGACAAGCAGTCCTTCTTAATTGGAGAGCTGCCAGCCTGGACATTTGAGGATTCTGATATTTGCTTGCAAAATTTTGTTCAGGCGACCTAAGCTCTCCACGCATCTGTGTGTACAGAAAATGAGCAAAATTGTCCTTTACATTCTGTCTGTCCCCAACTGAAGTGATGAAATGACTGAAACAGTGTATACTGATGGTCTAACTCTGGGGGAGTCCAAGGACTCCTACAAGAAAGAGCTCCATAGTGAAGAATCATTTTATTTCCTTGTTTTAGATGATACACCCCCTGAAGACTCCATTCCTTTGGTCTTTCCAGAATTAGACCAGCAGCTACAGGTAAGGATTTTTCTAAAGTCTCTCTTCTTTCCTCCTTAGTGTCATAAAGTATAGCGAGCTGGGCAGAGAGTGGCCTGACTAGGGGAGACTGACTTGGACCCAGAATGTGGGGCTTTGAAGTCATCAAGGATTACATTTCTAGAGCTCCAAAGTCAGGCTGAAGCCCTCATGGAATGCCCCTGTCTGGTTATCTGGCTATGGCACCAGGACAGCAAGTGCTTATAGCATAAACTGGCTCCTATTTTTAAGGGGTTCTGGAGCCTGGGAAAAGGACGGGTCCCTTCTCTACTTCGATATGGCTGTCTCTAGGTCATTGCATTTTTGGCTTGTCTGGGGTTAGTGATTTAGTATTAAACTCTGCAGAGAAGACTTACCATGTTTGCCAAGACTTTGGAATAATCTTCCTTTCTCTGTTCCCTGCCCCTTCCCCAGTTCTCTGACAACTTTTAATGGAATATAACTATTTTAACTTAAACCTTCTGAAAATTGACTTGTTGGACCCATGACAAATTATTTTGTATATGTAGTTTCTGAGTGATCTGTTGAAAGATATTTTAATACACCAGAATTATTTGAAAGGAGCTCATTTATCACATTTTAATTTTCTTTAGATTATCCATGGTGATTCCAGGCAAAAATGGCTTTCAGAAGAGGTTCTGTCTAAAATACCAGGATACTGGCCTTGGGCCAGCCATTCACTTGAATACTTAACTTTGTAGTCACATTTAGGCAAGTCCAATAGGGGTCTTGAATCCTGTACACAGACATTTCTTAGTCACCACTTTTTTCTCCTAAATATTGATTTTGAAAGCCTTTAGGAGGGGTTTGTAACCTCCAGTTCCCAACAGGCCCTGACATACCCTATTATCTTACACACAGCAGCTTTTCCCATTTGTGGGTGTGCCTTGTGTCCTAACGTCATTTGAGTTTGGCATTCTTATTCCTGGACAGCCCTCAACAGAGGTGGAAGAAGAACCAAGAATGAGCCCTTCCGCAAGCCAAGATAGTGTTCCTTTTTGTTTGCTTCTGTTCTTACCTCAGTATGCAGAGCACTGTGTTAAAAACCTGGCAGCAACCAGGTCAGGTTTGAAGAGCTGGTGTTCTACTGCCAGGGTGGTCTCTAAAAACCAACTGAGGGTGACTCAGGTGTGATCTGGCCGCTTGGAGGAGTCCTCATTCTCACCTTTGTAGCAGTCCTGGGCATTGTCTCAGCTTTCCAACAGAAAGCTGCTCAACAGAGCATTATCAGTTATGTAGGTATTACTGAAAATTGTATAGGAGGTCGGAGGGTTACACTGATCACCACACAGCTGTCAAAAGAGCTCTGTCGTCCCCTAAAATTTCCTCTCTAGCTATCAGCCATCACGTCTCCCTCTTTTTTCTATCCTCCATGCAGGGTTCTCAACCCAGCTCTCCTGGCTTCTAATTTTTAACCATAGTCTCTCCCTTCCCCACTCCCACCCCCACCAATATGTCTTCTTTTCAGCATGAAGAACAATTCAGCTCTCCCTCTACCTTTCCTTTTTTTTTTTTTTTTGAGACAGAGTCTCCCTTGGTCACCCAGGCTGGAGTGCAGTGATGTGATCTCGGCTCACTGCAAACTCCACCTCCTGGGTTCAAGCGATTCTCCCATCTCAGCCTCCCTAGTAGCTGGAATTACAGGCATGTGCCACCACGCCCGGATAATTTTTGTATTTTTAGTAGAGACGGGGTTTTGCCATGTTGGCCAGACTGGTCTCAAACTCCTGACCTCAAGTGATCCGCCCGCCTCAGCCTCCCAAAGTGCTAGGATTGCAGGCGTGAGCCACGGCGCCTGGCCTGCATTTTCTTCTGGTCTGTTGACACTGCAAGTGATAGTTCTTGCTTAGGTTCTGTTCTCACAGAGAGGCTGTCTATGTGCTGCTGGTGGTGTAATTGGGATTGCTATTGAAAGTAATGCCATTGGCCCGGTGCCGTGGCTCACACCTGTAATCCCAGCACTTTGGGAGGCTGAGGCGGGTGGATAAGACCAGCCTGGTCAATATGGTGAAACCCCATCTCTACTAAAAATACAAAAATTAGCCAGGTGTGGTGGCACACACCTATAGTCCCAGCTACTAGGGAGGCTGAGGCAGGAGAATCGCTTGAAACCAGGAGGCGGAGGTTGCAGTGAGCCCAAGGTTGCTGTGAGCCAAGATCGTACCACTGCACTCCAGCCTGGGCAACAGAGCAAGACTCCGTCTCAAAAAAATAAAAAAGAAAGTAATGGCAAAAACTACAACTTCTTTTGCACCAACCTAATAGCTATTTTTTCCCCTAGTCATATTTTTTCCTCTTTATTCTATGGTCATGTCAAAGCTATTTTATTATCACGGAAATCAGGTGAAAATAAGGAGTAAACATATTTTGAAAATAAAACACTAAAAGCATATTCAGGCTATTGTTCTCTCATCAAATTATGGATCATTAATTCTACTTTTTTTGTGTTGGAACAACATTTTTTCCTTTGGGAACTTTAATGGTCTTCTCTGGCTCGTGGATCATTCTCCACAAGACTCACAGTAGCTCTGGCAATTATCCAGATAATTTTTCTGTTAAAGCATTGCCAGGTCCATTTGAATTTTATAGCTTTAATTCCACTTGACATATGTTAGAAATTAAGTCTATTTAATTATTTTATTCCAATGAAACTATTTCATCTTCATTGATCTTTAATGAATTAGGCAGTTGAGAGGGTAGTTTCTGGCTCATGGTTTTGATTTTTTTTTCCCCCTTAAAGTATGATAGTGCTTTATCTCTTTGTGAATGGAGAGTGTGTTACCAGCAATACAACCAAACACATTTCAGTAAGTGCTTGTTTGTTGAATGAAGGATAGGAGTGAGTGTTACAAACATTTACCAGTTGTCAAGGCTTTTGGGTAGGGTTGCCTCTGTCTAGAGCTGTTGCCTGTTATCTTTGTTCTGTACTCCAGGGCGTGAGTGACTAAACAGCAAGACGATGATGGTTGGGAGGAGAAATCTAATAGAAGATGACATCTAAAAGCAGATTTTTATTTCTATACTTAGCGTAAGCATATACATTTAAGCCTTCTGTTGCAGGAAGTCTCTGTATTGAAAGCAGTGAAAATGCTTTATGTACAAAAGGAACAATCTATTACACAGAGCAGGCCATCTTTATAGTCAGTCTCGTGTGCTTTCATTACACAGTAATGGCTCTTGGAATTTTATCGACTATCATCATCCACTATGGAAGAGTAAAAGTTGGATTACAAAGGCATATGAAGTGCCTTGTGGTTGCAACTATTTGCTTGAGAATGAATTGAGTCTTGATTACCTCTATCAGAGACTTAAACATTTTCTTGGTGGAAAATAGATGATGCTAGGTATTGTCAGCCCCGTTCTCTGCAAAACCTCGGATTTAAATCCCACCGAAGCCACTGAGTACCTATTAGGCAAGGGGTGTTTCCCTACATATGATCTCATTTGATCTTTGCAATAATGAGTAAGCTAACTGTTTTGTCTCCACCTTACAGATGAGAAACTTGAGGCCAAATTTTGGTCTAAATACATTTACTATTCCCTTCTTTCCCTTACGCTTTTTAAGGAATATACAGGCTGCTTAAATTACTTTGATAGGTGGAAACTTTTTTTGTTTGTTTCTGGTTTGCAAGATTGCCATAATGTAGTTATAGAATAACCTTGTAAAATCTGTTCTGACTTTCTGATATCCATTACACATGCTTTGGTAGTTTATAAAATGCTGCTATAAAATAGCTATTTGGTAGACACTCAATCACTAATTTGACCCCCAGGATTTTTCTGTTGTTTTGCCAAGAATGTGGACAAGTTTGAGCATGTAATTTGCAGTGCTTCTATTTTCACAGAAGCCAAAAAAAGCCTTGTGCAAGAATAGCAGTGAAAAACATTTCTCTTGATGTCTCTATTAATGCAAAATATTGAGCAAGAGACCGCAGGAGAAGGTAGGTGTTAAAATGAATATCTCTTTATAATGTTCATTTGTGGGCCTTGGGCCTCTGTCCAGGAGTAGGTGGAAGGTCAGTTCTATTTGTGCAGATTCCTTTCTTGGGACTAGGTTTCTAAATTTCCCATGCCCATCAGGGACAGTATTTGAGTAGAGCTAGTGTAGATGATATAGTCAGAAGAAAGGACGCCCAATTCTATGTCCATTTCTAAGAATGAATGAAAAATCACTATTCTCTTTCTTTTTTATGTTTTGAGACAAAGTCTTGCTCTGTCACCCAGGCCAGAGTGCAGTGGCATGATCATGGCTCACTGCAGCCTCGACCTCCCCAAGCTCAGGTGATCCTCCCACCCCAGCCTCTTGAGTAGCTGGGACCACAGGTGCATGCCACCACACCTGGCTAATTTTTGTATTTTTTGTAGAGATGGGGTTTTGCCATGTTGCCCAGATTGGTCTCAAACTCCTGTGCTCAAGGGATCTGCCCACCTCAGGCTCCCAAAATGCTGAGATTACAGATGTGAACCACCACACCCAGCCATTACTTTTCTTCAGGTCTCAGCTTCTTTCTGTTTGACTTGTCTCTCTCTGTTCTAAAAGATGGTGGCATCCTTTCATGGTCCCAGGGTTTGGGTCAAGACCAAGCCTGTCTTACTGCTTAAGCATGTTATGTTTTTGGAACCATGATTTGACTTACACATGATCCAAAACTATGCTATAACGTGGTCTTAACTTCATTGGAATGAGAAATATGTTTTATTGTCAGGTATAGGACATGATAACTAATAAGAATGACAATGACCAAGGCATGGGCATTAGCATTGGGTTGGCCTGGATTTGGATCTCAGCTAAATTTGTGATTTCCAGCATGTTATTTACTCTCTTGAAAGCTCACTTTCCTCAACTGCAAAGTGGAGATAATGATATCAATCTCACATTGTTGTGGGAATTAAATACGGTAATGAGTAGATCTAGCACAGTCCTTGACAAAATAATTGCTCAATTAATGTAAATTTCATTCTCTGGTGAAATTATTTATTGAATGAAATACTTAAGAATAAGTAATTTATTTTTATTCATGTAAAATGAAATAAAAGCATCTGCTTGAATTTTTAAGTTAGGGATAGAAGTTCTGATGCCCTCTTCTTTTCATTAAGCCAAGGTGCTTCGAGAACAATATGACTTTTTTTTTTTTTTAACCAAATTGAGCAATAGCTTCAATCCCTCCTTAAAGTCCTCCTATCTAATCTGAGATGACAGTGACAGGTGTCTCTGTGGTACACACTGAACTAACAGAGTCTGATAAGTCCAGAAACTGATGTCACCTCCACAAATAAACAATTTCGTAGCTTCAGTTGTGTACCATAATATCCTGTTATCCAAGCAGCCTCTCCGAAAACTTCTTTTAGATTTTGCATCAATATATTGCTTGACATCTGGGAAATGAAAATGATAGAAAATGAAGAAGTCTAGCCTTCCAGGATTCTGCTACACTGGTCTTTAACATCCATCTGGAAATGTGGTTAGGGTATATTCTCATAGAAAGCACCAGACGTAGCTGACATTTTCTCTCATACACACATTGAAAAGTATTGTATACTGCAATTTTTCTTTGATTGCTGTGTCCACACAGAAAACATATATAGATACTTTGGAGCTTTTCAATAATGCCTTTAATTTTTTGTTTGTTTTGAGAAGCTCAGTTGTCATTTAGGTATGGCTTGTTCAAAAAGTTTGCTACTCTTGTGTTCTTTCTCCTTTTGATATTGTTTATGTCAACAGAAATGACTTAAATATACTTTACTCCAGTGTAACATGATGTATAAGTTCTGTAGTATAATTGATAGTGCTCAACTTGTACTGTAATGTAGATACTATATAAATGTCATTTCTTAAAATATTTAAAGTTCTAAGATAATAGAGTTCTTAAATATCGAAATCAGCATGGACTGTGTTTTTCCTCTCAGTTTTAACAAACGATGCTTGTTAATTTTAAGACATTACAATGTAATGTAAATTTAAATCAGACACCCCCATCTTTCCCAAAAGTAGGTAACCCTGAGAATCAAGGAATAAATACAAAGAGTGCTCAGCGAGTGTAGAATGTTTAGCTTCCTAAATATATCTCCTGTGTGGGAAGCTGGGATAGGAAAATTAAATTCTGACATTTTTGAAGAGGATGGGGCCAGTAGTATTCGCAGAAGCCAAATAGAAAACGGAAACGCCCGAGCCGGCTTTGCTCCTAGCTGAGGGTGGCTTGGCTGGGTCCTTCCCCATGGGGTCTGTTCCAGGGAGTGGAATCCACTTCGGGAGGAGCTTGCTATGAACCGGCAAGCTCAGGCAGAGAGCAGAACAGCACCATAGCACCGTGTGGCTCAAGCCGGCATTCTTGGAACCGGACCCTGCGGTTTCTCTCTTACTTCATCTTGTTAAATCGGTCCTGATAATTGGGGCGGATACCAGAGATAGCAGCAGCTCCTTCACGCTGCACTGCCATGAAATATTAAGCCCTTGCGAGCTCCATCCTCAGGCGGCAGCGGGAGGAGGCGGAGATGGAGGAAAAGTGGGCGAGGAGGAAGTATCTCCTCCTGGGCTGTGACCTCACCCAAGCCCCAGTCTGTGTCTTGGAAACATGTGTTTCAAAGTTGGCTTGAGGCGCTGTTAGGAGAAGGTGTTAATTTCACCTCCTAAGAACTGGCTGCGTTGTATAGTAAACCAGATACGATGGCAGGGAGTGCATCTGAAAAGCTGCTGCTGTGACCGCACAGAATTTGTGCTCTAGTACATTAGCAGTATCTTTATTCTTCAATTTATCAACTCAACTATCTTTGGATTCCTTTTCTTTGGAGTGCAATATTTCATTCTTTAAGCAGGAAGGTGGGATAAGTGTATCCAAAATTGGAGGATGTAGCATCATTGTGGAGAAAATAACAAGGGAATTTTTTTCCTCCTGATGTGAAAAATAATTAACTATCAACATTAAGAGTTTATTTATCGTACATCCATTCCCAGCATGGGCTTATAACTATGAAAATCTCTCTGACAAGAATAGTCAAAATCAAGCAATGAGAACTGAAATAGTGTTTCTTTTATTCCAAGAAGTTAATAGATGTTTTCTCATCTAGTTACCCACAGGTATTCTTTTAAGTTATTTTACAGTTTTTAATTTGAGCATGTGTTACATAAACCCACGTACAGCCAGTTAATTCATGAGTGCCAGTGTTTTACATGTCATGTTACTTAAGCGTACTGACACTCCATTTTTAAACTGGAAACCTGATTCTTGAATTCTAAGAATCGATTTCCTCAGGCAGAAGCTTGTGTTTGATTAATACTGTTGGCCATATATTGTCTCTTATTTTGAGGGATTACCTCTCAAAAGGTAAGGTAAGAGAGGATTACCCTCAGTCAGGACCTGATGATACAACATACATACACACATTATATCACAAAGCAATGAGAGTTATTCCATCCTACATGGAACAACACATCACATTATTCTATAGTGCCACTTTTTGTATTAGGTATAAAACCTGAATATCTTAATACTTGTATTCACCAGAATTCCTGCTGGGACAAGAACCATATATATTTAAGCAAATTCTTTGATCAGTTTCCTGGCTGGGGTAAATGGCCAATGATGTCAACTGCCCTCTAAGAACAGTAGATTCCGTTGACCGGAGAGCACTTTGATTTGCTCAACAATGTTTGGGGTTACCAGTGAATGGCTCGAGATTATAAAGGGGTGAGAAATTTGAAGTTCTCTGGGGAGAAATTTGGGAAAGAGCAAAAGATTGAGTACAAATGGAGTCAGCCTCTCCTAGGTAACCCTGGTAGCACTGCTTAGAAGATGGGCTAGAGACAGCAGAAAGGTTTAATGAAATAATTTTTTTTGCATTGATTTTTTTCTTATTATGGGTAAAAACGCATATGGTAAAATTTACCATCTTAACCATTTCTAAGTGTACAGTTTGGTAGTGTTAAGTATATTCACATTGTTGTGCAACCGATCTCCAGAACTTTTTCATCTTGCAAAATAGAAAGTCTGTACCCATTAAACAACAATTCCTTATTTCCCTCTTCCTATGGCAACAAATGAGAGAATTTTACAATGTTTTGGTGGGTTATGCAATATAACCTTCCTCTTTACTTAAAAAATAGAAATCTATATTGCTCTTTAATGTTTTCATACAAACTTGGAACATTTGAAGTGGTGCTGAGTTTTATGTCAAGTTGAAGGCTTAGTTTTTAGGATCCAGAGGCTGAAGTGACCCCTGGAATCTTTGTACTCCCTGAAAACTGGATACAAAGTATTTTAGGCTTATTCTTTTTTGATTGTCCCTTCTTTATGATGGGAAGTCTTGAAAATATTATTATGTATAGATAGCATGATCATGCTGCTGAAAGCACGTGTGGATATCTTGAAATATGTACTACCTATCATCACATATGCTTAGTGGCATGATCGCTCTACCTATAGATAACAACATCTTGAATTTCCCACAATTAAGAGGTGCCAGTAGTAAAAAAAGAACAAATGACAACATTTCCCACTTAGTAAAAATCATTACAGGTGGTAAGCTGGGGGTGAGGCAGGGAAGGCCTCTCCCTTCTTAAGAAAGTTATTAATGTACTTTTCAGTTTTCCTTTTAAATTACAGCAGCAAAAGACATATCTCCCTTTACACGGCTGCTCTCTATGTTATCTTAAAGTTGTGAATCCTTTATGTAGAGTTCTAGAACTTTTTCGCTGCCACATAGTTAACTGTGCTGAATTCATGGTTCAGGTACCTACACGTACTGAGCTCTTGTTTCAACTGAGTATAGCCTGTGTGGTGTTTGTAAGGACAGGATCTGATGTGTAGAGTCTTAGGGCCTTCCAGGAGGCAAATCCTTTAACAGGGCACAGATGATTCAACAGCTTGGCTATGGTGCCCAGAATAAATTGCTTTCATTCCCCTTACTGTTATACCTGGTAAGTTGCCAGTGTAACAGGTGAAAATTGATGAGTGGGTAGCGATTTCTGGGGCACAGACTGGAGGAGCCAGGAGTTCTGAATTCCTTTGGCAATAGCTTTATCTCATGGGGCGAGTTATACTGTAGTACTACTGTGCGTTATTTTTCAATTGAATCCCGTATAGAAAGGGATGATGGTTCCAACAGTCTGAGTTTATGCTGTGAATGTGTTCATGGGCAGCAGAGAAAGGTGCTACCTAATATGATTATTATGAGATTTTCCATGAACTGGGACATAACAGATGTTCCACGTGAAGGTAAATTTGACCTAAATCTATTTAGAATTTTATTTCCTTTAAACATCTCTACTCAGAGGCCTCATGATACATAGGGAATGTCATCTTATCTATCAATCAGACAGTAAACTTTATTGAATTTCTATTACATCATGGGAGGGATCACAGAAATAAATATGACACCCACAGAAATCTGTGTCCTTGAAGAATATAATGAGAGGAACAAATAGTAAAAAATTCATTAGTTCTCAATTTCCTAATATAAAATTAGTGACAATATGACCTTGTCAGATACATAGTTTATATATAGAGAGAGACCATTGTGAAGAAAGGATAAGATTGAAGAGCCTATTTCACAATAAACTGATATTTCTCAGATTTTATTTACTTTTTTCTATATATAATTGAAAAGGGTGATTTAAAAAAAAACTCTTAACTAGTATTCCTAAAAGTAGTACTTTTTTTTTTTTTTTTTTTTTGCAATGGAGTCTCACTCTGTCACCCAGGCTGGAGTACAGTGGCATGATCTCGGCTCACTGCAACCTCCACCTCCTGGGTTCAAGCGATTCTCCTGCTTCAGTCTCCTAAGTAGCTGGGACTACAGGTGGGCCCCGCCATGCCTGGCAAATTTTTGTATTTTTAGTAGAGATGGGTTTTCATCACGTTGACCAGGCTGGTCTCGAATGCCTGGCCTCAAGTGATCCACCTGGCCTAAAAGTAGTACTTTTAATCACGCATTGCTAAACAAGAAATTAGAAAAATAAACTTGGGGAAAACTCGTTCTTTAAAAATAATTCCTAGAAGTAGGGTTTTCACCATGTTGCGGTCAGAAAGGCTTGCCACGCTGGCCTTTGCTTCTTTCATGGATGGGAGAAAAAGAGAAACATGAATCTTATAGGGATGGTTTTTTTTTAGGGGGAGGGAGATCCGGCCTTTCTTACAGGTTGCTTAATCCTTGCAAGCATTATTTCTGGCTCAGCATCTTTCTTTAGCCCAAATGCATTTCTCAGAAGAGAGCTTTTCTTCTCTACTCTGCAAGATGAGATTATACCTCCTGGCTACAGAAACAGAAAGCAAGGGATAATTGAAACAGACAACTGAACTATTTCCCCACCACTGCTCTTCTCTAAAGCAAAGTCTAAGATTTCCGGGGAGTACGGTAGAATCCTTTGGAGACTTATTTTTACTCCATCACAAGGCAGGTAACTGACATGTAATGGATTTCAGGGCTCTGGCTCAGGCCTGAGATGCCCATGAATGACACTGGGAGATGAATGTGGAGACTATCTGTCCACCTCTCTATTTTCAGTCAAATAGAATCAGCTGAACTCTGTTGAATGTTGACTGACAATGCTGTTCTCACGTTAAAAAAAAAAAAGAAGAAGAAAAAACCTTCGTTTAAAGAACATCAGCGAGCAAAATGGTTGGTAATTTATCCTGATGCAAAGAAATGGACTAATTTCTTCTTGTTGTTTGTGAAGCCCCTGCCGCCTTGTCATGACTCCGAGGAATCCATGGAGGTGTTCAAACAGCACTGCCAAATAGCAGAAGAATACCATGAGGTCAAAAAGGAAATCACCCTGCTTGAGCAAAGGAAGTAAGTACCTACCCCCCTCACTCTACATCTGAGCACTGCCTACTGGGCAAGGACCAGGGGCAATGGGCAGGGGACAGGCTGAGTGTGAGGATGACAGGGAGGCAAGGGGGTTACAGCAATGATTCAAGTGGTGCTATTGGAGATTAAGTGCTTTATGGAGTAGCAAAAGGAATACCAGGAATGCTTCCTACTCAAAACTTAATTTTTTAAATAAGACATTTTAGTTCATGAAATTAAAAATGCCAAAATACCACCCAAAACCACACTATGTTTTCCGTAAATGTGCCCAGAGGCTGCAGAGCACTGTGGCTTGGTGTGAATTTTAATTTCTGCTTAAATGATGGCATTCCCACATCACGTGAAGAAGCCACTGGGATAGCTCTTCAAAATAATGTAAACGTTTTAGTTGACTGACTACATTTTATAGTAGGGTAAGTTTTTATCTTGATAGCTTTTATTACTATTACAGTTCTGCTATAGGGAATTATACAGTTCTATTAATTAAAGCATTCTGATTTTACTCACTCATAACTTTTTGTTTCTGGATCCTTCTTTTTAATTGCACTTGATTCCGCCAGTGCCTACCCCAGTGAATCCCATTCTTTTATACTTGCAAAGCTTCAGAGTAGACACCTTTCCTTCACAGTACTAGCTGGTTGGGATTTCCCATTTATTAACGAGATATCTTGATTACTAGGATCTTTTGATTAGATCTCCTTTTGATTACATCTCCTACTAGGTGGTAAGTGCCATAAAAGCACTGATAGTCAGGTGTTGTCACCATCAGATTCCTGGAGCCTGGTATGATATGTGGCACCTAGAGGCTGAGTAAATTATTGTTGATGTGTGAAACAGAACACAAACATATTGTGATTCTTTATTTCTTATATATCACGTGTCACCCTAATAAAAGGAAGGGGAGAAGAAATAAACATGCTACCATGCTCAGCTAATTAAAAAATATTTTGTGGGGGCCGGGCGCAGTGGCCCACGCCTATAATCCCAGCACTTTAGGAGGCCGAGGCTGGTAGATCACCTGAGGTCAGGATTTGAGAACAGCCTGGCCAACATGGTGAAACCCTGTCTCTACTAAAAATACAAAAATTAGCCGGGTGTGGTGGCGGGCACCTGTAATCCCAGCTACTCGGGAGGCTGAGGCAGGAGAATCGCTTGAACCTGGGAGGCAGAGGTTGCAGTGAGCTGAGATCACGTGCCACTATACTTCAGCCTGGGCAACAGAGTGAGACTCTATCTCAAAAAAAACAATTTTTTTTTTACAGATGGGATCTTGTTATCTTGCCCAGGCTTGTCTCAAACTTCTGACCTCAAGCAATCCTCCAACCTTGGCCTCCCAAAGTGCTGGTATTACAGAGTCAATATCAGCAATAAAGGGCTGCTAAGATGAATTGTTAAATTAGGAAATATGATTATATCTTATATTTATAAATACATGAGGTTGGTTTTCCAAGGGTTATTAATGATTATTATTTTCATTAATATAGATATGAAATTTCATAAAGGAATTAAAGATTATTAATAATGTGACCAGTATTGAAGTCAAAGGAAGATTTATATAATCAATAGCCTGTGAATAAATGTATCTTCTGGTGTGTGTATGTGAAGTGTGGTGGTATAATAAAAATACACACACACACAAAATTTAATTTTTACAAAAAGCGAATGAAATATATTTTGTGTTGAGAAGTTTGTGAAATCCTTACAATTTTTTTGAGACTCCCAGAATGGTGGTCGGACAGTATAGCATGATGGTGGACAGTATGGGTTTTGGGGCCAGACTTCTGCAAAACCTCAGTTAGTACCTTACAAACCCTTCCTTCCTTGCTTGGTTTGCCATGCTTCAAACATAAAATTGTATCTAGACTTTTGGCTACAGGGGATTAAAAGATGTTTATTAGGAGGTCACAAATACAAATTTTCTCTTCCATGTCTGACTATTTTCTTTTTGTTCTAAGAGTTTTGATAAAGTTGCTTGGAATACTCAGATTGCATGATTACACACAGTTGGAGTCCTACAAAAAATTTCATGAAGGAATTGAGGATTATTAATCATGTGATCCATATTGAAGTCAAAGAAGATCTATATGACGAATAGCCTGTAAATGTATCTTCTGGTGTGTGTGTGTGAAGTGTGGTGGTATGATAGAAAAATCCTCAGTAATTATGTCTCTATTTATAAACTCTTCAGACTGAAGGTACTGGAGGACTTTGTTATTTAAATTAAATTTATGTGTAGCTTTTTTTTTTTTGGAAATGCAATACTCATCCCCTAAATTACATGTTCTGTAAGTTTTTTTTATGTTGCATTAAAAAAAATATGGTAGGGGCCAGACGCAGTGTCTCACACCTGTAATTTCAGCACTTTGGGAGGCCGAGGCAGGCAGATCACCTGAGGTCAGGAGTTCGAGACCAGCCTGGCCAACATGGCAAAACCCTGTCTCTACTAAAAAATACAAAAATTAGCCTGGTGTAGTGGTGGGCGCATGTAATCCCAGCTACTCGGGAGGCTGAGGCAGGAGAATCGCTTGAACCCAGGAGGTGAAGGTTACAGGGAGCTGAGATCGTGCCATTGCACTCCAGCCTGGGCAACAAGAGCAAAACTCTGTCTCAAAAAAAAAAAAAAAATGATATGGTAGGATAATGACATGAGAGTGACTCCTATCTAATGTTTGAAACATATCCTTACTGTTTACATTGAAAGCAATGATAACTCTGGGTACCACTACAACAATATTAAAATGAAAAAAGGGGCCAGGCGCAGAGGCTCACACCTGTAATCCCAGCACTTTGGGAGGAAAGGCAGGCGGATCACCTGAGGTCAGGAGTTTGAGACTAGCCTGGCCAACATGGCAAAGCCCTGTCTCTACTAAAAATACAAAAAAATTAGTCGGGTGTGGTAGATAGCACGTGCCTGTAATCGCAGCTACTCAAGAGGCTGAGTCATGAGAATTGCTTGAACCCAGTAGGCGGAGGTTGCAGTGAGCCAAGATCACGCCACTGCATTCCAGCCTGGGTGACGGAGTGAGACTGTCTCAAAAAAATAAAAATAAAAAATAAAAAAAGGAAAAGTCAACTTCTAGAAGTAACATGGCTAGCAGGCTAGTGGAGGTATTTTATACAACCTTCCAGACCACATACAAGTGGGCCGGACCCCCTCCTTAATTACTTATATGCCTGTGTGTGTTTCTGCAGAACTCATCTTGTTTCCTTCCCCAAAGTACTTGAAGTGTCTCCCTAAATAATTGGCTAGATGTAGGGCCAAGGCCAAATTCTTTCATTATATATATATTTTCTTTTTCGTAAAGTCTCAAGTTCCTTTTTCTTCATTCTCACTTCTACCATTTGGGCTTGGGACTTATTACTTGAGATCTTGGTTGATGCAATATTGTAACTAGTTTCCCTGCCTAGGGTTTCTTGTTGCTAGAAAATGACAGCCAGTTCTTGGCATAGATTTCAAGACCTCCCTGGGGATGCCTTGGAACCTCTGTAGAACTTCCAATCTCATCCCTCAACTTCAGCTACATTGGCCTCCTCACTTCTCCCGGGGCAGGAGGTGGGTCCTCCAGTCACTGAGCCCCTGTTCACACCAAGCTCTTGGCCTAACAGGCCCCTTTCTTCCTTTTTTTTTTTTTTTTTTTTGAGACAAAGTCTTGCCCTGTCACCCAGGCTGGAGTGCAGTGATGCAATCATAGCTCACTGCAGCCTCAACCCCCTGAGCTCAAGCAACTCTCCCACCTCAGCCTCTTGAATAGCTGGGACGACAGGTGCATGCCAGCATGCCCAGTTAATTAAAAAAATTTTTTTAAAGAGATGGCATCTTGCTATGTTGCCCAGGCTGGTCTCAAACTCCTGACCTACAGCAATCCTTCCACGTCAGCCGCCCAAAGTGCTGGTATTACAGAGTCAATATCAGCAATAAAGGACTGCTAGGAGGAAAATTGCTCGAACTCGGGAGGTGGAGGTTGCAGTGAGCCTAGATCACACCATTGCACTCCAGCCCGGGTGACAGTGCGAGACTCCATTTAAAAAAAAAAAACAAACTGCTAGGATACATTGTTAAATTGGGAAATATGGTAATATCTTATATTTATAAATACATGAGCTTGGTTTTCCAAGGATTGTTAATGATCGTTATTTTCATTAAGACTTTACTGAAGTGGAAATTCATTTTGCAACATGTCTTTTCCCAAACAGTCTTTATTTTCAAGCAAGATATATTGGGCCAAGTGAATTTGACCCAAGTAGTTAGCTCTCCATTTTTTGATGATTCTGTTGAGAATTTCTTTCTCATTATTTCATAAAGTGTAGCTGATTATGTTGCCTCTAGCTTGGCTGGCGTAAGCTAGATGCAAAGAGAGACGCTAACTAAGGTATTTTAAAAGACAGTTTTTCTTTATTGGAGTCGTTCAGACACTGCTTAAGGTTTGAACTCCAAACTGAACTTCTCTCTCATCTCCAGAGGAGGTCTCCCTGGATCAAGTTTGGGAGAATTTGTCTTAAGAGGCGTGATGAGAAGAGTTGCTGAAACTGTTATTTTAAATCATATCTGTTGGATGGAGAAAGAGAGTCAAACATTTTCTAGGATTATAAACTCAGCATTGGCTGAATCCAATTTAAAGAATCGCTTCTGGCTTATGACCAATGATGTACGAGAGGTTTGTTATATTTTTACTGATTTTTTTTTTCTTCTCCGTGTGAAAAAGGTGGGAAGGACTTTCTTGAAAGCTTTGAAAAATTACCAAGAATTCTGATATCTTTAAAGAACTCCTGCTATCATTTTTATCTAATTCTTTCTAGGCCTTTTGCATGTGAATAGACATTTTAATATAATTGCATATACAGTAACGTGGAATGTATAACATGATTTTTTCCGTAAATATTATAAGCATTTTTCTACAACATACCTAGCTTTTTGTGTATGTAATATGAAAGTCATTGAAATGAGATATAGACATTTTATGGCTTTTGAAATCTATCACCAAATTTAGAAAAAATAAAATAAAAAAATGAAATCTATTACCAAATTGTTTGACAGAAATTTTTAAAAGTATATTATTAAGCTACAATCAACTGTAAAGTTTGCTTTGTTCCAGATAAAGCATTTTATCTCATCCAGTAGAGAAACCACTTATTTATTTTTTTGGTATGAAATATTGTATTGGGTACTTTGGTGTTTAGAAGATTAACTGAAATGTCAGAAAAATAGACAGACTCTTAGAAAAGTCAGATTGAAGAATGTTTTATTTATTCATTTTAATTTTTATTTTTTAATTTCAATATGTTTTTGGGGCACAGGTGGTGCTTGGTTACATGAATAAGTTCTTTAGTGATGATTTCTGAGATTTTGGTACACCTGTCACCCAAGCAGGGTACACTGTACACAATGTATATTCTTTTATTCCTCACTCCTCTCCCACCCTTTCCCGAGTCCCCAAAGTCCATTGTATTATCCTTATGTCTTTGCATCCTCATGTTATATATATTTTTATAAACAATTTTATTTTATTTTATTTTTCTGAGACAGTCTTGCTCAGTCTCCCAGGCTGCAGTGCAGCAGTGCGATCTTGGCTCACTGCAACCTCTGCCTCCCAGGTTCAAGCGATCCTCCTACCTCAGCTCCCCGAGTAGCTGGGATTACAGGTGTGTGCCACCACTCTGGGCTAATTGTTATATTTTTAGTAGAGTCAGGGTTTCACCATGTTGGCCAGGCTGGTCTCAAACTCCTGGCCTCAAGTGATCGGGCTGCTAAAGTGCTGGGATTACAGGCATGAGCCATGCGCCTGGCCAGTTTTATTTGTTTTTAATTGACATGTAGTAATTGTACTTAGTTATGGGGTCTAGTGTAATGTTTTCATACATGGACACATTGTGTAATGATCAAATCAGTGTAATTAGCGTATTCATCTCCTCAAACATTTGTCATATCTTTGTGGTGAGAACATTCAAAATCCTCTCTTTTAGCTATTTTGAAGTGTACATCATTGTTAACTACAGTCACCCTACTGTGCAGGAGAACACCAGAAGTTATTCCTCCTGTCTAACTGTAACTATGTACTCACTGAATAACCCCTCCCCATACCCCTCTTCCTACCACCCTCCCCAACCTCTGGTAATCACTATTCTACTCTCTACATCAATGAGATCAACTTTTTTAGATTCCACATAGGAGCGTGATTGTGTGGTCTTTGTCCTTCTGTGCCTCACTTATTTCATTTAACATCATGTCCTCCAGGTTCATCCATGTTGTTGCAAATGACAGGATTTCATTTTTTAAAATGGCTGAGTAGTATTCCATTGTATAGATATATCACATTAAAAAATCTATTCTTCTGCTGATGGACACTTGGACACGTAGGTTGATCCTATACCCTGGCTATTGCAATTCGGTGGTTTTCAGTATATTCACAGAGTTGTGCAACCATCACCAACTTCACATTTCCTTCACCCCAGAAATAAATCTGGCACTCTTTGGCAGTTACGCCCCACTGACCCTTGACTTCTGGACTTTGGCAACCAATAATCTACTTTCTGTCTCTATGGATTTGCTTATTTTGGACATTTCATACAAATGGAATCATATAATATGTAATCTTTTGTGATTGGCTTTTTTCACTTAGTATAATGTTTTTAAGGTTCATCCACTTTGTATCATGCATCAGTACTTCATTCTTTTTATTGCTGAATAATATTCCATTGTATGAATATATAATATTTTATCCTTTCATAGGCTAATGGACATTTAATCGGTTGTTTGCACTTCTTGGCTATTGTGAATAACGCTGCTATAAACATTTGTGTACAATTTTTGAGGTAGACCTATGTTTTCAATTCTCTTGAGTAGGTTCCTAGCAGTAGAATTGTTGGCTCATATTATAACTCAATGTGTAACCTTTTGAGGAACTGCCAGATTGTTTTCAAACGGGTTGACATTTTATATTCTTGCCAGCAGTGTATCAAGGTTCCAATTTTTCCACATCTTTGCCAACACTTCTTGTGCCTTTTAGATTCTAGCCATCTGTAGTGGGTGTGAAACAATATGTCATTGTGGTTTTGATTTACAGTTCTCTGATGGCTAATGATGTTACACAGGTTCTCCTGTGCTTCATTGGCCATTTCTATCTTTTCTTGGAGAAATATCTCAAAGATCTTTTGCCCATTTTTTAATTTGGTTGTCTTTTTGTTTCTGAGGTGAAAAATGTTACATAATTTTAGTGTGTTCAGGCAAAACATCAGAAAGGGGTTTTCATATGAGGCTATCAAAATCAATGTGAGACTTATATTGTCATGTCTTTTTAAAATGTATAAAATGATGATTGGGGAGTAACATCTCATCTAGGGGAACATATCAGGATGGGGCAAAAGGGTGCATATGTAATTTGCAAAGGCATAAATTAAAATTAGTGCAATTTTGATTTGTTTTTAGTCATATTTATTCTGAGATTTCTAATAACAGGAGATTTTAAGTTTTTTTTTTTATGTTTAACCAGAAGGATTTATTTCTTTAGGATATTCCCAAAGGGAGAGGCTTTTAAACTGTGTTCTGAGGAGTCTCTCACAGATTCGGGAGGGAGAGGGTGTCAGGCAGGGGACTGTACCAAGATCAACCAGAGAAGGACCAATTTTTTTTTTTTTTTTTTTTTTTTGAGATAGAGTCTTGCTCTGTCACCCAGGCTGGAATGCAGTGGCGCGATCTCGGCTCACTGCAAGCTCCATCTCCCCGGTTCATGCCATTCTCCTGCTTCAGCCTCCCACGTAGCTGGGACTACAGGCGCCCGCCACCATACCCAGCTAATTTTTTGTATTTTTAGTAGAGATGGGGTTTCGCCATGTTAGCCAGGATGGTCTTGATCTCCTGACCTCGTGGTCCGCCCACCTGGCCTCCCAAAGTGCTGGGATTACAGTTGTGAACCACCACGCCCGGCAGAGAAGGACCAATTTTATCCCTTTTATTTGCATCCCTTCAGGGTATGACTTTCTTTGCAAAAGGATTCCACAGCAGGGTAACACTGAAAACCAAACCTCACTTTTATATACCTAAGATATTTTTCTTAAATATTTACTCAGCCTCCAGAAATTACATTTTCATTAACATAAATACACAGTAAATGGAGACATTTCTCCACAAGTGTTTGCAGGATATATAGTAATGTGGGGAAAAGTTCTATCTTCTCTTTCCTATGATGTCTGATATGAGTAAGATGCCTTCTGGGTAAGATATGAGATTTGAGTTCATTTTCCAGCTGTGGAGATGCACTTCCCAAGACTGACTTGGCTAGCAAGAATAGAAGACGGTGCCTGGCTTGTAACAGACTTTCAATAAATACTTGCTGAGCAAATGAGTAGAAGAGCAAAGGCCTGCCTCAGTTCTTTACTTTGTTTATGGAGACAGAGATGTAGCCAAAGGTATTCTTTCATTTTAGTACTTAGGTTTTTGTGAAATTTCAGTATCCCAGATGCCATCAGGCTGTGAGTTTAAGCTGTTAATGCCCCAATCACAATGATTTGGGTATTTTACACCACATAATTAGGTGCAGCCCAGTCATTTAATGGGAATTTCATTCCCAAGTATTTCTACACCTAATTGTCTGCCCGAAACTATATTAAATTTATGCCTAGTGTTCCATTATTGGAACACTAAATGTGGGAGTTATTTATATCCTACTGCTCAAGGTCATTGCCAAGATCTGATTTTTCAAATTCAAAAAATTGCAACCTCAGGCATTAAGTGGGTTAAAAGGGACAGCATATTTACTCTTCTCAGTGAGAGCTCTTTTAAGTAGGTTTCCCTTGCTGAGGAAAGAGGCTCAAATCCAATCTCTGGGGTAGCAGAGTGAAGAAACCTTTTGCTGTTCACTTTCTTCCTGTCCCAGGATTAATTCTTGTCAGGTTGATTGATAGTGGGAATCTCCACTTCCTTTAGGTGGTGGTTCTTAATCAGGAAATTCTCCACACCTGCCCCACCCTACATTGGCAATACTTAAGAGACATTTTTGGTTGGTGAGTGTAGGTTTGCTATTGACATCTAGTGAGTGAGGCCAAGGTTGCTGCTAGACTTCCTACAACGCCAATGTATAGACAGTGCCCAACGACAAAGAATTGCCTGGCCCACAATGTCAGTTGTACCAAGGATGAGAAATCCTGCTTTGGAGCAAGTCTGACTTCCTCCTGCACGGGTGCAGTGTTGCCCTTTGCTTCCCAATAGATATTAGTACATTTCTTCATGCATTAAGCATTTGTACAGCTTCAACAACATAGTCTAGACTGAGCATTGGAAATCTCAGTTCAGTATCATTTATTATTCCTCCACCTGGATAAAATGAAGGTAGACTTTGACATCCTTTCTGTCATCTTGAGGCATTGACTCCTTCTGTCCTGCGTATGAATGCTTTTACTCAGACATAAGTCTCTCAAGATCCACCAACAATACAGTCTAAATCCCTATTTAAAAGTAAAATTCTCCCTATGATAAAGGTATTTTATTATATTATTTCCCCAAATTCTTTAGCTCACTGGGGCCAAACTGTCTAGAATTTTGCCTTTCCCAAATAAAAGTCCCTAGTTAACTTTGAAAGGGCCAAGATCCCTTGTAGTGGTCTCCTCAGCACAGAGAAATATTTATTCCAGTGATGGATCCATGTCTCAAACTCCTGCAATGTAAAGAATCTCCTTAATTTTGGAATTAATTTCCATAAAGTTTGAAAGTTTTCTTAACCAATTGACTTGGACTTTCCCTTCCCCTATTTGTTTAGTAACTAAAAACCTTTCCAGGCATGTGGCTTAGGATGGAGGCAACAGATGAGCTATGGTGGACTCCAAAGTTATGACCTTTTAGGCTATTGAATGGCGTCATGTGGAAAGCTATGTTACAGATTCATGACTGCAGAAATAAGATCTCTCTAACTGTGGTCTTCTACCCCCATATTACATTACACTGAAGGAAACGATACAAATAGAACCAATAAATCAAAGGCAGAACCACATTCTAGCCTATAATACATATTGATTTGTTCTTCAGATCATCTATTTATAAGATTGTTTTTGTAGCTTGATGTGCCAAGGTTTAATTATGAATTGCTAATGGATGAGCATAAATATGTCTATATAAATAGGTCCTGGACAGGAAACAATAGACATTTTGACAGTTTTCATTGGATGTCTGTATAATTACTTATCAAATACATGACACTAATTTAGAAACATATCCGCTGAGTCTTCTGGGTTCCAGTAAAGAAGAAATTATTATTGACTTTCTCCAATGCAAGATCAGACTAGATAATTTAGACTATTCTTTCAAATTGTAAAAATCTATGATTTTGTGATTTTTTATCTCTGACAATCAAAATTAATGACAGATAGCTTCAGGAGTTTTACATGAGGTTAGATATGGAGCCAGGGAAATAGCCATTGTTATCCCCATTACCACCACCTCCCAGACTGTGATTTGAAAGTAAAGTCCACCTAAATCATTTATATGACACAAGTAATTTGAAGAGAAAAATAGAACAGGAATAGATGATCTGTTTGATGCATAGGGGATTTAAAGCATGTCTCTCTCTCTTTCTCTTTTTTTTTTCTTTTTTTTTGGAATGGAGTCTCACTCTGTCGCCCAGGCAGGAGTGCAGTGATGTGATCTCGGCTCACTGCAGCTCCACCTCCCAGGTTCCAGCGATTCTCCTGCCTCAGCCTCCCGAGTAGCTGGGATTACAGGCACACACCACCATGCCTCGCTAATTTTTGTATTTTCGGTAGATACAGGGTTTCACCATGTTGGCCAGGCTGGTCTCAAACTCCTGACCTCAAGTGATCTGCCCGCCTCGGCCTCTCAAAGTGCTGGAATTACAGGTGTGAGCCTCTGTGCCTGCCTCTTTTTTTTTTTTTTTTAATTTATATAGGCTTTACTCATTAATGTTTAAAAATAATTACATGAGGAATTTTACTAATTAATATTTAATTATTGACATTTACTACCTAAGCTATGCTTAGGGACACAAAACTCTAAACATTTAATCAGAAGATAGGCTTGATTTCTGGCTCACTCTTATTAGCTGTGTGACTTTTTCCTTTAAATGGAGCACTTTCAGTTTCTATTTCCTCATTTTTAAAACATAAATTACTGTATCTCTGAGCTACCTTTTTCTTCAATTATTTATTCAGTAAGTATTTATTGTGAGCCTATTCTATTCTAAACAGCATGGAAGATCCAAAAATCAGTAACAGCCCAAAGGAACTTTGTTTATATGCGTATCAGTGATGTACCTTATCTTCCAGTTTTGGACACTTTCTAACATCTGGTTTTGCTCAGTGGACACCAAAGTGGGTATCCAAGGCAGGCCATTGGGTGCAGGAAGAAAATACTAGAACTTTTATCCTTATTTACTCCTTGTCTTTTTTTCAGGATAACTGCATTTTGATAGTTTCAAACTTAGAGAAAAATTGCAAAAGTAGTATAGAGAACTCCCAACCGGGCGTGGTGGTTCACGCCTGTAATCCCAGCACTTTGGGAGGCTGAGGCGGGAGGATCACCTGAGGTCAGGACCAGCTTAGTCAACATGGTGAAACCCCATCTCTACTAAAAATACAAAAATTAGCCAAGTGTGGCGCACACACCTGTAGTCCCAGCTACTCGCGAGGCTGAGGCAGGAGAATCGCTTGATCCCAGGAGGCAGAGGTTGAAGTGAGCCGACATCACGCCACCGCACTCCAGTCTGGGTGACAGAGTGAGACTCCATCTCAAAAAAAAAAAAAAAAAAAAAAACAACACTCCCATATATCCTTTACTGGATTCACCAGTTACTAAACTTTCCCCAGTTGTGCCTTATTCTTCCTCCCACGACAGTACTGGGGTTTTCTTTCTCTCATACACACACATATACATATATACATATGTGTATGTATATATGTGTGTAAATACATGTATGTATACGTATGCATATATGTGTGTCATCATGCTCCACATTGCCCTAAACACTTCAGTAAGTATAGTCTAAAACAATAACATTCTCTCATTTAACCATGGTATAATAATTAAAATCAAGAAATTTAGCATTGATATATTATTATTATTTAATTCACAGTCCATATTCAAATTGCATCAATTTCCCAATAATGTTCTTCAAAACTATTTTTTTTTCAGTTCAGAATAGCACATTGCCTGTGTTGTCATTTTCTTTTTTTTTTTTTTTTTTTTGGTTTCTTTAAATACGGAGGAGTTCTTAACATTTTTAAAGATACAGGTTAACAATTTTGTAGAATTTCCCTGAATTTGATTTGGTCTGTATGATTAGATATAGAGTGTACATTTTTGGCAGGAATACCACAGAAATGATGTGTGTTTCACAGTGCATGTGATGTCTATTTATCTCATGACTAGCAGTGTCAACTTTGGTCATTTGGTGAAAGTGGCCTTCCAGTTTTCATCACACATTTCCCTTTTCAATTAAGTAATTTGTAGGAGACACTGAGGTTATGTAAATATTTTGTTCCTTATCAGACTTTCACCCCCCAGGTTTAGCATCCGGTCTTATCCTGTTACATATCCATATTTGGGTATGCTTTATAATGTATGTAATATATTGGCAGGTATATAATTTATGAATGAATATGCAGACATACGTAGAAGTAGTTTGGGTTTGTGTTCAATTTTTTTTAACCAATAGTATTATATAATAAAACATGTTTGGAGACCTAATTGAATGAGATGGTCAGGCTGTTTTCTAGCTCTGGATTATTGAAACATTACAGGTTGTGTTTTGATGAGCAACCCCCCCCTCCCCCCGCCCCTTGTTCCCAGTGGCCACAGGCTTATTTCCAATATAAACTTGAATATTATTGCTTTTCAGGAATATATGTATTTTCCTTTCTTCTTTTCATATTATGTAGTGTCAGATCAGTATCTGATCAGTGGAAGAAGGAAGAGGAGAGGCTTTTAGAAATGTAGCCAACTGTAGTGATGAAAGAATGTAAGGAAGATAGTATTTGCATGTATTTTATGCTAAAGCAATGTTATTACTACTTTAAAACAGGGGTTCAAAACTGTTTCCTAGGAACACAACTGTAAAACATCAGGAGCTTTTCAGGGTAGGGGGAACCTAGGAGGAGAAGCCTTGGGACTGAGACTGGTGGCAGTGTGTCCTAAGCTTTGGTCATTTGGGTACAACTTCTGTGAATGATCATGAAGTAAGTTCCAGATACTTCCACATCTACATTATTATTGACTCAAACTTTTTTTGTAAGTCATCTTTATGTAGATCTTCTTTTAATTAGCCTCCTTTTAGGGCACAAGATCTTTGAAATCATATGTTAGATGCGTTGGTTTATATTTAAAAATACACATTAATTTAATTCAAAAGTCTAATGAAGCTTTCAGTACAACCTACAATCATCTAATGCTAACACCAGCAGTACAAAGCCTTCCCTTTGGAAAGCTCATCTAGAAAACTATGTATCTGAAGGTCATTTACCAACTGTTTTTTGCCCTACAGAGGAGGAAGAAATGTAAGGCAAAGGAGAATTCAGTTAGATTTTGTCTAGGTTAGGATTACCTGACCTCCATGATGGAGACAGACCTGGTATCCTTTGGGTTATCATGTTTATTAAATCTACACATGGACTGAAGATCTTTAGCTCATTATTTCTTTCCTTTTTTGAGACAGGATCTCACTCTTTTGCCCAGGCTGGAGTGCAGTGGCACAATCATAGCTCACTGCAGCCTCAACCTCCCACGCTCAAGTGATCCTCCTGCCACAGCCTCCCGAGTAGCTGGAACTGCAGTTGTCAGCCATCATACCCAGCTAATTTCCCAATTTTTTGTAGAGATGTTGTCTCGCTATGTTGCCGAGGATGGTCTCAAACTCCTGGACTCAAGAGATATTTGCCTAGGTATCCCAAAATGCTGGGATTACAGACATGAACCACTGTGCCCAACCTTTAGCTCCTTATAATGTGTATTTAAATCAATGAATTATTTACAACTATTAACTAAGAACTAAGTTTCTTTAAAGTGTTTTCATTACAATTTTCCTACAGTAGCTTCAGCCTGCTTCCTCAATTCTGGAGTCACGTCAGCATCAAATGTGGACACAGTTTTGTTAATTTGGGCTGCAATATATATGTAAGGATTAGGGAAAGACATAGGAGGTAATATCTACAAGGACAGAGTTGGGATTCTGTAGTTCAAAGAAGTCTATTGGAGATTTGTTCAACTCAGATGTAGGAAACAAAGGAAGATAACAACTGAATTTGGGGGACAAAGACTCAGCCAAGAGAAAACTATAGTTGTCCTCTCTACAAGACAATAGGCAGCATCTTAAATTATGAAAAATTTTACACAGATATTTTTCTAAATTATTTTTACAATTTTCTGTATTTTTAAAATGATCATGTTTTTGACTACTAAAGAACCTATGGGACTTTTGGTGTATGGTTAGTATTTTGGAAGTGTCTAGTCGAGGTGCTAGAATAAAGGGATATAAAATTTGCAAAGCTGGACAAATAAAAGTCATTGGAGGCAAGTAGAGATGGGAAAAAATTCAGAACAGCAGAATGAATCATTCTACTTCCATCATGCTATTACTGAATAATTTAATTTGCTTGCATTGAATTCTGTGCTTCTTCCTGCCCTTTACCCCGAATCTTCAGGAAGGAGCTCATTGCCAAGTTAGATCAGGCAGAAAAGGAGAAGGTGGATGCTGCTGAGCTGGTTCGGGAATTCGAGGCTCTGACGGAGGAGAATCGGACGTTGAGGTTGGCCCAGTCTCAATGTGTGGAACAACTGGAGAAACTTCGAATACAGTATCAGAAGAGGCAGGGCTCGTCCTAACTTTAAATTTTTCAGTGTGAGCATACGAGGCTGATGACTGCCCTGTGCTGGCCAAAAGATTTTTATTTTAAATGAATAGTGAGTCAGATCTATTGCTTCTCTGTATTACCCACATGACAACTGTCTATAATGAGTTTACTGCTTGCCAGCTTCTAGCTTGAGAGAAGGGATATTTTAAATGAGATCATTAACGTGAAACTATTACTAGTATATGTTTTTGGAGATCAGAATTCTTTTCCAAAGATATATGTTTTTTTCTTTTTTAGGAAGATATGATCATGCTGTACAACAGGGTAGAAAATGATAAAAATAGACTATTGACTGACCCAGCTAAGAATCGTGGGCTGAGCAGAGTTAAACCATGGGACAAACCCATAACATGTTCACCATAGTTTCACGTATGTGTATTTTTAAATTTCATGCCTTTAATATTTCAAATATGCTCAAATTTAAACTGTCAGAAACTTCTGTGCATGTATTTATATTTGCCAGAGTATAAACTTTTATACTCTGATTTTTATCCTTCAATGATTGATTATACTAAGAATAAATGGTCACATATCCTAAAAGCTTCTTCATGAAATTATTAGCAGAAACCATGTTTGTAACCAAAGCACATTTGCCAATGCTAACTGGCTGTTGTAATAATAAACAGATAAGGCTGCATTTGCTTCATGCCATGTGACCTCACAGTAAACATCTCTGCCTTTGCCTGTGTGTGTTCTGGGGGAGGGGGGACATGGAAAAATATTGTTTGGACATTACTTGGGTGAGTGCCCATGAAAACATCAGTGAACTTGTAACTATTGTTTTGTTTTGGATTTAAGGAGATGTTTTAGATCAGTAACAGCTAATAGGAATATGCGAGTAAATTCAGAATTGAAACAATTTCTCCTTGTTCTACCTATCACCACATTTTCTCAAATTGAACTCTTTGTTATATGTCCATTTCTATTCATGTAACTTCTTTTTCATTAAACATGGATCAAAACTGACAGTTTCTAGTTTGCTCCTTTCTTAACCTCCTTTGTGCTAGATGTTGCGATGACCTAGCCCTAGTCGGAAACTGATTCTTAGCTGTATTTGCATGTGCCAAAAAAAAAGAAGTGAAGTCCCCTTTCTTTCTTTTTCTCTTTCTTTCTTTCTTCCTTCTTTTCTTTCTTTCCCTTTCTTTCTTTCTTTCCCTTTCTTTCTTTCTCTCTCTCTCTCTTTCTCTCTCTCTCTCTCTCTTTCTCTCTCTCTCTCTCTCTCCTCTCTCTCTCTCTCTCTTCTTTCTTTCTTTTTTTCTTTCTTTTTTTTTTTTTTTGACAGAGCCTTGCTCCGTCACCCAGGCTGGAGTGCTGTGGCAAGATCTCAGCTCACTGCAACCACTGCCTCCTGAGTTCAAGTGATTCTCCTGCCTCAGCCTCCCAATTAGCTGGGATTACGGGCGCCCATCACCACATCTGGCTAATTTTTGTATTTTTAGTGGAGATGGGATTTCACCATGTTGGCCAGGCTGGTCTGGAACTCCTGACCTTGGGTGATCTGCCCACCTCGGCCTCCCAAAGTGCTGGGACTCCAGGCGTGGGCCACCACACCTGGCCTGAAGTCCCATTTCTTAGAAAGACTGTGATTTCACATATAAACAACTCAGAACTTCAATATTGAATGTGATGCATTTGTATCTTGAGATATTTGCCCCAAAAACAGAAAAAAAGGAATAATTCATTAAAACAAGATGACCTCAGATAAATGAGTGGTTTTCAAATGGGCGTGATTTTGCTCCCAGGGGACCTTTGACAATGTCTGGAAATAGTTTTTGTTGCCACAGCTAGCATGAGGGAGTCCTACTTGTATCTAGAGGACTGAGTCCAGGATACTGCTAACCATCCTGCCCAGAACAGTGCCTGCAACAGAGTTGTCCACCTCAGTGTGACAATAGCACTGAGATTGATGTGCCCTGGGATAGACAAGTCTCTGGACAGTTTGGGCAAATGTGAAGGGAGGCATGGTGCAGGGCCACAGGTTTTTTTGCCACGTGATGCAAAAGAGCATAAGAGCTGGGAGGCCCTTATGCATGTTGATCTTCAATTTCCTCATTTGTGAAATGAAGCTTTTTGATAGACCTCAAAGTTTTCATGTTATGTGAGCCTATTCACCCTTAAGCTGCTTTAACATTTGACTGAAGGTGAAAGTCTCTACTGTTCTGGAAGAACCTTCTGTTTCAGTAACCCACCTCCTCTTTTTAGTATAAGGCTAATAAACACCAGTATAAAGGAGGAATTGTTCACTAAGTTAATACAAATACAAAGTTAGCAGAATGGGAGGAAGAAAGGTAAGTTACTCATCTTTAAATATAAAGATTAGTTTTTGGACACTGCTCATCTGAAGACAGTTGCATATATTTACAAAATTCAAGCAGTCACAGTCCCTTCTAGAAAATGGGAAGCCGGGAAATACGGTTCCAAAATCTCTTTGCTTTACCAGAATGAAAATAATTTAACAAAGTAAAAGTATTTGAACACAACTATTATTACATTAAGGAGTCACTGATGGTTTTCTTATCTTTGCTGGTGTTAGCTTGACTTTTTACTATTTCCAAAAGTTATATATTTGTGACTCAAAAGCAAGCATTTCCCTAGGTGTATATGTTGTAAGAAGATTTTTGTTAATTAGAACATGAAAATATTATCTACTTTTATAGCATGTCAGAGAAATCTTATGTGAGAAGGTGGAATTTCTTATATTATCTGTCTCTTTTTTTTCAATAATTTGACAAATTTCCACCAATCTTATTTACCACTGCATATTATCTATATAATGACCATTTAAGAATTTTCTATCTTCAAATATATTTGCAATATTCTTGCTATTAGCAATAATGACAATATTATAGAGCATAAAAACGAGCACAGAAGTATTATGGTGTTATTAGTACTATAGCATTAGGGTGAGGGTGCTTGCTTTAGAGATAGAATTAAAATAAAATGTAACTCACATTATATTCTTTAATTGCTCTACTAAAGAATTTGTCATTTATGGGCCATTTATTTTGTGTAGACATGAAAAGAATGTGGTTACACCTAGCTAGAAAATGTATAACCTTTCATATGGGCAGGGCATGTTTCTCTTTCTCATCCTGGTACCTGAGTTTGAGTGTATGATTAACTCAGTGCAAGTAAGGAGCTAAATAAAAGAGATCTGGAACTGAAATTCAATTCAACAAAAATTTATTATACACTTAGCTGGTGCAGGGCCGAGCAACAGCAATAGAAGATGCAAAAATGACAAAGATAATGTGGTCCTAGCACATTTAGGGATGGATTGCACTAGATTGCCCTAGAGAATAGAGGCACAGGGAACTGATACAAGGCTAATAGAAAAGCATGTGCAAGGCAAGTCTAAGAGCAGCAGCATTTGAAAGAGAGTAACAGACTAAGAGGGATGGGAAAGACATAATGGGAGGTAGACTCCACAGGGCTTCAGATGGATTGCATGTGTGATTGAGGCAAGGAAGAGGAAGAGAAAGAACATTTAATGACCTCCTTCAGTGCCAGACTATACTAGGTGCTTTGTATAGGCTGTATTATTTTAAACACCTGAGAGACAGCTGTGATTGTCCCTTTTCTCCAATGTTGTATAATTTGTAGAAAGTTCTCAGAGCTGGGATTCAAGTGCAAAGTTTCATTCACTCATTAATTCATATAGTCAATATTTATTGAATGTCCACGCTCTGCCAGGCATCCTGGAAGATACCAGGGACACAAAAGTGAACACTAGAAACAAGGGTTCTATTGGGTTCTCAAGGAACCCTTAGTCTAGTAAGGGAGGTAGATATTTATCTAAATACCCAAATGGGATAGTTTTAAAACATATCAAAAAATTTCCATAAGAGGTAGAGCCTAATTTCTCTCCCATTTAGTGTGGGTTGGACTTAAAGACATATTTTTAACAAATAGAGTCAAGCAGCAGTGACAACATCTGACTTCTAAGTCTAGGTCATGAAAGACATTGGAGCTTCCTTCCCACCTGCTGTCTCTTGGATCACTTGCCCTGGGGTGAGCCAGCTGCCACGGAGAAGCCCACAGGTAAGGAACTGACACCTTCGGCCAACAGCCACGTAAGTGAACTTGGAAGCAGATCTGCCAGCTCCAGGCAAGACTTCAAACGCTGCAGTCTGGCTGACATCTTGAGTGCAGCCTCATGAAAGTCTCTGAGTCAGAACCACCCAGCTGAACTGCCCCTGGTTCCCGATTCTCAGGAACTTTGAGGCAATAATACTGGTTTTAAGCTGCTAAGTTTGGGGTGATTTGTTTTGCAGCAATAAGTAATGAAGATAACCACAAAAATGAGATAAGTGACAAAATGTAGTTGATGAATGCACCTTAAAAACAGAATCTTGCCAGGTGCGGTGGCTCACGCCTGTAATCCCAGCAGTTTGGGAGGCTGAGGCGGGTGGATCACCTGAGGTCAGGAGTTCAAGACCAGCCTGGCCAACATGGTGAAACCCTGTCTCTACTAAATATACAAAAATTAGCCGGGCGTGGTGTTGGGCACCTGTAATCCCAGCTACTCGGGAGGCTGAGGCAGGAGAATCGGTTGAATCCGGGAGGCAGAGTTTGCAGTGAGTTTGCACTCCAGCCTGGGCAACAAGAGTGAAACTTTGTCTCAAACAAACAAACAAACACGGAATCTTACTGAGATAGGGAGTCTGGGATGGCTGCTTAGTGTAGTGTCTACTGAGCTAAGATCTAATGGATGAGTAAGAACTAAAGAGGCAAAGAAGGCAGGTGGAGGAAGACAACCTAGACAGAGTGAAAACACATGCAAAGGCCCTGTGACATGCTCAAAGACCTGAAGAAAGGCCAGGATGGCTGAGCATGAAGGGGTAGGGAGAATATAGTATTAGGTAGTATAGTATAAGGTAAGGTTGTAGAATAGGTCAAGAACTTGAAGATCACATTAAGAATGTTGGCCTAAAAGCAAAGAGAAGCCATTGGAGAATTTTAAGCATATTACAGGGGTAACATGTTTTTTGCTAGAATAGCATGTTTTTTAAGAGTTTTCTGGCTGGGTACAGTGGCTCACACCTGTAATCCCAGCACTTCATGAGGCCAAGGTGGGCGGATCACCTGAGGTCAGGAGTTCGAGAACAGCCTGGCCAATGTGGTGAAACCTCATCTCTACTAAAAAAAAAAAAAAAAAAAAATGTAGCAGGGCATGGTGGCGTGCCTGTAATCCCAGCTACTTGGGAGACTGAGATGGGAGAATCACTTGAACCCAGAAGGTGGAGGTTGCAGTGAGCCGAGATCACGCCACTGCACTCCAGCCTGGGTGCGACAGAGTGAGACTCAGTCTCAAAAAAAAAAAAGAGTTTTCTAAGTTACCTAACTTAAGTTGCTTAGAGTGCTATATAGGGTTATTTATACTATACATATTTAGGTAGACAGATAGTAGAAAGATGATAGGGTTCTTTAGATGGGGTTGTTATACACATTTTACTTGCGATGTCCTCTGTGGTTGTTATTATTTTGTATTACAAGAAGGGAAACCCCTCAGATTGCACCCTCTCTCTCTTACTTTCCCAGAGGAAGAGCGGAACAGTTCTCAATGGCAAATGGAAGTTGCAGTGAAGCAGCACCCAGAGCCAGTGTCAGGCTCCCGAGAGAGCGCTGCACCGCTGCATGTGGTTTCTGGTGCTCTACATGTTCGGAGAAACTTATCTGGTAGTGAGCTATAGAAACAATCCCTGCAAGCGTCGTCTTTATAAGGTCATTTTAATGACTATTTTTCTCCTCAGGAAATAGGTAAGCCCTCAGCAGTATCAAATAGCCTGGCAGAATAAAAGGCTGATTGAGTCGGCCTCCGCTGTGACCATTAACATATTTAATTTGGTGACACCAAATAATCCTGCCTTTTATGAAAATGTCTACAATCTGTCTTGTTTTTTACCACTTTAGAGTTGACAAACTCCATGTTGGAACAGAGTATTCTTAAACAGAACCCTTAAAACCATATTTTTCACCTCTCTGTTTTTATCTATCTATCTATCTATCTATCTATCTATCTATCTATCTATCTATCTATTGAGACAGGGTCTTGCTCTGTCACCCAGGCTGGAGTGCAGTCGTGTGATCACGGTTCTCTGCAGCCTCGATCTCCTGGGCTCTAGCTATCCTCCCAACTAGCTCAGATTACAGGAATGCACCATGAGGCCCAGTTATTTTAAAAAATATTTTGTAGAGATGAGGGTCTCTCTTGTTGGCCCAGGCTGGTCTTGAACTCCTGGGCTCAAGCAATCCTCCTGCCTTATCCTTCGAAAGTGCTGGAATTACAGGCGTGAGCCACCACACCTGGTCTATTATTATTATTTTATTATTATTATTATTTTTAATTTGAGATGGAGATGGAGTCTCTCTCTATTGCCCAGGCTGGATTGCACTGGTGCGTTCTCAGCTCACTGCAACCTCCCCCTCCCGGGTTCAAGCAATTCTCCTGTCTCAGCCTCCTGAGTAGCTGGGATTACAGACATATACCACCATGCCCAGTTAGTTTTTTGTATTTTTAGTAGAGACGGGGTTTCTCCATGTTGGTCAGGCTGGTCTCGAACTCCCGACCTCAGGTGATCCGCCTGCCTCGGCCTCCCAAAGTGCTGGGATTACAGGTGTGAGCCACTGTGCCCAGCCCCTCTTATTTTTAAAGAATGAGAATAATCTGAGCTGGGAATGCAGCTCACATCAAACATGAACATAGAAAGGGAAATGCACAAAGTGAGAGATGAAATCACTCACAAAGCTGATAGCATGAACTTCTAGATTCCCTGAATACCCTTCCAGTTTTAATTTCCTATGTTTTAATTCACTGGGAATATATTCCTTAATTTCTCATAATTACAAACAAATGCTCCCTAGAAGAAAAATTTATGCTTAAGAGAGTATTCGGTTCCAGTGTTAAAATCATATCCTTTCATTTTTCTCTGAAACTTTGAAAATGTCTCTGTTCAGTCCTTTGTGTGTACTTCTCAGGCAGTACTGAAGACAGAGAGATAAAAGGGGCGGTGCTGACACACGTAGATGACTGGGGCTCTGACAATGACCGTGAGCTGATGACCTGAGTCACACAAACTGGAAAACAAAGTTTTTCCCTAAGGAGTTGGACTTTTAAAAACTTTTTATTGGCTGCTTTTGGATTAAGGTGTTTAGGACCAGCATTATGAGCAGAAGGACTCAGTGTGTATGAAGAAGAAACCAAGTTTTTCTACAGCAGAAGAGGAGGAATTTGCCTTTGCAAAATGTTATACTGTTTTATCTGTCGCTGAACGTGTCTGGGCAGTGGCTGTTCTCCCAGGTCTGAGTCCTGAAAAGGGAAAGAGAAAGAGATTGTAGGACACGGTGAAATGATACACGAAACAGCGTTTCCCCAGCTTCTTATTTGCCTGTACATTTCTCATAAATGGAGTAAATGCTGAACAAGCTGACTTTCTCCCATCATTCCTGTAAATAAGGATATGACTCACAGACCTTGCAATCTCTAAAATGCCATAGCTACTACAGTGATTTGATTATTTAAAAATAGCTGGGGAAAAAAACAGCAAGAAATTGGTCCTGGGTAAGTTAGGATGAATTCTTTTCTGTTTGTTTTTGTTTATCATTTAAATTGTTATTGTATCTCACCCTAAGTATTCTGACAACATCTAGTTTGCCAAACAAATCTTAGGGATTTATGAGTTCTGGAAACTAACAATATGAACGTGCTGGTCAGATCTCAGATCCCAGGCAAATAAACCCAAAAAACAAAAAACAAAAGACAACAAGACACAAGGTTCACCATGGAGTCACTGTGATCTGCGGGCAACTATGGATTTGGTTATATGATCTCCTTTTCTATAAAGTGGAGAGAGATAAGTGTTGACATCACTTAAATACGCTGAGCCCCACCCCCAAATAACACAAATGCTGGTAACAACAATAATTTATATTAAGCCTACTGAACGGCTTTTGTTGATCTTTAACTAGCCTATCTAGAAATGGGAAACGAGTGACCTCTATTATTACTCAAGTACTAAAACTCCCCAAGTAGGACTGTTTGTCAAAACTAGGAGTGAGTTTGAGATTCAGGATTAAGGTTCAAGTAGGGAATCTCCATTTACCCTGCATCTCAGTCTTACACTGTATTATCAGGGTCTTGGGAGGAAAGAGAAGCACACTTAAGAAGGCATGATAAAAAGAGAAAGTAATGAAGGGATTATTATAAAGTTAGAGGAAGAGTTAAGGGAAATAAGAAGGGTTGATGAGGTCCTTGGGGTGGCTGCTTCAGGGAAGTCTTCTCTAGGCTTTCAAGGGCAAGCAAAGGACCACTGACATTCCTCACAAACTTGCACTTTGGTGAGGGAGCCGGGCCACAGCTGACCTAGGGCTTAGCAGAAAATCTCTCTCTCCTTCTGTCCTTCCATCCTCTCCTGGTGGCTGCCACTGGCCAAGCCCAACTACAAACGACAGAACAAGGGAGCTTGGTTGCTGGGGTCCATCATACAGCCAGTCTTTCAGGGTGCAGAGCAGGGTGAATGGGTGAAGAGTGGATCTGCAGGGGAACATGGATAGTGTCGGGCACAGACCACTGACAAACGAAAGAGATGGAAATGCTTCAGAAAAGAAAGCAGGATGGCCAGGTCGGTGGTTTTTTTTTTTGTGTGTGTGTGGAGATGGAGTCTTGCTCTGTCACCCAGGCTTGAATGCAATGGCGCAGTGTTGGCTCACTGCAACCTCCGCCTCCTGGGTTCAAGCAATTCTCCTGCCTCAGCCTCTCTAGTAGCTGGGATTACAGGCGTGCACCATCACGCCCAGCTAATTTTTTGTATTTTTTTCTAGCAGAGACAGGGTTTCACCATGTTGGCCAGGCTGGTCTTGAACTCCTGACCTCAGATGATCCACCCGCCTCAGCCTCCCAAAGTGCTGGGATTACAGGCGTGAGCCACCTCACCCGGCCAGGCCTGTGATTTTAATCATGGGATCTTGCCTAGTGGTAAAGCCCCATTAAATGTCTGAAAATCTGAATCAGAAGGATCAGCAACTGTTCTTCCCTAGGAATGGATCAAAGGTAGGTCCTATGGATACGGCTTGTCTGTCCCCACCAAAACTCATGTTGAAATTTGATCACGAATATGGTGGTGTTGAGAGGTGGGGTCTAGTGGGAGGTGTTTGGGCCAGGAGCATGGCCTTATGAATAATGCAGTTTTCCAGGTAGTGAGTTCTTGCTTTCATGAGACTGCATTAGTTCTTGTGGGAATGGATTAGTTCCCTAAAGTGTGAGTTATTATAAAGCAAAGTTCCTGTTCCTGTTTGATCCTCTCTCTTCTCACTTGTCTGCTTCCCCTTTGACCTACTCTGCCCTGCAATGTTATGACACAGAAGAATGCCCTCACCAGAAGCCATGGCCATACTTTTGAACTTCTCACCCTGCAGAACCGTGGACTAGATACACTTCTTTCCTTTGTAAATTACCCAGTCTCATGTATTCTGTTATAGCAAGACAAAATGGACTAAGACAGTAGGGTTGCCAGGGAAAAGACAGGCATCCAGTTAAAATTGAATTTCAGAAATTAGATAAACTTTTTTTTTCAGTATAAGTATATCCCAAATATTGCATGGGAGGTACTTAAAGAGTTGTTGTTCATTTGAAATTCAATTTTAACTGGGCATCCCGTATTTTTATAAATATGGTAATTCTAAGGGCACTTCCTTCTCACTAAAGATACTAGAATTAGAATTTGAATATGGTATAGCATTCCTGAAACCTTGTTCTTTCAACACCAATTTTTGAAATGTTAAGTATTTCCAAACAAATGAACAAAAAAACAAGCTAAACACTGTTTCATAGTCAAAGAAGTTAAAAAAACAGTGGATTAAAATAAAGTTAAATAGTTCTCACAGCTTTAGGATTTCTCCTGGGACTTAATGCTAACATGCATTGTGACAACAATGATAGTGTTTTTCCTTGCTTTATTTGAAAACCATCACAACAAAGAAACAGCCCAATATTCTTCTGTTTCAGTGTGACCATAGGTTTCCATTGAAATGCAGTTTAAATTTTAAAAAGTCATTTTGGTGTCTATTATGTTAAAGTAAAATTTTACTATTACCAAAGTAAAATTTTACTATTACCTCAATCTTGCTTTAAGACTAAATTTATATTTATAAAGATGTTTTAAAGCTCTCTATAAATGTTTGCAAAGTAATAGCATTGTATTTAATAAGCTATTAAATTGTTCACTTGATACTGGTTTTGCTAAGCTTAATATGAAGAATCAATTAAAACTAAATTATCATCTAAGCAGGGACAATCCTAGATTATTCAGAGAGAAAAATGAGGATAAAAACATTAGCTCTGTCTGCTTCTCAAGGTTATTTTTGGAAAGAAATGAAGTAATGTTGTGAAAGGCTGTGCAAATATTACTGCAAGGATACAAATTACCCTCCCTGTAGAGTGGATGGGATTTTCACAATTTTCTCCCTTTCTGGTCATAGGTATTTTATCTAATTTGTTGTCCAGTCTGTAATTCTACCCTGTTGTGTGCAGTGGGAGTGAAAGGGAGGTACATGAATTAGGATTAGAATTGCTTGTGAAGGACAGAAACCTGCCAAATAACGGTGCCTTAAACAAGGTGGAAGTTTCCTTTTCTCTCATGCAAAAGACTGGGATGTGTAGTCCTGGGCTGAAATAGAGGCTCTTCTCCATCAAATCTCCAAGGCTTCAAACTTCTTTGCCATTATTGAGCAATGTTTCTCAATCTCATGGTCCAAGATGGCGGTATATATATTCCAGGCAACCAGAGAAGGAAGGAACAAAGAAGTGGCTGAGGCAGTGGGGTGGCTGGCTGTCCTGGAAGCTGGCACAAGATGCTTTCAGTTACATGCTTGAAATGGTTAATTTTATGTATCAAGTTGACTGGGCCACAGGATGCCCAGATATTTGGTCAACCAGTATTCTGCATATGTCTGTGAGAGTATTTTTGGATGCGGATAACGATTGAATCGGCAGACTGAAAAAAGCATATTTTCCATCCTAATGTGGGTGGGCCTCATCCAATCTACTAAAGACCTGAAGAGAACAAAAGGTTGACCCTCCTACAAGTAAGAGAGAACTCCTCCTGCCTGACTGCCTTGACCCTGAGACATGGGCTCTTTTTTGCCTTCAGTCTCAAACTAAAATATTGGTCTCTTCCTGGATCTTGAGCCTGCCAGCCTTTGGATTGGAACTACACCATGGCTCTTCTGGGCCTCCTGCTTGCTGGCTGCAGATTTTGGTACCTGTCAGCCTTCATAATCTCATGAGTCAATTCCTTATTGTATATTGATATCTATCTATCTATCTATCTATCTATCTATCTATCTATCTATCATTGATAACCTCTCTATCTATTGGTTCTGTTTCTCTGGACAATGCTGACTAATACAATCCTATTGTCTGGAACTTAGTATGCAAGAAAGAGAGTGAGTATATGGGGTGAAATGTATAGGAGTGGAGCTAAAAGACTTTGCTGCAGGAGAGGAGTTCAAGTCATTGAGGGCAGTTATGAGTCAGCAATAATGTTGGTGCAGTATTTTATTTCAGGAGTCAATTAAAAGTATTGTCATTTTAGCAGTTTATGTCTTCCATTTATCAAATTGAGTATAGTGCCTTCCTCTGTCCTACCAGATGAAAGTTTATGAAAGATACTAATCATTTCCAAATTCCTTCATTTTTACTATCTATCCAGATTATTTTAAATACAGTATCTCTATAAATAGCACTTTGTCCATTGATATATGTTTGTGTTTACATGATTGTGTGTGTGTGTGTGTGTGTGTGCACGTGCAAAACATGGAAATAGGATATTTGGTCTACCTTAATCCCTGGAATGGAAGTAATGGTGATTACTTTTGTATAGCAAGTAATAAACTCCCAAATGGTTGGCATTTCCTTTTTCTTATACTAGACAGAGTCAAAGGTGAAGGATGATAAAGAAAAGTTTTGACAATAGTGCCAAATTACCTTCCTCAGTTCCTAGATTGGGGATTTTCAATCTAGGGGCAGATGTCACTATAATATAAGAGGTCTAGTCCTTGATTTCAGAAGCAGCTATCCAAGCTCTTATAAGAACTGATGATAGGAACTTGTCTCTCTTCTCAAGTTCTGTACAACAACCACTTATCCATAGCTCTTGATGGTTACTGCTCAGCCATTTCTTGCCAGCTGTTCTTTCCATGTGCAGGGAGAGCATGGGAGTATGGAGCCTCAGTTTGGTTTGCTATTGTCAGGACATCAAACTAATCATTAGGTAGAAAGTTGAATAAACATTTACTTTTGACTTTTAAATGGTTACTTCAGAAAGTTTTACTTAGCGGCAAGACCAACTACATAATTTGCGGGGCCCAGTGCAGTGTGAAAATTTGGGGTCCATTTTTGCAAAAAATATTAAGAATCTCAAGATAGTGACAGAGCTTTAAGGCCAATTCAGGCTCCTCCTGCGTGCAGGACTCTGTGTAACTACACAGGTAGCACAGCTAGGATGCAGACGCTGCTCAATGTTATACATTTAGTACTTTGATGTCCCTGAATTCCTTACAAAACTCTTACTTCCTCCCCTCCCCACCCAAGTCCCCAGCTCTTCTGTTTTTTTCCAAAACTTTACTTGTGTACAACACTATGAAACATGACAGGGTCTGATGAGAAAGTATTAATTGGCTTTAACCTAGTTTTTTTTCATTTTTATTTCTGAATATCAGCACTCATAGCCCTTTTCCCTATTTTCTGACTTACCCTAATACAACTCCATATCGTACAAAGCTTCATAGTCCTGTATATGCATGTGGTGAACATTTGTGTGGCTATTTGCAGCTGATGGATTAGTATCCATAAGTTGAGAGGATTCTTCAAAGGTCCTGAGATTGAATATGAAAAAATGACCTGTAAGAATTAAGTCATCCACATGTAGCACAGATGGACGAATTACCAAGGGAGATGGCATATATCTGGATCACAAAAGACTTATAAGGCAAATTAAAGGCATGTATTCTCATCAAAGTAACCTCTGATTGCTTTATTTCCTGGAATACTCTATTATCGGTGTCAGGGTTCTCCAGAGAAACAAAATCAATAGGATGTATATAAATTTCCTGTATGGAATATGGTTTGGTTATGTAGGAAGTGCAGAAGGATGAGTGAGTGGAATTACATGTGAGGAATTGGCTCCCATGATTATGAAAGTGGGCAAGTTCAAAGATCTGGAGGTGAGTCAGCAAGCTTGGCTAGAGACCCAGTTGGCAGGCTCAAGACTGAGGAGGAGCTGATGTCCCAGTTTGAAGGTAGCCAGGCAGCAAGAATTCTCTCTTACTTAGGGGACAGTAGTCTTTTTGTTTTATTCAGGCCTTCAAATGATTGGATGAGGCCTGCGCACACTGGAAAGGCCAATCTGTTTTATTTGGTCTGCCTGTTTAAATGCCAGTCTCACTCAACAACACTCCCAAGAAACACCCACAATAATGTTTGACCGAATACCTGGAGACCCCATGGCCCAGTCAAGTTGACACATGAAATTAAGGTACCACAGATATCCTATTGTCACAAACTCTGTATAGCACTTAAAATTCCTGGTTTCATGCTTGGTACAGAAAGTTAGCTACTGTTCATCATTTGTTTAATTCTACACGTGGCCATAACTTAAGATTAATTATAACAAAGTTTAATTAGAACGAAAGATGTAATTAGATGTAAATTCTTGCATCAAGTGGTTGCTTTGTGCTAGGCACAGGTTAGGACTGCAAAGATGACTACAAATGGCTGATTACTACAAAGGACATTGTAGTAATTTTATTTTTATTTTTATTATTTTTTTTGAAATGGAGTTTTGCTCTTGTTGCCCCGGCCGGAGTGCAATGGCGTTATCTTGGCTCACTGCAACCTCCGCCTCCCGGTTCAAGTGAGTCTCCTGCCTCAGCTTCCCTAGTAGCTGGGATTACAGGCACTCGCCACCATGCCCAGCTATTATTTTGTATTTTTAGTAGAGACAGGGTTTCACCATATTGGTCAGGCTGGTCTTGAACTCCTGACCTCAGGCGATCCACCCACCTTGGCCCACCAAAGTGTTGGGATTACAGGCGTGAGCCACCGCACCTGGCAGGACATTGATTTAGAAACAGCTTTATTAAGTGGATTTTACCTGAGAGTTTCTTCCTATACTTTTAGTCCTTGTCAGAGATGTGATGTATTTTCTCTTGTGACTGCACTTTTAAAGTTGGAATCCTATGAATGCCGTCAGCACTACTATGTGGAATATGGTTTGGTTATGTAGGAAATGCAGAAGACTGAGTGAGTGGAATTACTCAAAAGTGGATCAGAAAGCAGTTATGGTCATAGACATCAGCCTCAGTGGGGCAACAGGAGTTGGAAGGAGTAAACTGAGGGAAAAAATCAGTAGAATACTGGATGGAGCAGACAGAGTGAGACTGAATGGGAGAAGGGTGAGGTGGGCTGAGACAGCTGGTCACATTCAGCTCTAAATTCTTGAAGAAGTAGTTTAGACTACACCAAGGATGGGGGATAAAACCCAGCCTAGAGCTCAGAGAAGGTGGATGTGGCACGGGAAATAAGAATTGTCATTGTTGAATTCCTTGAGAAAAAAATGTGAAGAAGAGGCTTGAGGCCTCAAAGACATTGCATGCATGAGTCAGAACAAGCTTGAACTACAAGGAAGATTTGATTAATGAATCAAATATTAATGCCACATTTTCTCTTATTTCAAGTGTTTTTTTTTCCAACTATTATCTCTGTGTAGAATGTCTTCGCTCTCTGCCATCACCTTATTATTAATAACTCCTATTAACTCTTAGGTCTCAGCCTTGCTGTTACTTCCTCCCCAGAAGTCTCCTTTAACCCCTAAAGACTGGGCTTGGTGCTTTTCTCCTGTGTTCTCAAGTCACCCTACTCTAGAACTATGTCACTGATTTAAATTGCTTTCTGGTAGGGCGCGGTGGCTCACACCTGTATTCCCAGCACTTTGGGAGGCCGAGGCAGGCAGATCACGAGGTCAGGATTTCGAGACCGGCCTGACCAACAGGGTGAAACCTCGTCTCTACTAAAAATACAAAAATTAGCTGGGCATGGTGGTGGGGGCCTGTAGTTCCAGCTACTTGGGAGGCTGAGTCAGGAGAATCACTTGAACTCAGGAGGCGGAGGTTGCATCCAGCCGAGATCGCGCCACTGCACTCCAGCCTGGGCAACAGAACGAGGCTCCATCTCAAAATAAATAAATAAATAATAAAATAAAAAAGAAATCGCTTTCTGACATGTCTATTTTCCTGAATGAGCTGGGAGCTCCTCAATGACAATAGCTATTTCTTGTTTAAAGTCGTATCCCCAGAAACTATAAGCTTAGTAGATATTTGCTATGTGAAAGAAGGAATGAAAGAATGAATGAGGACTTGATTCCTGTACTCCCAACAACATTTAAGACACTGTGCTGAGTATTCAGTAAGGAGGCATCAGGAAGGGTGAGGTAGAGGTGGTAGTGAAACCAAAAAATTGAACACTGTTCCTGGCTTCAGAGAACATGTAGTCTATTAACAATTGTGAATAATGGTGTAATACAAGACACATGACATAATACAGTACTACAACACAAGACAAGAGAATAGGATTGCCATATTTAGCAAATAAAAATACAGGATGCCCAGTTAAATTTGAATTTCAGGTAAGCAACAAATAGTATGTATATATCTCATGGACTATTTGGGAGATACTAATACTAAAAATTATTCATTGCTTATTAAAATTCAAATTTGATTGGATAGCCTATATTTTAGCAACCCTCAGTGAGAAGAACTGGAGCTGTAAGAGATTGCTTTTGTTTTTGTTTTTTCATTTTTTCAGGGATGGAATGGAGGTCTTGGAGAAAGGTAAATGATTTGGGAAATGTTTTCCGGAAAAGATAGGAACAGAGTTGAGTTGCAAAGATCACAAGACAAAATGTGAGGGGGTGCAGTTCTGGTAGAAGAAACCTCAGATGAAAAGGTGATACTGTGGCAGGATCAGAGACTGGCTGACATCTGGTTTGGCCAGAGTGTGAAAGGGTGGTGAGAAACCCAACTACAGGGTTGGGCAGGGCCTGGTGACTCCATATGTTCCAAAGCCTCAGTCTCCTGGGCACCCTGCCCCCTTCGCCTTGGCCACGTTTTGTGAACAAGCAGAACTAGATCTTGCTGCCTGGGCAAATGTTTCATCCTTACCTAGTTAATTAGGCTTGAACATTAGTTTCTCTCTGGAAATAGTGAAGAAGAAACACCAGGAGCATTTTGCAAGGGTCATACATTGCTCAATGTTTGCATTTTTTCAAAAACACTGGTGTCAAAACAGCATGTCCAGCAAAGTTGAGGGAAAAGTGAAAACTAATGATGACTTATCAAAACAAGATGTGATGGTGTGGGAAATGCTACTAACTTCTACAGCATTTGTAATTTTCGTCTTTCTCTTCTGTTATAACATATGTTTAGCATTATATAGTAAATATAGAATAAAACAGATACAAATAGCTTATTTGTAATCTAAGAAGAGGGGGAAATGTTTAGATAATAAAGTTGGGCACCTACTGTGTTCCAGGTGGCAACATATGTTATTTCTCTTAATCTTCATAACAATACTATAATACTATGGTATATATTATGATGATTTTAATGTGCATCTTGCTGAATTTCACAATGTTTATTTGCTCATCTATGATCACTCAACTAGCAATTGGTTATTTTGAAATTCAAATCTGGTTTGACTTCAACATCTATATTGTTTCCATTTACCACACCTATAGATAGGTACTCACAGATAAACAATAATTATGGTGCAGTTATGGCAGATACACTGTGGGAACAGACAAGAGGGAGCATTTAATTCTGTCTTGAGGACATCAAGGGTGGCTTTGGAAGGAGATGATGCTTGAGTGGTGATTGATGACAATGATCTCATTTTCTAATAAGTTTAATAACAGGCAATGCATGAAACATATTCACAAGTAAGATAAATATTAATAGTTTTAAAAACACATGTATTTCATCCTAATAAGCTCTCATTAGGTTTCTGTAACCTTTTATTAAATGTTCCACACTGATCACATTGATGACAAACACAAATTCTTTTTTTTTTTTTTTTTTTTTGAGATGGAGTTTTGCTCTTGTTGCCCAGACTGGAGTGCAATGGCACCATCTTGGCTCACCGCAACCTCCACCTCCTGGGTTCAAGCGATTCTCCTGCCTCAGCCTCCCGAGTAGCTGGGATTATAGGTGTGCACCACCATGCCCGGCTAATTTTGTATTTTCAGCAGAGACGGGGTTTCTCCATGTTGGTCAGACTTGTCTCGAACTCCCAACCTCAGGTGATCCGCCCACCTCGGCCTCTCAAAGTGCTGGGATTATAGGCGTGAGCCACCGCACCCGGCCAACAAACACAAATTCTTATACTTGCTACCACAAACATCATTAGTCATATTTATTAGATGGTCATTATTTATTAATTTAAATTAAATAATTAAATATTCATTAAATCATTAAAACCTTCAGCTACTTATATGATTATAGTTTGGTGCTGTTTTTGCAAAGACACTACACATTCACATAGAAATATGTCTAAAACTTTTTTATAATTCTATAAACTACATGAATGGTTATACAGTTGAGTTGACTAAATTCCTCCCACATAATTATTTCAATTACATAAAATATTACTTACATAACTGGAATGGTATTATAGCTATAAAATACTCAAGTCTGTAGTTACATAAAATTAAATTCAGTAAAAAGAAAGGCCTAAAATTTTAGCAACATACTCTCTAGAGAAAAGCTGCTAAACAGTTGTGTTTCTATAAGTTTTAAAATACAATTGTAAAAATAAAAACTAAAAACAAAATTTTTCAAAATTTTGCTTTCTCAAAAGACATTAGCCAAATTTTAATAAAAACATTGAAGAGTTTGTTTTGCATACACTCCGATGAGATGAACTAATATTATCATCCCCTTTTAAACCAAATTTTGTTTGCAAATCTTCTCTCCAAGAAGCCCCCTAAACAGATCTTACTTTCCTTTTGGTAATGCTTACTTATGATCTGTTGGCAACTTATTCGTATTGTTACAGGTAGTTAGATAGGCATGAGTGGGGCAGGAGAGCGCTCTTCCCCCACCCACTAGGAATGTCCGGGGATGGTTTGACAATTATCACACTGCCTCTCTAGCAATGATAATTCAGCAGCCTGTGCCAGGGAGAGACAATCTCCTGATGATCCACAGCTGTTAACATTAAAGTGTTAATTGAATGCAGATGCCAGGGAAAGCAGCCTCCTGGGCATGTACCGTAAAAGACAAGTTGGCGGAGTATGACCTTTTGGGGACACTCCATCGGAAAAAAGGGAAGGAAGGATCAGACGCGGCTGTATACAACTTCTTAAACTCACTGTGTGCTCAATTCCCAGAAGTAAGGAGGGCACTGCGCATGCGGGAAGCCCACCCTAAGGGAGGAATTATGGGAAAGAGGCAAGCCTGTAAAGCCCGAGGATCAAGGTTAAACGCTCTCTTTTTGACCTTCAGGCACCCTCTTGGGTCTTTTACAAGTGAACTTTCTTTCCTGTTTTAAAGCCTTTTAAATAAACTTCCACTCCTGTGCTGAAACTTGCCTTAGTCTTTTTTTCTGCTTTATGCCCCTCAGTCGAATTCTTTCATCTGAGGAGGCAAGAATTGAAGTTGCTGCAGACGCCTGTGGATTCACCACAAGTACATTGGAGTAACCACTGGGAACAACAGGTTGCCTTAGAAGCTTTGCAGGTTGTTTTGTTTTTTTGTTTGTTTGTTTTTTTGAGACGGGGTCTCACTTTGTCGCCCAGGTTTGTTGCCCAGGCTGGAGTGCAGTGGCGCAATCTCGGCTCTCCGCAACCTCTGCCTCCCGGGCTCAAGTGATCCTCCCACCTCGGCTTCCCGAGTACCTGGGACTACAGGCATGCACCACCACACCCGGCTAATTTTAATTTTTATTTTGTATTTTTAGTAGAGTTGGGGTTTCACCATGTTCCCAGCTGGTCTTGAACTCTTGAGGTGAAGCAATCCGCCCACCTCAGCCTCCCAAAGTGCTGAGATTACAGACGTGAGCCATCGCGCCTAGCCTTGCAAGTTGTTTTTTGTTGAACAGAAGAAGCTATTCAAAAATGTCCAGGACTCTGTTATTTATTCAGCAAGCTTACAAAGCCATCTTTGATTGACTGATTCTTTGACAATGACTATCTGGATGACACAGGAAGGATGCAATTCTGGCCTTGGAGAGAAAACTTGCAAGGAAAGGAACATGTTTGAATTTCAGATGTGTTCCTCAATGAATCACGTAAGTTTGCTGTTTATATTCATTAAAGAATACGTTTTAAATGAGGATAAAATTACAACTTTCATACAATATAAAATAAATGTGTCGGATTTAACTCAGGAATTAATAAGGTGATAAATAGATGTTGCAAGGAGTTCAAAAGAGAACCACACATTTATGGTTAAATAAGGAATGTGAAATGAATTTACAAACAAATGCAAAACTGGCAAAACTGGTCAATATCCACACAAACCCAGTTTGCATTTTCATGGACAGAGATTATTTGCATTCCAATCAATTTTCTCCAAGGTAACTTCTGTGTCTAAAGAGTTGTGAAATAGCCCAATCAGAGGCAAACAAAGGCACAGATAACCCAGACGGATGAGCTAGACAAAGCATTTCACCTTTTTTCTCTACGTATTCTTTCTTTACCAGGGTGATTTTGGTGCATCTGACACCTTTTCAATGATTAATAAATCAAGATCCAGAAATTAGTGAATAAAATTAAGTATTGGGGACTGTAGGGGGAAAACATTTCTCTCTACTCTGCATATCTTTTAGCTGGGGCAGACCGCCGCAACAAAAGACTGATTAACGAGGGAAAAAAGGACGTTTCATAACGTGTATCTTCTGTATACCTGGGAGAAACTTAGAGAAATGAGCAAATCTCAAAGACATGGCTTTGAATTCAGGCTTAAATCCTATCTTCCACTGAAACAAAGACAGAAGGGTGAGGGGAAGGCCAGTTATGGTGAGACGCCCAGGAAAACACAGTAAGCAAAGGTCAAGTTTGTTATGCAGATCTAAGTTGGTGCCTTCTCCACTGAGTCTCTAATGATTTAGTCATCCTTCTCATCCTGGTACAGAGAGGAAGACACTTACAAATGGAGATTTCCTTTACAGATATACATTTTTCTTACAAAAGGGTAACTTTTACTCTGTTTTCAGAGCTTCTCCTGTGTCTGCAATTTCTCAAAATACCTCAAAATAATCCTTATGCCAAACAGGCATATTTTCATCTCCTACAGGTCAAAGATATTCACATTCAAGAGTTTGGGAATGAAATTCATTTTGGATAATAATATAAAAATCAAGGTTTCTTTTGAGGGCATGGCGTTAACTAATTACAATTTGACACAAAAATGGAACTGTCATTCTATTTTCTGTACATGGTCCATGAAATACAACATGAGAATTTGGAATGATTTGGGTCAGTTATCCAACTACCAGCAATCTCCTTGTAACTCACAGATCCCCCTCTATAATAATCACAATGATAATAACAGCAATAATAATAAAAACTGTGACACCTGAGTCTTATTGATCCCTTAACAGGTGCCAGACGCCGTGCTAGGTGTTTTAGCTATAATTTCTTAAATTGAATTTCCATAATAGCATATACAGTGGATGTAATTATGCTAATTTGTGAAATAGCAGTTCATGCCTTCCTTCCTCTCAGCCCCTCTTTTCAATAAAGTAAAAAAAATTTAAGCAAACAAGTTTCATTGAATGATCTCGATTATAGTATTTCAAAAGCGTGGTTCAGGGAACTAAACAGCCATCCTTCTTTGGCTATGGTTTCCTCAACAACTTGGCTTCTTTCCCCTCAGTTTGAGAAGTTATATATAACTTTATGTAATCACTGATGTTTAATTTCTGTGAAATGCTTTAAAAAGCTCACAAGATATAAAACTCTCATTTATTCCCCTTTTTATAAGTGGAAAGACTTGAAGAGGACTTGAGTCCTTTGCTTTTACAGAGTTAGGGTCTAGAGCTGTTGACTTCTAGCCATTCAGAGAGAAAACATCTGAAAGAGTTATGCAGTGAAATCACAAAGCAAACATTGTTTGGGGAACTAAGATAGTATCTAGACTACACACACTGAAAAGCGAATTTATGTCCACACTTATTTTCTTCTTTGCACTCCTCTCTCTCCTTTCTTCTTCGTCTCTGTTCTCTTTATCCACTTCATATGCTGCAAGAGACATTTAGTACCTGACTACACAAAAAGAAATGTGCTGAGTTTGACTTTCTTTTTTGCATACACTAGGGAACTAATTTTAGCGTATGTTGCATTCTTTTATAAATGACTTTTTTTTGGCTGTCTTAGAGTTCTAAACTCTCGCTATCGTGCTGTGCATTTTTATTTCCCTGCTTTGCACTGTGGCAGAAAGAAAGCAAAAAGCCATCACTACACTAGGGGCGCCCTCTAAATAAAGACGGCTTTCCCCAGGTCTGACTGTGACTTTCCCCCACCCCACTAATGGAAAGGGTTAGAAAAAGGAAGTAGCATGAGTCACTGCTATTGCCACACCCTCAGGAAAACCCCTGCTCCATCTTCCTCTTGTGCTACGATGACTCTTTCTAGCCAAGGTCCTGGGTCACAGGAGCAAAGTTTTCAAAACATACTCATGAGTTTCTGGAGGAATGCAGTGTCGAACTGATTGACAACAACAAGAATCAAAACAAGGTTAGATACCAAAAAATAAAAATAAAAAATTATTTGACTGAAAAATAGAAGAATGGGTCTGATCCAAACATTCATTTATGAGCTGGTTGTTTGAAAGTGAAAACGTAGTTTCCATTTTTTACATATACATCCTCGATGATTGTTAGGACTGCTAGACTATCCACTCAAGGCTATCCTACACCCAAATGGCTGAGGTGCGTGTAATATTGTTTCTGTGGGGAAGGTTCAGTTGGCTTTCCTGTTTGGTTACCAGGGACATATTTTCCCATCCTTCACCACGGTTCTAACAGCTGGTGGGGTGATGTTCCTTTAGCCATTTGGCTGGGCAATGAGAATAGGACTTCTGGAGACAAAAATACTTGCCACAGAGATAAATCTGGGAAGGAAGAGGGGAAAACCCTGATTTCTGTTGTGGAGGAGAGAAGGTAATTTTGATATGGACAGAAGACAGGGAAATATTGGGTAGAAGAGGGTGGTTCCCCAGCAAAGTCCCAACCCTCAAGCCTTGAGACCCGTGGCCGTAAGTGGGAACAGGCATTATGTGCCCCAAAAGTTGCCTTTTGGCTCGCCATGCCCCTCCATCCTGTACCCATATAAACCCTGAACCCCAGGCTCCAGAAGCAGATGAGCAGATGAGGAGACAAGCAGACAAACAGCGCAGCAGAGAAAGAGAGAAGAGAAGGAACATCTGAACGCTGAGAGGAGCTCAGCTGGGGGTGGTTGGAGGGGAGTTTGACTGCTGGATGGCCAAACTCCAGGGGAAGATCATCTTCCCACTCCATCCTCCTCCCAGCTCCCCATCCATCCTGCTGAGAGCCACCTCCATCACTCAGTAAAACCCCACATTCATCCTTCAAGCCCGTGGGTCACCTGATTCTTCTGGGATGCTGAGCAAGAGCTAGGGATACAGAAAGCTGCCATACTGGTCCTCTGCCCTTGCAAAAAGGGGCCGCAGGCACCCACCCCTAGATACGGGGCTGGAGCCCAAGGCACTTGCCCCAGCTCCTACACCTGTCAGTCTGTGTGTTTCCCCTCCCATCAGGGGTTTGAGCAATGGTGACAACTGAAGAGCAGTGGTGTCGACTGAACAGGCGAGCCATACCTCTGTTGCATGTCCTGCGAGAGGGATCAGGAAACTTTCCCGTTTCAATCTGGGGCAACTGCCTGGGTCATTTCTGTCACTAGGGATGGGAAAATAGAGGAGAGGCAGGAGAAAATGTGGGGCAGTGGGAAGTGATGGTCTTGGTGAGGAACAGAATGAAAAGTCATACCTTCTAGGAGAGTGAGGACTGGTTTGCTGTCCTCACTTGTAGGTGTCAAGTGGTGTCGCATTGTAATTTTTATTTGTATTTCCCTAATGACAAGCACGTTTTTATGTACTCATTGGCCATTTGGACATATTTGAAGACATGTCTATCAAATTGTTTATTTCTTAATTGGGTTGTCTTTTTATTGTTAATCTCTAGGAGTTCTTCATATATTCTGCATTGTATATTCAGTCTTTGATTATATATATTATTTGCACATATATTTTTCCAATTCTGTGCGTTGTCTTTTTGTTTTATTGATTGTGTCCTTAGAAACGGGGTTTTTGATTTCTATGAAATCCAATTTATCTGCTTTTTCTTTTGTTGCTTGTACATTTGGTGTTATATCTGTGTATTAGTCCCTTTTCACACCACTGATAAAGACATACCCATGACCAGGCATGGTAGCTTGCACCTGTAATCCCAGCACTTTGGGAGGCCAAGGTGGGTGAATCACTTGAGGTCAGGAGTTCAAGACCAGCCTGGCTTAGATGGTGAAACCCCATCTCTACTAAAAATACACACAAACACACAAAATTAGCTGGGCATTGTGGCACATGCCTGTAATCCCAGTTACTTGGGAGGCTGAGGCAGGAGAATAGCTTGAACCCAGGAAGTGGAGGTTGTAGTGAGCTGAGATTGCACCACTGCATTCCAGCCTGGGCAACAGAGCTAGACTCCATCTCAAAAAAAAAAAAAAAAAAAAAAAAAAAAAAAAGACATACCCGAGATTGGGTAATTTACAAAAGAAAGAGGTTTATTGGACTCGAAAGTTCTATGTGGCTAGGATGGCCTTACAATCATGGCAGAAGGTGAAAGTCACATCTCACATGGCGGCAGACAAGAGAAGAGTGAGAGCCAAGCAAAAGGGGTTTCCCCTTATAGAACCATCAGCTCTCATGAGACTTATTCACTACCATGAGAATAGTATGGGGGAAGCTCCCCCCATGATTCAAGTGTCTCCCACTGGGTCCCTCCCACAACACAACAGAATTATGGGAGCTACAATTCAAGATGAGATTTGGCTGGGGACACAGCCAAACAGTATCAGTCTGTAAACCAAAAATAAAATTCTAAGCCCTTCAACCATCTGAATGAACCACTCCTCTTGGCCAAGGGCATTCCAAAGTTAACCTGAAAAACTAGTTCAGGCCATGATGGGAAGGGAGGGTCAGAAGTGCCTCATTATATATCCTCTTCCCTTTTGGAATTCAGGAAAAGCCTTCCAGCACTAACATCAACACAGACCTTAAGTCTTACAAGAAACATTTACCATCTATTCTCTCTGAAGCCTCCTACCTGGAGGTTTCATCTGCATGATAAAACTTTGGCCTCCACCATCACTTATCTTAACCTAGACATTCCATTCTATTAATTTCAGGTCTTTAGATAATAGCTTAACTCTTTCAACCAATTGCCAATCAGAAAATCTTTAAAATCTACCTATGAGCTGGAAGCCCAACTTCAAGTTGTCCTGCCTTTCTAGATCGAAACAAAGTACATCTTACATGTATTGACTGATGTATTATGTCTCCCTAAAATAGATAAAAGCAAGCTATACTCGACCACCTTGAGCACATGCCATCATGACCTCCTGAGGCTGTGTCACGGGTGCATCCTTAACCTTGGCAAAATAAACTTTCTAAATTTATTGAGACCTGTCTCAGGTACCTTTGGATTCACAAATCTAAGAAACCATTGCCTAACCCAATGTCATGAAGATTTACTCTTATGCTTTCTTCTAAGACTTTTTTTTTTTTTGAGACAGAGTCTCACTCTGTCACCCAGGCTGGAGTGCAGTGGCACCATGTCGGCTCACTGCAACTTTCATCTCCTGGGTTCAAGCAATTCTCCTGCCTCAGCCTCCTGAGTAGCTGGGATTACAGGCACCCACCACCATGCCTGGCTAGTTTTTATATTTTTAATAGAGATGGGGTTTCACCATGTTGGCCAGGCTGGTCTCAAACTCCTGACCTCAGGTGATCCACCCACCTTGGCTTCCCAAAGTGCTGGGATTATAGGCATGAGCCACCATGCCCGGCCTCTTCTAAGACTTTTATAGTTTTACCTCTTATATTTAGGTCTATGGTTGACTTTTATAGTTTTACCCCTTATGTTTAGGTCTATGAATTTTTGTATATGGTGTGAAGTAGGGCTTCAAATTTATTCATTTGCATATGGATATTTAGTTGTCCCAGCACCATTTGTTGAAAATACTACTGTTTCTTCATTAAATTTTCTTGACATCTTTGCTGAAAAATCATTTGACCTATAAATGTAAGAGTTTATTTCTGAATCCAATTCTATTCTGTTGATCTATATGTCTATGCTTATGCCAGTACTACATTATCTTAGTCACTGCAGTTTTCTAATAAGTTTTGAAACTGATAAGCCTAAGTCCTACAATTCCAGGTTGTTTTGGTTATTGTGGTTCCTTTGAGTTCTTATACAAATTTTAGGATTGGCTTGTCAATTTCTGAAAAAACATAGCTGAGATTTTGAGAAGGATTGAGTTGAATATGTGGATTAATTTGTGAAATATTGCCACCTTAACAGAAGTAAGTCTTCTGATCCATGAACATGAGGTATCTTCCCATTTATTTAGATCTTCTTTAACTTCTTTCAATGATCTTTTACAGATTTTCAGTGTACAAGTCTTTTACTTAAAAAAAATTATTCCTGAGGTTTTCTTTTATACTTTTGCAAACAAAATTGTTTTTTATTGTATTTCTTATTGTTTATTGCTATTTTATAGAAATAAAATTCATTTCCGTAAATTGATCTTCTATTCTGCAACCTTATTATGCTGGTTTGTTAGATTCTTATAGTTTTTTGGTAGATTTTCCTTAGGATTTTATATATACAAGATTACATCATCTGCAGATAGAAACAATTTTACTTCTTCCTTTGTAATCTGTCAAGTCTGTATTCTTTTTTATGTGCAGCCACTGAAGTCTCTGCCTAGTCTGATTAGCAGTCAGCTAATTATTAGACAGAGATTTTCTTAAATGCTTTGAACCACTAAGTTTCCCAGTCTTTGCTGATGGGATATATGTGTGCTTACCTTTTATTTCTTTCTTTCTGCCTAGCTGCTCTGGCTAGAACCTTCAATACAATGTTGACTAGAAGTGGTGAGAGTAGACATGCTTATCTTGTTCCTGAACTTTCTTTCACCATTAAGCATCATGTTAGCTAGAGGTTTTTCATAGATGGCCTTTATTGGGTTGAGAAACTTCTCTTCTATGCTTAGTTTGCTATGGGGATGGGGGTGGATTTCATCAATTGCTTTAAGAAAATGTATTGAGATGATTATGTGGGTTTATCTTTAATTCTACTAATATGCTATATTACATTGATAGATTTCTTATGTTGAGCCAACCTTGCATTCCTGGGATAATCTCACTTAGTCATGGTGTATAATCCATTTTATATGTTGTTCAATATGGCCTGCTACACTTTTGTTGAGGATTTTTGCATCTATATTCATAAGAGATATTAGTCTGTGTTTTTTTCTCTTTTGATATCTATATCTGATTATGGTATTATGGTGATATGGCCTCCATAGAATTAGCTGGGAAATGTTCCTTTCTCTTCCACCTTTTCAGAAAAGTTTGTGAGTGATCTTCATTCTTTCTAAATTATTCAGTGGAATTCATTATTGAAATCACTTGAGCCTGGACTTTTTGTGAGAAGTATTTGGATTACTAATTCAATCTCTTTACTTATTATAGGTCTATTTGAATATTCAGTTTCTTCTGAGTCAGTTTTGGTAGTTTGTATCTTTCTAGGAATTTGGCTACCTCATCTAGGTTATTTAATTTGTTAGCACACAATTGTTTGTAGTATTTTCTTATAATCCTTTTATTTCTTTAAACAACTTAATGATGTTCTTTATCATTTCTGATTTTAGTGATTGGAGTGATGTGTATTTCTTATATGGCATGTCTGCTACTGATGAATTATTTTAGTTTTAGTTTATCTGGGAATATCTTACTTTCTCCTTCATTTTTGAAAGACACTTTTGCTTAATATAGAATTCTTGATTGACAATCTTTTTCTTTCAGCACTTTGAATATATTAACTCCCATTTCCTTCTGATCTCAATGGTTTCTGATGAAAAGCCAACAGTTAATCCTACTAAGAATCCTTTGTATGTGGTAAGCCATTTCTCTCTTGCTGCTTTCAAGATTCTTGCTTTCTCTTTGTCTTTTTACAGTCAGATTACAATGTAACTCACTGTGGATCTCTTTGAGTTTATTCTACTTGAATTTATTTAGATTTTTGACTGTGTAATATGTTTGACCAAATTTGGAAAATTTTTGGCCATTATTTTTTCAAATGATATTTCTGTCTTTTTATCTATCTTTTCTTCTCTTGGACTGCCATATGTTTGTATGCTTGATAGTGTCCCACAGGTTTCTGAAGCTTGTTATTTTTTTTTTTAATCTTTTTTCTTTCTGGTCCTGGATAATCACAATTGGCCTATCTTCAAGTTCACTGATTCTTTCTTCTATGAGTTCAAATTTGTTGTTAATCCCATCTAGTGATTTTAATTTCAGTTATACTTTTCAACTTCAGAATTTCTATTCTCTTAAAACAATAATTTATATCTTTTTATAGATATTTTTGTTTGATGAGACATTATTCTCACACTTTGTTTTAATTTTTTAGATGTGGTTTCCTTTAGTTCATTAGATGATTAAAGGTCATTGTTTTTTGAGTACTCACGGACATATATATGGCAGAAATAGACACCGGGGACTACTAGAAGAGGAAGGGAGGGAGGGGGACAAGGGTGAAAAAAAAAAAACAACTATTGGGTACTATACTCACTACCTGGGTTACAGGATTATTCATACCCCAAACCTCAGTATCACACAGTATACCCATGCAACAAAGTTGCACATGTTCCCACTGAGTCTAAAATAAAACATCAAATTATAAAACAAAAAGCAAAATAAAATCTTTGTTTGCTAAATCCAAAGTCTGGACTTTGTCAAGGAGAATTTACTGCTTGTTTTCTTTTGCACGGGACATTCTTTTTTTTGTGTGTGTATGTGTCTCTCTGTTTTTGTTAAAAACTGGACATTTTAAATAATATGTCTATTCGGGAAATTGGATGCTCTCTTCTCCCCAAAGTTTGTTGTTATTGTTGCTATTTTTTCTTACTATTATTAGTTTGTTTATTCGTTTTTTTAGTGACTTTCCTGCACTAATTCTGTAAAGTCTATATTCTTCTTTTATATGCAGCCATTGAAGTCTCTGCCTGGTTAGATTGGTAGTCAGCTAATGATTAGACAGAGATTTCCTTACATTCCTTGAACCAATAAGTTTCCCAGTTTTGGGTGATGGGATATATGTGTGGGTTGGGGTATATCTTTAATATTCCTACAGGCAGTTTACAATTTTGCCTTAAACTTTCTTCCTGCTTGTATGTAATCTTAAGGTAAGCCAGAGGTGAGGAATTAGGATCTTCTCAGGTCTTTCCTGTGCAGGTACACAGCCCTGCACATGTGAATGACCTTCTGTATTTGCAGGAATATGTGTTTGCTTTCCAAAGTCTCTTATGGACATCTTAATTCCTTGGTGGTTGTGTTTTGGTCGGTTTCCTGTTAGCTCCAACCAGTAACATTGTCTCAGGCAGCTGCAATGTGAAATAATTGCCACCTATTTTTTTTTTTAAACAAATGTCCTAGGAATAGGGCTGTTGGCACAGAGCAAATTCTGGGTTAGGTCAAATACAGAAAAGCCCTGAGAACGGATATTTTCAGTGAACTGCCACACAGGTCAAGTCTTAACAATTATGAGATTTGGGGGAAGTTTTATATCCATATCCATTTGACCCTCTCCAGTGGCTGCCAGGCTGCTGGTTTTCATAGCTACCGTAGTTGCGAGGCTGTTGGTTTTCAATGTTACCATGGCATTGGGGTGGGGGAGAGGGATTAGGTCAAGTTAAAATGCCACAAAATAGCTCACTGGTCTTACCAAGATTCAGCCATTTTTTCCTGACTAAACAGTCCTTGACATTTTGCAATCTTTTAGTTAATTTCCAGAGTTCTGAAAAAGTTAATTTTGACAATTTTTGCCACTGATCTCATTGCTTTTATGGATGAGCAGATTTTTGATGGTCTTTATTCTACCATTCAAGAAGTACTGTCTTTTTTAGCATGTTAAAAGGTAAGTTTTTTTAAAAAACATAAACCATGACACAAAAATTATAAAAATAGTAAATGAACACACGCCAAAGACTTTATTTAACTCTGTATTTATTGTGGAGCATATTAAGATACTATACATTCAAAAGAGAATTAAATACACATACACACAGAGGGAATTGAGAATGCTGAAATCATTTTACAGGCATATTGGGTTAATACCTACAGCCCAATAATCAATTGTATTTCACAGGGCCCAATTCACTTTCATTTCTTCAGGCAAGCATCATTTGTGTTATTAGTTTTTGACAATATTGAGAGTAGTGAAGCAGCTGAAAGGGAGTACAAGGCAAAGATACACTAGAAGGATAGACAGACAGAGTCCTGGTAATCTTTTTTCCCCACAATAAAGTTTTTGTAGTTTTTCCTGATAAGGGAATGGAGAAGAGAGTGTAGGGAAAAGCAGTATAACATTTTGAGACCCTGGACATGTGACTAAAACAGTGGAAAAGGACAGAGCAGAGTGCAGGGGTGTTCAAGGTAGCTGTTGCTGGCCTCGCCTTCAGTGATAAATTCTTCTCTATGCCCCGCTTCCTCATCTGTAAGGTAAAGATATGGATCAGCTGATTGCTAAGGCTCATCCCATTCCAGCTGTATTCAAATGTGGCCCCCAGAACTGCAGCATCAGTATCACCTGAGAACTTGTTAGAAATGCAGATCCTTAGGCCCCATCCCAGTTTTACTGAATTGGAAACTCCAGTGTAGATCTCAGCAAGCTCTCTAGGTGATTTTGATGCAGCTGAATTTTGAGAACCATTGTATATCAATTTTCTATGAGATGGAAATTTGATATTGATATGATATAGTTTGGCTGTGTTCCCATTCAAATCTCACCTTGAATTGTAATAACCCCTGCCGGGTGCCAGGTGGAGATAATTGAATCATAGGGTCAGTTTCCCTCCTACTGTACTTGTGGTAGTGAATAAGTCTCACGAGATCTGATGGTTTTATAAATGGGAGTTCCCCTGCACACAGTGTCTTGCCTGTCGCCGTGTAAGATGTGACTTTGCTCTTCACAGGCCTTCCACCATGATTGTGAGGCCTTCCTAGCCATGTGGAACTGTGAGTCAATTAAGCCTCTTTCCTTTATAAATTACCCAGTGTCATGTACATCTTTATTAGCAGCGTGAGAATAGACTAATACAGATATCAAGGAAACTCCATTAGCTATCATGACAGCATATTTAGAATTTTCTCCTAAACTTTGAAAGCATCAATTATTTCTGTGTGTAAAAGGAAAAAGTCAGTTTGGTTAAAGCTCTTTTTATTTTTTATATAAAAAAAGGAGTTCGGCCGGGCACGGTGGCTCACGCCTGTAATCCCAGCACTTTGGGAGGCCGAGGTGGGTGGATCATGAGGTCAGGAGATTGAGACCATCCTGGCTAACACGGTGAAACCCCGCCTCTACTAAAAATACAAAAAGTTAGCCGGGCGTGGTGGCGGGCGCCTGTAGTCCCAGCTACTCCGGAGGCTGAGGCAGGAGAATGGTGTGAACCCGGGTGGCGGAGCTTGCAGTGAGCCGAGATCGCACCACTTGCACTCCAGCCTGGGTGAAAGAGTGAGACTCCGTCTCGAAAAAAAAAAAAGAAAAAAAAGAATAAAAAGAGTTCATTTCTTCTTACTCAGAATTCATTATAGAGAGTAGCTTATCATTGCTCTATGTCCATTTGTTGTAGGCAAAACCTCAATTCACAATTTATTTTAACATAACCAGTCCAAAGAAAGGTCAGAGAGGTATTTTTTGTAGCTTTGAGTTTCATATATTTTATATAGTTAGAAACTTCTCTCCTAGTTATCATAGTGGGGAAGGGTGAGGTCAGACTTCCGAAGTCTTGTGCTGGAAAGTTTTTGGTCTTTCTCTTCACTCACAAAGGCAGTGATTACAGGACACTATGGGCTGTGCTTGGAAAACTTTTGTATAAACCTCAGTCCTTGGGTTGGGCACTTCTCTGCTTACTTATGATGAGCTATTCTGTTTGTTTGGTACACAGTAGACTGGTCCTGTTTGCCACTATCATTTCCTTACGGTTTACAGCTATGGTGCACCATTTAAAATGATGGTTTTCAGTATCCTAATTGTATGATGTGTCCTTTGTACATTCTCAGCATGATGCTCTTTCCAGCGTTTTCTACAGTAGCTGTTCTCTGCTCAACCCCATCTAATCAACTCGTGCAAAGGTGATCATTGTTTCTAAGTGGATGCCCTGGCCAGCTTTGAAAACTCTCTTAGCAATGACTTATATTTAAGCATAGGTCACTGATTACATTGGTCAAAGTAATATCTATGAAGTTAAGAACAATGAGACCTCAGAACTAGTAGTCAAAACCTCACTGTTCACAATGTAGGGAAGTTTCTCCAGCAGGTGTTAATAGGTTTACTACAAAGAAAGCATTGTGTCTGTGGTCAAATCTCTCAAAGACTTCTGATGTACATTCGTATCGAACACTCTGAGAGTCTTATAGTAAAGAAACATCTAACTGTGTGTAACTCACGTTTTCAAACTTATTTGAGCATGAAACATTTTTACCACTGGCATATCTAATCACATCCAGTTTGGGAAAGGATGTGTAGAATATTTGAGATGATCGTTAGAACTTGTTAAAAGGAGAGTTTCTTAAAAATCCAGGAGTGTGGTGCAATGCTGAGTCCTCAGAGCCTCCCTGTGTTTCCATAACAGAGATAAAATAAGACTGGATATTCACAGAATCCTGTTTTATTCATCTAATGATCGAAAGAGGTAAATTATGTGAGAGACCGTCCTGTGCAACAAAGGATCAATATAAATGTGAGTTATTCGTGATTATGGTAACTGAGTTGACTGCAGCTTTGTTACTCAAAATGTGGCCTATGAAAGCAGAGCATTGGAATCACCTGAGTGCCTGCTAGAAATGCAGAGTCTCAGGCCCTAATCCAGATTTATTTCATCTAAGGCTGCATTGTAGCAAAATGTGATTCCTAGGCATGTTAAAGTCTGAAAAGCGTTGATTACAGCCTTTTGTACTCTTCCTCTTCCTGACATATCTTAGGTTCATTTCTTCTACCTCATTTCGGTGCCTGCCCCATCTGGAATTCTTTGCAATACTTCTCTTCCTGGAAATTCATAATCTTTACCATTCACTTCCATCAAAATTTTGTTCCTCTTTTCCCTCCCTGAATTCTAATATTATATGTGGTTTTTTTGAATGCCAATAGTATGCCTGGACCTAGGAAATTTCTCAGAAGACCACAGTAAACTTTACAAAATTTTAAAAATTCCGTAAATTGTTCAACACTTGTTTTCATCTGTTTTCTGCTGCTATAACAGAATGGATGATTTATAAAGAAAGGTTTATTTAGATCATGGTTCTGGAGGTTAGGAAGTCCAAATGGCACTGGCATCTGGTGAGTGGCATCCCATGGTGAAAGGGTGGAAGGTGGGATTGAGCCCATGAGACAGAGACAGAAATAGGGGCCGAACTTAGGTTTTTATCAGAAGCCCACTCTTGTGATAATTAACCTACTTCCAATATACTGGCATTAATCCATTCACGAGGGCAGAGCCCTTATATTTTCTTTATAGTGTTAACTTCTTAAATAAAGGTTCCACCTTCCAATACCCTTACAATGGCAATTAAATGTCAACATGAGTTTTTGTGGGGACATTCAAAACATAGCAACTGTCAATTAGTTTTCCAAAGTCAGTCTCTCTAGGTCTTTCTTTAGTTATAGGAAGGGACAAGGTACGGGGCTGGGTGTGTTAACAATCCCTTTCCATTTAATAAAGGTTGCTAAGAGTTAAAAATCTAAGTTCTGCCTATACAAAAAATAACATTCATTATCATAATAGTTTAATTTCGGATGAGATCGGGCACGTGCAGAGTGGTATGGCTGTAGACACACAATAGTTTCAGAAGTCAGACTGTCAGAACCATATAGTGAGAGCTACCATAAGCACCAAAAAGCCCATGTATAGATTTCTCTAGCAAAGACGCTTCCTTAACGGCGCCACTGCTCCAGGATGGGGTTGAGGTGTTGCTGGGGATTGGTAGCCACATTGCTTGTAAAGAGACTGTACTTGCTCCTTCCAGTCTCCCTATGATAAAGTTTTAAGAATATCATAATGAGAATTTTTAGGCTACATATAGATTTTTCCACTGTAGGCAGATGAAATCACATATTCTGGTTAGACATTAGATAAAGCTTCTGAGATTTGGACATGCTTTCATTAGACAAATGAATGTAATTTTTGATGATCTAATACTCTGCATGTTTCCGGAGGAAGCAGTTAAAGACAAATTTAAATTCTGACAAAGATTTATTCAGCTTGTTCTTTGGTGGGGAAAGGAAGCTGAATAGTAAAATGTCAACGATTCAAAACTCCTAATTTTCCTTGTTCCAAGTAAAGAATGAGTTTCTAGATAACAGAATTTAAAAAAAGTTCCCGTAAGTTTTCCCTTCTTCAGTACTCTCACAAATATCCATGCATGCCAGTAAATAATGTAACCTTAATACATTAAAAGATGAATCATGTAAAAGGGAAGTGAAAATGACAAATATGGGAAAAAATGTGACACAAAGAAGTGCATTATGTGTTTATTCGAGAAACCATGAAAACTTCTGTGAAAAAGCTAAGTGCATGAGATCACTACTCAACATTTTAAATCCCTCAGTGCTGAATTTTCATGGTTTGCAAGCAATCTGAAGGGCATTCAGGCTTCTAGGAAGAAGTTTTGCAACTTTGAATTTTTGCCTGTCTCTTGGCCTTAATACAGCAATTTAAAAATAAAGTATCAAGGGAACTCAGCCTGTCTCTAAATTGAGGAATAATATTCTGCCTTTACAAGCCTGTGACATCACGTATCTTCTTACTTTACAAAAGCTCAAATTGCTTGAGCATTAAGATATTAAGAACCTAGTCATGCACAGAAAACACTAGTTTTTTAAATTTTCCAAAGTGATTGGCTCTGAAACTCTAGAACAGTGTTGTCCAAAACAACTTTCTGTAATAGGCCAGGTGTGGTGGCTCATGCTTGTAATCCCAGCACTTTGGGAGGCCAAGGTGGGTGGATCACCTGAGGTCAGGAGTTCAAGACCAGCCTGGCCAACATGGGAAACCCCATCTCTACTAAAAATACAAAAATTAGCTGGGGTTGGTGGTGCATCCCTGTATTTCTAACTATTTGGGAGGCTGAAGCAGGGGAATCAGTTGAACTTGGGAGGTAGAGATTGCAGTGAGCTGAGATTATGAAACTGCACTCCAGCCTGGGCAACAGAGTGAGACTCTGTCTCTAAAAAAAAAAAAAAAAAAACTTTCTATAATGATAAACATTTTCTGTGTATATGCTGTCCAATGTGGTGGCCATTACTAAATGAATATTTAATTTTTTAAAACTTTAATTAATTAAAATTTAAGTTTAAATAGCTGCATGTGGCCAGTGGCTACAGGGTTGGATAATGCAACCCTAGGAATATTTTCTTTATGGTGTTAACATATAATTTAAAGCATTATTTTTATGTCTTAATACTATTTTCTAGTTTATGTATATAGAAAAAAACCTTTAATACCTTAGATGAGAACAAATTTTTAGTGCCATTCCTTAAAGATTATTTTCTTGGAAATAATGACATAAGTGGTCCATTAGATGATGTTATATGAGTCATAGAAATGCTTGATATAAAGTCCAAAATATCCTCACACATGTGGTCTGTGAGGCAGGCTTGTATATAGAAAAAAGGTGGAGGAAATTATGAACACAGGGAAGGAGGTAAAATCATTGCTGGTGCCATATGTCTGGATCTTCTGTTTTCTTCTATTGTGATTTATGTTCTTTTTAAATGACTTTACTGAGCCCTTTGATTTATTTTGTGATAAAGATTAAATATTTTGTCCTTTTCTGATGTTTAAAATCTGAGATTAGTCTAAATAAGGTGACCCATTTTTTTGAGGCACACACTGCCCACCTGTCATCATACCACTGGCAAAGCCTTTAGATAATGAACTAGTACATGTGATAGCCTCCAAAATGCTCCCTTTGAGCTCTTTCTTTATTTTTAAATGTCTTGCTAATGGAGTTTCTTAAAACTGTTTTTTTCTTGGAGTATTTCCTTCAGGGTTGGTTTATATACCACACAGGAAACCAGTTTCATTACCTGATAATTGTGCTTTGGTTATAGAACCAATTCTTTGAATGGGCTGGACATAGGAGGCCAAGTAGAAGTCAGCCTTGTTCTTTCAAACCCCCTCTCAGATTTCTCTTTCCTGTCTATGGATAAATTTGTCTTAAAGATCCCATTTTCAGGTATTAAAAAGTCCAGCCCATGGGAAAACAATATTCACATGTAAAATAATGAAGTTGGATCTTTACCTAACATCATATATAAAAATTAACTCAAGGTATATCAAAGATCCATTTGTAAAACCTAAAATTATATAAATCTTAGAAAAAACACAGGGCAAAAGCTTCACAACATTGGATTTGAAAACAATCTTTTGGTGGCTGTTATACCAAAGGCAAAGGCCATAAAAGAAGAAATAAACAAATTGGGCTTCATGAAAAATTTTAAAATTGGACATCAAAGAAAATATCAGCTGGCTAAAAAGACAACCCACAGAATGGGAGAAAACATTTGCAACTCACAGAAGGGGTTGATTAGTATCCAGAATATATAGAGAACTCCTAAAACTGAACAACAACAAATGACCTGATTCAAATGGGCAAAGAACTTGAATAGGCATTTCTTCAAAGAAGGTGTATAAATGATCAATAAGCATGTGAAAAGATGTTCAACATTAACAGTCACTGGAGAGATACAAATCAAAACTAAAAGGAGATCCCGCTTGACACTCATTGGGATGGCTACTATTTAAAACAACACAGAAAATCACAAGTGTTGGTGAGGATGTAGAGAAATTGGAACGCTTGTACACTATTGGTAGGAATGCAAAATGGTACACTGTTGTGGAAAATGGTATGGTGGTGGATCCTCGAAAAATTAAAAAATAGAATTACCATATGATCCAGTAATTATGCTTCTGAGTATATACCCAAAGAAATGAAAGTGGTGCACCCATGATTATAGCAGCATTATATTCACAATAGCTAATATGTAGAAGCAACACAATTATCTATTGATTGATGGCTAGACAGGCAAAATGTGGTAAATACATACAAGGAATATTACTCAGCCTTAAAAAGGAAAGAAATTCTGAAATATGCTACAACATGGATGAACTTGAGGATATTATGTTAAATGAAATAAACCAGTCATAAAAAGACAAATATTGTTTGATTCTACTTATATGAGGCACTTAGGGTAGGCAAATTGATAGAGACAGTAGAATGGTGTTTCCCAAGGGCAAGGGGGAGAGGAAAGTGGAGAGTTAGTGGTTTATGTGTACAGAATTTTAGTTTTACTGAAGAGTTATGGAGATCGATGGTGATAATGGTTGTACAACATTATAAATGTATTTAATACCACTGAACATATACTTAAAAATGACTAAGACAGTAAATTTTAGTTATATGTATTTTAACACAATTTAAAAAATTGGAAACAAAAAGTCCAACCTAGGGTAACATCAAACTTTCAATCACTTGTCCAATTTAAACCTTCTCCCATCCCCCCACAGCTCAGGTGCCTGGGTCCTGGAAGCCTACAGTGGGGAAGGGGTGTTGCGGTCAGCTTCTCTGGTCCTCCTGACCACCTTTTCTCTCATCCACGGTTCCTCACGCCTCTAGGGTAGAATGCAGGAGAGTGGGAAGACTAGAGGCATAGCACAGTCTTAGTTGGCTGGCACTGTTACAACTGGCTGTTTCCAGCCCTCTGGGAGGCAGATGCCCAAATGCACCCTCCACACTTTCTCTCATGAAGTAGTTTCTGAAAATGCCCAAAGGGTCCTCTCACTACCTTGTTCTCTGGCTTTGAGTATGAAAGACTTGGTTGTGAAGTAAGCCATGTGATCAGATGACTGCTTATGAGCCTTGCTTAGCAACCTCATCTGATCAGATCCCATAGCCTCTCCTTTAGGGGTTGCTTTGCCCTGCCAGGCAGATGCCTTCTATATGGCCCTTTCAAGTGTTCCCAAGACGGTTACCTTCCATAGTCTCCATTTAACCCATAGAGCACTCAGCACCTGGCCTCAGACAGGGTATGAAGGTGTAGGCCGCTTCTCTTCACTTTGCTTAGAAGGGAGCTCTAGCTGGCCTCTCATTAGACTTTGTCAGATGAGAATCAGACACCTGTCCTGTGTCCCTGTAAGTCCAGGAAACTCCAGTTCCTCTCAGGGCCCGTGCTGTTGCTGGGGCCCAGAACCTGCCCCAATTTAGCTGGCTCCAGCTGGCTAGGGGTGGGGGACGATGGGAAGGGTGTGGTAGTGGTAAGCTGTCTTACTCCCTTCCTGCCAGACACCCCAGTCTCTATAAGCAGTTATTCTGAAGACTCTCATTTGGCATGCGCTATGGACTGAACGTGTGTCCCCCGCCCCGCCTAAATTCATATGCTGAAACTGTAATCCCTAAGATGATGGTATGAGGAGGTGGAGACTTCAGGAGGTAATTAGGTGGAGCCCTCATGATGGGACTGGTGCCCTTTTAAGAGACAGGAGAGCGCTTGCTTCCTCTCTCTCCACCATGTGAGGACATACCAAGAACTGATTCAGCCTGCACCTGGGTCTTCACTTCCAGCCTCCAAAACTGTGAGAAATAAATTTCTGTTGCCTAAGCCACTCAGCCTATGACATTTTTGTTATGGCAGTCTGAACTAACTAAGGCAATATGAGAATGGGAGAGAAGCGCTCCAGCTACTCTCCCAGGGGGAGGTGGGACAAACATACAAAGAAATCCCTATTAATCTTTGTACTCCTCCTGAATGGAAACTGAAGGAAGGTGAAGTAGATGAGGTTCAAGTCACCTCCTAGCAAATCATACACAGATATTCTAAAACTCTCTTTAAGTTTTGAAACTGGTGCACCATGATAATTCCACTGAACTAATTAATTGTCTCTGGTTGGAAAAATCTCAAAATTGTGAGGTACACGATTTAGAAAGAACAAGGACTATAAATACATTTAAAATATTTTTCCTAACCCTCCATACTAAGATGCAAAAAAATACCAATATTCATCTTCTCTGAAGCATGAATCACCTCAGAATAGCCCACGATGTACACTAATATGTGGAAGTACCTTCATGGGATTTAAATATATTTACCTTTCAATTATAGAATTAAGATGATTTTGGAAAATGGATAAAGAGACATTGAAATGTGGAAAAGTTGAACTCTTACACACTCATGCAAAATAGTTGATTTCCTCTTTTTGGCAATATCCCACCTGCTTTGCCCCTGCAACCCTCTGCATTCCTTGCTGCTGCCACACATGGAGGCATAGATACATGCTCTCACACACACACACACACACACAAACACACAAACACATAGACACACACAGACACATACAGACACATACACAGACACAGACATACAGACACAGACACACACACAGACACATACACAGACATATACACACAGACACATACACAGACACACATACAGACACAGACACACACACACACACACAGACACACACACAGACACAAATACAGACAATACAAACACACATACAGACATATAACATACAGACACACACACAGACACACACACAGACACAAGTACAGACACTGCAGACACACAGACACACATGCAGACACAGACAGACACACACAGACACACAGACACAAATACAGACACTACAAACACATACAGACATATATACAGACACACACAGACACACATAGACACACACACAGACACACAGACACAAGTACAGACACTGCAGACACACAGACACACACGCAGATACATACAGACACAGGCACATACAGACACACACATATACACAGGCACACACAGACACACACAGACACACACAGACACACACAGACACACAGACACATATGGAGACACACATACAGACACACATGCACACACAGACACACAGACATATACACAGACATACAGACACACAGACATATACACAGACACAGGCACACACACATGCACACAGACATACAGACACAGACACATCAGGCACACACGTAGACACATACACACAGATACACACATAGACACATACAGACACACAGACACACATAGACACACACAGAGACACACATACAGACACTTAGACACACCTGTGTATGGGAAAACAAGCCCTTAGTCTTTCCACTTCCTATTTGTCCCCTGACCCTTCTTCTATACCGTATACTCCATTTCAACCTTCCAATGCCGTTTACCATGTTCTGGATCTCCCATGCCTTGTAAATCCTGACAACATTTGTGTGTCTTTTGTCCTAGACCTTTGGGCTTCACTTTCTACTCACTGCCAAGAAAAAGTAATTCCCGATAGTGTTCTTGTTGGGGGTAAAAAGACATTCTTATGTGGTATCTCTCAGGCACCAAATGTACACCTTCTTTGCTCTCTTCAGTTCACACCACATAGACAAGCCTATAAAGAATTCCTTCTAGGAGGTTATTTGACATCTATTGAATTGGTTTTGGGGGCTCAGCCAAAAATAAGATAACGGAAAAATTTTATTTCATACCCTATTATATAGTAAATATTGTCCAGATTTAATAAACGATGTTTCTATTCTTTGCAAGTAGAATTATTTATCAGTAAATCCTAAGTGGCTTTTTAAAAATGACTAGAGTTTCCTGGAGACTAAAGCTTTCACACAAGTTTAATTTTAAAGCTTTTCATTATTTTCTTTGTCTTCATTAGTCTTTAAGCAGCAAGTTCTCATTATAAACTAAACCATGCAAAGCGTGTAATATACAAGACACTCCTCCCGCTCCCTTGCAGCCGGAGGCATCCATGAACTTAGTAAAGATTGTTTCAGCAGAAATGCAAAAAGAGTCCATTTTTGGCCTTTGGCTGCAAAAAAGTCCCTTGAATCCTCCCAATTTTTTTTCAGCACTTTCATTGGTTAATTCCTACTCGTTAAAAAAAATTACTTGAGGTAAGACTGCTATACAAAAAGCCATACATAGTTAATGTGTACAACTTAATGAGTTTGGAGATTAGTATATACCCATGAAACCATCACCACAATCTATGGTACAAACCTATTCGTCACCTCCGAAAGTTTCCATCTACCCTCTTCATTTATTATTATTATATTTTTGGTGATAAGAATCCTTAACATGAAAAATACTCTTAGTAGGTTTGTAAGTATACAATACAATATTGTTAGGTTATGCAACATAAAAAATACTACTCATTTTTTATCACTTGGCTCTGGTCTCATCTCTCCATAATGCCTTTGCCAGTTTCTACTAAGTTCTCCTATTTTGACTTGATAGTATTAATGCATACCCTTATCTCGGTACTTCATATGCACCTTGAAATTATCCGTGTTACCTCTTTCTCAGTCCTTACAATGTTCTCGGAAGGAACCATGTCTTACTCTTCTTTGTTACCCCTCTTCCAAAGTGCCTATCACATAGTAGGTGCTCAATAAATGTTTATTGAATAGAGAGAAATAGGTAAGATTAGGATCCATTTCTGATCACATTTTACAAGCAACAAAACTAACGCTCTCCAGGAATGGGCAAACTATTTCAGTAAAGGGCCAGAGAGTAAATATGTTATGCTTTGTTGGCCATCTGGACTCTTTCACAACTACTTAACTCTGCTGTTGTAGCAGGACAGCAGCCATAGACAATCTGTAAATGACTGGGTGCGGCTGTGTTCCAATGAAACTTTATTTACAAAACAGATGGCACACAGATTTGCTTCTAAGGCTCTAGTTTGCAGCTTCTCCTCTACTAAACTAAGAGTGGTTTACTGACTTAGTTTCACATCTAGAGTATATTTGTGTATGGCAAAACTCAAAGTCTTTTTACATAGTTGAATGATAGTATATTGTGGTGGAATAGTAATCTGCTCAATAGTTTGCTAGTGGTCTAAAGATCTGATGTTCAATCAAAGATGTGTAATTTACTACTAAGAGGAAGCAAGTTAAGCCTCACTAATTCTAATGTACTTGTGAGTGGAAAGATACAATGAATATCATGTTAAGAAAATAGTACACGTTTAAGAACAATCTGTTCCCCTATGGTCTCCTAGGTCATCAAGAGAATGGACTCTTTAATGGACAAGAATTATGTGCTCAGTAAAATGGTAATATTGGCTCTGCCTGTCAAAGGAAGCGTTCATTATTCACAGGTGTATATTTATCAGCATCTTCCTGAGTTGATGCCTGTTTCCCAACCATTTCTTGGCATTAAAGACTTCCTCTGGTAGGTCTATCTCCTCACAGGGCTCCATGTGGTCCAGGCTGGATCTTTGCATATATGGCTTTTCCCACCAGGATGTGGGGGTGTTAGAGGATAGATTCCAAGATCTCCAAGGTCCCAAGCAGTCCTCAAATTTATTAGCTATTATCTCTTTTCAAATGCATCTTTTCCATGCGAGCCCCTTTTGGCTTGAAACATTATCTAAGTTTAAATTAGCTGTTTCTTCTCTGACCTCAAGTTGCTGCAACACATATGGCAGGATTATCTTGGCTATTAATCTGATCTCTGTGTAATTCCCTCTCCTTCTGTTTCTTACCTTCAGTGAATCCAGGGGCACCCGTAAACTCTAATCACACATTGATCTAAGCATTTCAGATACTTGCTTGTAAAGACTACCTGAACCTGGGGCTGAGACTGTGAGGAGAAGATGGAAGAGGGGTGATTGGGATATGAGAGAAAAGTGTGGAGGCAACAGATTTTTCGGAGTGAAGCCAGGAAGTAGAAGGAGGACCAGGAAGTAGAAGGAGGACCGGGAAATGGAAGGAGTGCCAGGAAGTGGAAGGAGTCAATGCCACACTGTGCTTGAAATCAACTTGCCCTCAGTGACTCAATGCCCGTGGACAACACACCATCTAAAAGTGTTGGGTCCTTATTTGTCCCCTGAACAGAAGGTAGGCTTCTTGGTTGCCTTGTCAGGGCAGAAAGCGTGGAAGAAAAACATGGTATCCTGGCCTACATGCAGCTGATCAGAACAGCTGGGAATTTCCCTGTGAGATGGAACAACTCTGGACCTACCACTGCTGTTACCCGCACTGCTTCGCCTTTAATGGTTGTTATTTCTCATGGGTTAGTCTTGTTTTTAGTTACTATTTTATGAAGAAATTCCTTCCTCTCAAGGTAGATAGAATAAGATCAACCTCACGGAGTTATTGTGGGGATAAAATAAGAGGACGTGTGGGCCGGGTGCGGTGGGCTCACGTCTGTAATCCCTGTACTTTGGGAGGCTGAGGCGGGTGGAGCACTTGACGTCAGGAATTCGAGACCAGTCTGGCCAACATGGCGAAACCTCGTCTCTGCTAAAAATACAAAAATTAGCTGGGCATGGTGGTGCACACCAGTAATCCCAGCTATTTGGGAGGCTAAGGCAGGAGAATTTCTTGAACCTAGGAGGCAGAGGCTGCAGTGAGCCAAGATTGAGTCTCTGCACTCCAGCCTGGGTGACAGAGCAAGACTCTGTCTCCAAAAAAAAAAAAAAAAAAGCAAGTATGGAATGCCTCTGAAATTATTATGATATTCCAAAATAAAGAATTGTTATATGTTAAAAGCTCCCTGAGGATCAAGTTTTGGACTCCTCTCATCTCACGTAATGACTCATATGACAGCATATCATCAGGATATGGTTTATGAGATTTTCCTGGAATTACATCATATTGATGACACATTTATGCGCCTTTGCAATTACAAAATTCCTCCTATGTTGAATGTTGTTATTCTCCCCTCATGATTCAGTTCAAATGCCTTCTTCTCTTTAACGCCTTTGTCAACATCCCACTTCCTCCAGTCTCCCCAGTGCTCTGCTCATAATTCTCCTATCCACATCACATTGTGTAATGATTGTTTATTTACATGTCTGATTATCCTGCTAGTTTGTGAGCACTTGGAGAAGAGAAAATGCACAGCCTATATTTTATTCATGTCTGTATGCCCAACGTGTGCACCAACTGACAGCATAAGTGCTCCATGTGTATTCAATATTTCCTAAATGTAAAGTTGAGAGTAGTCCTTCAGCTTTGGGATTTTGTTGACGTTCTCAGTGAAACCCAGGTTTGGAACTCTAACAAATATATTTGAATATTTCTCGGGCCTATAAATGCAGCTTGGAACTAAAGACATCTGGTCTACTATAAAAATCTTCTGAATGGTCTCTATTCCTCTATTCATGTTTCCTTTCAATCATTTTCCAATTCCTGCCAAAGAGAATATTCCAAAACAAATCTGTTTATTACTTTTTAATTAAAAGTCTTCAAAGTCTTCCCCTTGCTAAAGGATAAAATTTTTTTTAGGGTGGCATCCAAGACCTTACTTAATTTAATCCTCTCGATCTTCCATGACTTATCTCTTGATGCATCTTCTCCATTCTCCCCTCAGTCCCCCACCAATACACACAACTACCTCACAACCCTGCACTTTCCACCCCACCTACCTGCTTTATAGATGCTGAATTACAAGTAATTATCTAAATGGACCACACTGCAGGAACTTCTGTAGCCATTTTCCATCATTGTCCTGTTCTTTCATTGTTGTTTCTATTTCTTTTTTTATCTCCCTAATTATTTAAACCATATTTTACAGACTTGTTACATTTACTGACTCTCATGGTGGTGGAGATGGATTTTTTCCTAGTGTGCCTGTGTGTGGGTGAGTTTTGTTTTATTTGCTTATTTTATTGTGAGATCATTTTCAGCAGGGGTTGATTCGCTTCCCACTCCCAGGTAGTAGAAGTACCAGTTTTGCCAGTTTCCTAGTGGTTTTATGGGTCCTAGACCAGCTCTATGTTAATGTCCCAGCTTGGGATTTTGATAGCATGGGGACAATATAAATTGGAGCCTTACATGCTTGTGTGCCTTAGGTTTGCAATTTCTCGTTTTTTCCCTACTGAGTCGCGGGTAGATGGCAAACTTCCTTGCTACCTCTCTAGGCTTTTGGGTGGAGTATTTCTAGTTCCTTTTTAACAGATGGGCCTGGCTAAATGTAGAGGATTCAGCTCTAGCTCTCCATGTCAGATCTCACATGGGTCAGTGTCCTTACCCTCTTCCTGCCTGGACATTAAAACTCAGCTGTATTGCTAAGCAGGCCTGACAACCCCGTGAGAGGCTGTTGCATCAGCTCTATTTACTAGCCTGTATTTAATTTCCCTCTTCCTTGCTTAAACCTATGGGTTTGTTTCTGTTTTCTTTTTTCAAGCTCAATCATTTTTCCTTACGCTGTTTTATCTAGCATGTGGGAGAATTGGTGTCAGTGTAGTCCAATAGGTTGTTGGAGGGCCTCTGTGTTACCTGCTGTGGTTATTCCCACGTTCTCCTTTACATGGAAGACTCTGTCATCAAACCAACCCAGACTGCAGGGCAACCTTGCTCTTCATACTCAGCCGAGCATCCCCTTCTCTATTGAACTTTTTTAAACCTTTCTCCAGATTAGAATTAGTCTCTCCCTCACTGGTACTTCCACCACACACTGTTTAGTTTTAAACCGTAAGACCCGTGACGCTGATGTGCTTACATTGTGTTCATGAGTCCTTTTTCCTTCTTGAAGATTATATTTTATTTATCTTTGTGTCCTTAGGGTCCTGCGCTTTGCAGGGTCCATAACAGGTGTTTAATACAAGCCAAATAATGGATGAATGAGTGAATACATAAAATGGGTGGATAATAAGAAATGACAGAATAGTAGCAATAGTAGAATTTCATAGTTCCCCTAGGTCAGGCATGGTGGTGTGCACCTGTAGTCCTTGCTATCCAGTAGGCTGAGGCAGGAGGATCACATGAACCCAGGAGTGCCAGGCTGGAATAAACTATGATTACGCCACTGCACTCCAGCCTGACAACAGAGTGAGACCCTAAAAAGAAGAGAGAAAAGTTCCTCTCTCTCTGTCTTTATGCTGTGTTTCTAGGCCACATCTATAAATAAATTAAGAAAGTCAAATTTAAACTATCTTATCCTGAAAAGAAGTGAAATGTAAGATGTTTATTGAAACTAGCAGCGATCACATCTAGTGCCCCCCATGTGCCAGGCACATTAAATTCACATATCTACTTTTTACAGCAACATTTTGATGTAGGTGCTATGAATATTCTTTTTACACGTGAGGGAAATGAGTCACCAAAAGGTTGAATAACTTGACCAAACTCAAAAATGATAGAGCTGGGATTTGAGCTCAGGTAGTCTGGCTCCAGAGTCTGTATTTTTAACCATAATATTAGATAACCTATCAGTACTAACGAAGAAGACAGAAGGAAGTTTCTGGGTCCATTTTTTTAAAGGAATTATTTGTGAGTTTAAAGTGAATCATTATTTTCTGATGAATATTCAGGTACTTTTTAGAACCCTGCCATGCGGGAAGATAAAAGTCTCACTCAGTAAAATACCTCTAAATTTAACTGATAGGTTTAAAAATCCTTCCACAATTGAACCTAGATTTCAGATGTTGTTATTTAAACACCTTTCTTTCTGTTTCCTTCCTTATTCACAGGAAAAAAAAAAAAAAAGAACAAATACAACCACCTCCTTTTGGTCTTCCTAGAAATATAAGTTGAAGCCTTATTAGAAATCATTTGGTATACATCCCTTTTCCTTAAAATCCGGAAAGCACCACGAATATTTTGAATTTATTTTATTTTATTTTTGAGATGTAATCTCACTCTGTCACCCAGGCTGGAGTGCAGTGGCACAATCTTGGCTCACTGCAACCTCCACCTCTCACGTTCAAGCAATTGTCTCACCTCAGCCTCCCAAGTAGCTGGGACTACAGGCTCCCGCCACCACACCCAGCTAATTTTTGTATTTTTAGCAGACGCAAGGTTTCACCATGTTAGTCAGGGCGGTCTTGAACTCCTGACCTCAAGTGATCCACCTGCCTGGGCCTCCCAAAGTTCTGGGATTGCAGACGTGAGCCACTGGGCCAGGCTATTTTGGATATACTGATAGAAAATCACCCTGCTCATTCATTCTCCTTATCACCGACTGAGAAGTAAGAAGCAAGACATACTGGATGGAGCAAAGCAACAGGCTCCATCTGCCCAGTCATTTTGACTGTCATACTGCCTGCAGGTGGTAACCACAATGCTTATACTTGTGGATGCAGAGGCCCAATAATTCCTGCATTGCAAATATGATCTCATCTCCTATCGAAGCTCCTTTAATGGAATTTTGTGGAGAAGTGATAACCTTCCCTGAATGTAAGAGTGGGCGAAAGAATCTCAAACCACAAGACACATTGACCATAAGCAAAATGGGAATGTGTTTTTGGAGCAGCAGAAACTTTTTACTTAGGATTATTAAAGAATATGCTAAAGAAAGATAAGCAACTTGAGCGGTTACTAAATATACCAAGCATGCATGGGGCTGAGATATGTGGGGTTATGTGCAGCTGAGCAAACAAAATGACTATTTTTGTAGGGACCCTGAGTGTGTGGCGCTTTGGGTTTGATGACGCACCTCACTATTTAAGGAATGCTGGAGAATTATCCTATCTGAAGTCCAGAACAGATTTTTCTCTTCGAGAGAAAATTAGTTTTTTAATGTTTGAATGGACATTGAGTAAAATGTATCATGAAAATATCTAATAATTTACCATGCCACCAAGATGGCACAGCCTCAGAGCCATGCTGAGATCAGAAGAAAATTGAAATAATTGGTAGAGTACAAAGGGCTTCATTTTTCTTTTCCTTTTTGGCAATAAACTGGCTCCATTACAGTGTTAGTGAGTTTCAGAAAATGGATGGTTATTGACATGAGATTACTTGTGAAGCATAGTGTAGATCATTCAGTTGAAAAGGATTGTGTTTTTTTCTTTTTAAGCCCAAAGTACTATATTTAGGTCAATATTTAAACACATGGTAGAACTTATTAAAAGTAGTAAAATTGAAATGTTTGTCACTTAATGAATGATTGGCAACCTTGCTTAAGATATCTTGGCCACGTGTGGGCTCATAAGCAAGATCCTTAAGGTATTTAAAAGGAAATTAGGCTCTCTGCTCCTCCGGTTTGGCAGCCACATTTTCTCATGCAGTGTCAGCCGTGTCCCTGAGACACCATGGTGGAAGTGCAGGTCAGACTAAACGGATTTGGCCATATTGAGTGCCTGGTCACCAAGGCTGCTTTTAACTTTGGGAAGCAGATATTGTTGTCATCAATGATCCTTTCATTGACCTCAACTACATGCTCTGCATATTCCAGTATGATTCCATGGCATTGGCAAGGCTGAGAATGGGAAACTTGTCATCAGTGGAAATCCTATCACCGTGTTCCCGGAGGAAGATCCCACCAAAAGCAAATGGGGTGATGCCAGTGCTCATTATGTTGGGGAGCCCACTGGCATCTTCACTCCCACTCCCATGGAGAAGGCTGGGGCATACTGAGAGTAGGGAGTCAAAATGGTCATCATCTCTGCCCTGTCTGTTGATGACCCCATGTTCGTGATGGGGGTGAACCATGAGAAGTTCAAAAACAGCCTCAAGATCATCAGCGATGCCTCCTGTACCACCAACTTCTTCGCACCCCTGGTCAAGGTCATCCATGCCAACTTTGGCATCATGACTTATGACCACAGTCCATGCCATCACTGCCACCTACAAGACCAGGGAATGGCCCCTCTGGGAAACAGTGGTGCGACAGCCGCGGGACTCTCCAGAACATCATCTGTGCATCTACTGGTGCTGCATCTACCAAGCTGAACAGGAAGCTCACTGGCATGTCCTCACCACCAATATGTCGGTCATGGACCTGACCTGCCATCTGGAGAAACCTGCCAAATATGATTACATCAAGAAGGTGGTGATGCAGGCATTGGAGGGCCCCTTCAAGGGCATCTTGGGCTACACTGAGCACCAGGCTGTCTCCTCCAACTTTAACAGTGACATTTACTCTTCCACTTTCCATGCTGGATCAGCATTGCCCCCAACAACCACTTTTTCAAGTTCATATCCTGGTATGATAGTGAATTTGGCTACAGCAATAGGGTGGTAGGCCTCAAAGGAGTAAGGCCCCCAGACTGCCAGCCCCAGCGAGAGCACGAGAGGGAAAAGAGAGGCCCTCAGCTGCTGGGGAGTCCATGCCACACCCAGTCCCCCATGACAGTGAGAATCTCCCTGCCTCACTGGTTCCATGGCAAACACCCTGAAGTGGGAGGGGCCTAGGGAGCCCCACCTTGTGTACCATCAATAAAGTCTCCTGTACTCAAAAAAAGAAAAGAAAAGAAATTATACTGAAAGATAGTATTTAATAAAGAGTTCAGATGTTTTATGTTCATATGTGAATCAGTATCAGGCAATGGATTTATCATTTTGGAAATTAAGCTCCCTTGTAAAAAATATCTGAGTTGTTTATTGAGTTACAGGCACTTTCTTATAAAGCTCCAGTTGTTGCTTTTCTCAGAGAACTGGGAAGCCCCTTTCAATTTTGTTGTGTTCTGTGAACAGCTTTCCACCCCGAAGACTGGAAAATCTCTTTTCTAACCATGGGAGAAAAACTGAAGCAGAAACAGCAAGAAATACAGGTATTTTGACAAAAGGATTTTCTCATCCCAGTGCTTTCTTACTGCCTGAAATTCTAGTAGTTAACAATTCTTCAAGAGTCAGATACTTGTCACAGTGTGATATGGTTTGGGTCTGTGTCCCCACCCAAATCTTACCTTGAATTATAATCTGAATTGTAATTCCCACATGTTGAAGGAGGGAGCTAGTGGGAGATGATTGGATTATGGGGGCGGTTTCCACCATGCTGTACTCATGATAGTGAGTGAGTTCTCATGAGATCTGACGGTTTTATAAGTGGCAGTTTCCCCTGCGTGCTCCTCTCTTTCCTGCCACCGTGTAATACATACCTTGCTTCCCCTTCCCCTTCTGCCATGATTGTAAGTTTCCTGAGGCCTTTCCAGCCATGAGGAACTGTGAGTCAATTCAACCTCTTTTGTTTATAAATTACTCAGTCTCAGGTAGTATCTTTGTAGCACTGTGAGAACGGACTAATATACAATGACTCAGAAAGAAAAAGACATCTTTTGACTTTGGAGGGATATATTTTTAGGGTGAGATGATATAAATGGGGATCTCACGGTACCAGGATAGTTGACCTCAGTTGACCAAAGAGCCTAAGCTGAAAAACAAAAATAGTAGCTTATTTTTAAAAATAGCTAATGCTATAGAGGAAAGCAGTAAGTAACTTGGAGAAAAGGCAGAGAAAGCACAAACACGGTCAACATCTGGAGAAGCTTGAACCTCATATGGCAGATCATAATTGTAACACAATTGCTTATTTTATACCCTGAAAATTTTCAGTTCTAAATGAAATCTTGCTGGGTAAGAATATTTTTCAATGACTATTTTAAAGAAAAGCAATTCTGCCAGTTTTGTGGTATATGGTTATTAAAGAGTTAAAGAGCAACAGTTAAGTCATATTGTTAATACTGTGGCATAGAAAATAATCTAATCATGTCCTTTGCCCATTTCTAAATTGGATTAATTTTACTAATATATTTTATTTAACCCAATATATATAAATGTTTCATCATGTAATCAACATAAAATGTTAATGAGATTTTTACCTTTTTATTCATAAAGTCTTCAAAATTCAGGATGTATTTTATATTCGGAATGAAACTCAGTTTAAAGTGGTCACATTTCAAGTGCTCAAAACACAGATGTAGCTGTCATATTGAACAGCACACTGCAGATAGTTCTCATTTCTAGCTGGGTGTTTGGCTTTGCAGAAGTCTGAGGTCCGTATGGTTTTTTTTCTCCTTGTAGGTGATTAGCTTTCTGATACCTGAACAATTATTTTTCATTCTTACAATTCAATAACTTAACAAAGATACATATCAAAGAGGTCCATACTTAATTTTCATGTTCATTCACTGTGCCAATTGAGTTCTCATTTCAGGACTGTTACTTATTTTGTGATATATCTTTGTAATACTTTTCTTATTCCACTGTTGAGTTATTTTTTCTTCTGAGACATCAGTTAACATTTGTTGGGCTCTCTATTTTTGTCCTCCATATCTAGTAGTTTCTTTATGATTCTTTAAGCACCTCATGTTATTTGCATTACTGTAATTATCACAATCTTTTTCTAAATGTAAGTATATTGATTTTGTTTTCTGCTCTTTTGATCTTATTTAACTTGTGTTTTTAGCTTGCTTAATTTTGATGACATTATTTTGGTTCTTATTTCCTGTTTCATACTACAGCATTCTTTATATTCTAATCTTTTTGCTCTCATTTTGTCAAATTCAAGTGGCTATTGTAAGCTTGTCCTATTACTCAAAGCTTTTTTGAAAATGTTCCTTCTTACTGCAGTCGAGTCATATAAATGAATAAACAACAAAAATATACAAGAGAATTTTTTTAAAAAGAAAACTAAAGAAAATGTTCCTTCTGTTTCTTGTTTGCTTTAGTTTTTTTTCCCTTAAGATTAGGTTGTTTATTTGGTATCTAGCTAATGTTGGTCTTGTAAAATAAAGTGGGAAGTGTTTCCTCCTCTTCTAAGGAAGAGCTTATGTGGAATTTGTGCTATTTCTTTTTTAAATGTTTGGTAGAACTGATTGGTGAAATAATTTGTCCAAGAGATACCTTTTTCAGATGTTTAAACTATCAATTCAATTTCTTTAATAGTTTTAGGACTATCCAGGTTATCTATTTCATCTTAGGTAAGCTTTGGTATTTATTGATTTTGGAGAAATTGGTCCATTTTATCTCAGTTGTCAAATGTATGTGTATAGAATTACTTGTAGCCATTATATATTATCTTTTTTTCACATCCATGGGGTTTGTAGTCATATATTCTCTTTCACTCCTGATCTTGCCAAGTCAGTTCCAAATAATAGAAATTTTCAGTTGATAGAATTCCAAGAAAATTAGATTTTATCTCAAAGAATTCCAAGAAAATTAGATTTTATCTCAAAGTAAAACAAAATAAGACCTCTAGATCTTGAAATCGATGTATCTCAAGTTAATATGTTCAAAATGAATTTCATCATCTGTTTTCCAATTCCTTTTCCTGTTACATACCTTTCTTTTTCAAATGTCACTTATCCAAGACAAAAACTGGGGTACTTCACTATCCCCTTTCCCTAATCCCCCAACTGGTGTGTTAGTTTTGAAAGTTTGCCTTTTTAATATCTCTAGGAGGCATTCCATTTTCTCTAGCCTATCTGCACTGCACTTGTTCAGATTCCCTTTACTTCTTTCCAGGATTATTTCAGAAGCCTCTAAATGATTTTTCCGCCTTTGGCTTTAGCTTCCTTCTAAACTATTCTCTATGTTGTAGCCAAGCCATATTTTTAAAGTATGATTCTAGGAATATTATCTACCCCTCACTATCATGGAAATCCTTTAGAGTTTGCCTTAGTCTTTCAGGCTGCTATAACAAAAATCCATAAACTTAGGTGGCTTATAAACAATAAACATTTGTTTCACACAGTTCTGGAGCCTGAGAAGTCCACGATCAAGATGCCAATACATTCAGTGTCTGGGGAGGGTCTATTTCTGGTTCATAGAAGACGTCCTCTAGCTGTGTCCTCACATGGTGGAAGGCTCAAGCTAGCTCTCTGAAGCCTCTTTTACAAGGGCACTCATCCAATTAATGAAGTCTCTGCCCTCATGACCTAATCACTCCACAAAAGGTCACACTTCCTAATATCATCATGTTGGGGGTTAGGATTTCACCATATGAATTTTGGGGGACACAAACAGAACATAGCAGAGGCCCTCTGCAGTGGTTGAGATAGAGAATAAACTCCCAGGCACATTTGCTCTTTCTGTGTTTTTGTTTGTTTATTTGTTTGTTTGTTTGTGATCAGATCCCTGCCAGTGTCCATTTTCACATGTTGACACTCTCTTGTTTTTGTACTCCAGCCATTGCGTTTATTTCACCAAGCTTTTATTCATCTCTGTGACTTTACACAAATTGTTCTTTATGCTTGGGGTGCTCTCCCTTGTCACAGCTCCTCTCCTGTCTAAGACATGCTTAGAAGATTCAAGAATAAGCTCCTTTGGTGGCCTCCCTGACCTTCCTCATCTCAGTCCCCTGTGTACTCTCAAAATATCCTGTACACGCTGTTTGACACTTACATTTTACTTGTCTAAGCCCGCTTCAGGCAGAGACTGTATCTTTTTCATATTTATCTTGGTACATAGTAAGTACTCAATAATTATTGAGTGAAGTTCAAATCTTTTGCATTAAGGGATATGAAATTCCAACTGGAAAAGTTAACAATTGTAATGTGAGAATAATATCTTTAATTAATTTTGTTTGCTTGCATATTTTCATTTTGTCCTTATAGTAACTCTGTGAATTAACAGGAACCCTCAATTGAATAGAGAAACAAAGTGAGGCTTGGGAGGGTTGGTAATTTTCCCAAAGTAACTCAGCTAATAAGTGGCAGAACCAGGAGTCTGGTATGTGGTCTTAATTTAAAGCTGTTTTCTTCCCACTCTAACATCAAGCCCAGAATAGGAGAATAAAGGGTAAGAGAACCTGAAGGTGTTTTAAATGTGCTCATACCCCCAGTATTAGGTAAATTACTTTTCAGGGTATAAAGGTCTCCTGGATGTGTTATCAGAGACAGTAGGGAACTGCAGAGATGAAAGAAGCTTGGAAATGTGCAAATATTTAAAAAGTGTATCTGAGAAATCCTTTTCTCAGAATTTTTTATTAGCTAGATCGTTGTTGAACATTTGGAATAGAAGATGGCAATCAATCAGGACTGACACACGTTTCCTTCGAATAGATCAGGTAAAGTAAACTCCAATTTTCTTTCTATTCTAAGTTTCCTAGATTGTATGATCACAATAAAATAGCAGACAAAATGTTCACTTATTTGTTCTGGGACCACCCCTCCCCCCCACCACCAGTTGTCATCATTGGGCCAAAATCCACACAGAATAAGATAAAGTAATCAGCAAATTCAAATGAATTAGCAAGGACCAGTCTCAAGACTGTCTACAAAAAGAATGATCAGATCTTAACTCTAAGTCCTCAAAGGCTTCATCTTCCATGACCCAAGTGGGTGGTCTCCATCTCTATTATCATTGTATGGTATCTACTGCATCCTATAATGTACTTATCCTTTCATGCACCCTAAACATTTCTACAATATCCTAGCAGAGTGAAGAGGCATATTGCCTAGAAACATGGGAGTTTTCAAAGGGATAAGGATTTCTTCATTGTCATGACCTTTTGTACATGATGTACATGATTTGGTGGTGTGTCCCACTATCTGGGCCTTGTGGTTTCCTTACAGACAGTTTCTGCTGTTGTTTTTGTGGTTGGTTCCTCCTTCAGCCTTCTTATCCGTTAGATATCTGTGCAGTTCTTCATTTTTCTTCATAAAAGTAACAATAAACAGCACAAATGAACCCCTGGCAACCTTTATTATTGTATTATACATGAATAAAGCCTATTTTAATAATCTTATGAGCGAGATAAAAGCATGTGGGATGGCTACCTCTGATGTTCCAGATGATTTTTTAAGTAGTTGGACAGTCACACAAAAAGGGTATAAACCAAGGGAGGTCAACCTTAAAAGAAGTTTCTTTGTTCTTTGACTTCTGTGAAAATGTTATCGGAGACTTGAATATAAGCATAAAAGCCACATTTATCAAATTTAAAAATTTATAATGCAAAAAGCTGCCAGCTTAGCGAAAAGAACTCTTTTTTTTTTCTTTTTTTGCTGCTAGTTGAAGATGAAAATTCTAAGTAATCTCACCAGGTTGGACAACTGGCTATGAAATGGCATGAAATATGTAAGTTACTATTGTCAGCTTTAAAAGAGCAAATCTGCAATGATAAGATATAAGATCTGAAAATCTTTGTGGCAGCAGCTTTTGTAAAAACGAAAATAAGACATAAACAAATAAATTAATTACAAATTTGCTGTGAGACCAAAATACCACACAGCCCCCAAAAGCTGAGATAGTCACTGCAGATATTGAAGATCTGCATTCTAAACCACATGTTTTATCCCCAATGTTCAGCTCAATGTATTGTGCTTGGTAGATTCTTAATTATTATTTGTTCAGTAACAAATATAATGATCAGGTCTTTGCAGGAGTATTAAATTAAAATTTGTCTGTTACACTTTAATGGTCAGTTGTTAACCTGGAGTGCACACAAATAATGATAGATCAGCAAGGAGGGTCTAAAAACCACATACTAGGAAGTCCAATGGAAGAATTAGGCGTGTACAGAAGAGAAGGTTAATTTATTAAGAGACCGGCTATTAGGCCGGGCGCGGTGGCTCACGCCTGTAATCCCAGCACTTTGGGAGGCCGAGGCGGGTGGATCATGAGGTCAGGAGATCGAGACCATCCTGGCTAACAAGGTGAAACCCCGTCTCTACTAAAAATACAAAAAATTAGCCGGGCGCGGTGGCGGGCACCTGTAGTCCCAGCTACTCGGGAGGCTGAGGCAGGAGAATGGCGTGAACCCGGGAAGCGGAGCTTGCAGTGAGCCGAGATTGCGCCACTGCAGTCCGCAGTCCGACCTGGGCGACAGAGCGAGACTCCGTCTCAAAAAAAAAAAAAAAAAAAAAAAAAAAAAAAAAAAAAGGGGGCCGGCTATTTTATTATAGATTGTCTTATTCTGTCCCAAGGGAAGTATTCTAATTGATGTTATAGGGAGGCAGGTTTAAACTCAGTATTAAGAAGAGCTTTCTATAATTAATAAAAGACAATGATATGGACTTGTATTAGTTTGTTGTCACACAGCTATAAAGAGCTACCCGAGACTGGGTAATTTATAAAGAAAGGAGTTTTAATTGACTTACAGTTCCACATAGCTGGGGAGGCCTCAGGAAACTTATAATCATGGCAGAAGGTAAAGGAGAAGCAAGCACCTCCTTCACAAGGCAGCAGGAGAGAGAGAGAACAAGGTGGGAAGTGCCACACTTTAAACCATCAGATCTCGTGAGAACTCACTGTCATGAAAATAGCAGAGGGAAACCCGCCCCCATGATCCAAACACTTCTCACCAGGTTCCTCCCCTGACATGTAGGGATTATAATTTCAGATGAGATTTGGGGACGGGAGCACAGAGCCAAACCATATCAGGACTATTGCATGACCATCTATTAGGCACGTTGTAGGGAAAATTTCTATCTATATATTTGGTGTAGTGATTTAGCTTGGATTGTCTTTCCAACTCAAAGACTACATTGGGTAGTAAGAGCTAGTCTAATTTTTTTAAAAAATAATAAATATCTGGGCTATATGCACTTTTTTCATTATCAACAAAACTACTAAAATATCTTTTCACAGATTAAGCCTAACAATGGGGTTTCTAATTCTTTCTTACTATATTACAGTTTTGTTTTTTACAGTTTGTTAGAGATCACTAGACAGTTACTAATATCCATTATTTTGTCAACATGTAGCTATCTCTGTTGGTTTTTAAAATGCTTGAATATTTTCTGAATTTAAGAAGTGATTTTACAGTATTTGCTGTATTTACAGTATTTGCTGATTCAGATCATTATGATTATTTATAAAGCCAATCATATGTTTCTGTTTCTGTGTATTTTACAATTTTTTTCAATATGTAAGTGAGGACTGAGAATTAAGAAGTTTTTTGGAAAATGCTAGTTTTTATTAGATGGTGCCCAGAATATCTCAATAATGAAAAGTTGAGTATGTTGGAGTTAAACCAATTGCCTGCCCTCAATGCAGTGCTTATTTCAGTTTGCTGACAGCACTAGTCAGCAGTTTGCTGTTCTGAGTGTTTACTACCACATCCCTGACATATTCTACCCTGGAATCCCAGGACTCTGTGTTTTCTGGTTACGCTCGGCCTCTCTGGCTTCTTCACAGCTGCCGCTCCCTCATTCTCATCTTAACTGTGGCCACACCCAAAGGAAGGATTTGTAATTCTCTTCTTTGCAATTTTCTGCTTAGAGGTCTCCTCTGCTTCCATGCCTTAAATGGAGAAGCCCCAGTTCTTCACCCATGGCCCTGCCATGAATCTCCCAGCTCTGTGTGAAGGCTCTCCATTGAAATTAACAGGTCTAACATCCACCTCATCACGTTTCTCTTCACAAGAAGACTTTGGGATCTTCTCTGTTTCTGCCAGTGATTCAACCTTTCTCTCAGTCACTAAAGCTCAGATATATTGTAACCACCCAGTGGGTTCACCTTGCCTGCTGCCTAGACAGAATCTATCAAGACAGGGGAATTGCAATAGAGAAAGAATAATTTACACGGAGCCGGCTGTGTGGGGGACCAGAGTTTCATTATTACTCAAATCAGTCTTCCTGAGCATTTGGGGATCACAGGTCTTTTTTTTTTTTTTTGAGATGGAGTCTCATTCTGTTGCCAGGCTGGAGTGCAGTGGCGCGATCTCAGCTCACTGCAACCTCTGCCTCCCAGGTTCAAGTGATTCTCCTGCCTCAGCCTCTCGAGTAGCTGGGACCACAGGTGCCTGCCACCATGCCCAGCTAATTTTTGTATTTCTAGTAGAGACGGGGTTTCACATGTTATCCAGGATGGTCTCGATCTCTTGACCTTGTGATCTGCCTGTCTCAGCCTCCCAAAGTGCTTGGATTACAGGCGTGAGCCACTGGGCCTGGCCCAGGGTGTTTAAGGATAACTTGGTGGGTGGGGGAAGACCAGTGAATTGAGAGTGCTGCTTGGTTGGGTCAGAGATGAAATCATGGCAAGTTGAAGCTGTCCTCTTGTGCTGAGTCAATTCCTGGGTGGGGGCCACAAGATCAGGTGAGCCAGTTTATCAGTCTGGGTGGTGCCAGCTGATCCATCAAAATATCTGCAAAATATTTCAAGCACTAATCTTATGAGCAGTTTAGGGAGGGTCAGAATCCTGTAGCCTCCAGCTGCGTAAGTCCTAAAACATAATTTCAAATCTTGTGGCTAATTGGTCCTATAAAGGCAGTCTAGTCCCCAGGCAAGAAGGAGGCTTGTTTTGGGAAAGGGCTGTTATGGTCTTTGTTGTAAACTATAAATTCCTCCCAAAGTTAGCTCGGTCTATGCCCAGGAAGGGACAAGGACAGCTTAAAGGTTAGAAGGAAGATGGAGTTGGTTAGGTCAGATCTCTTTCACTGTCTCAGTCATAATTTTGCAAAGGCAGTTTCAATATCACAGTTCCTCTCCTCCCTGCTTAGGGAGACAGTGTCCCATAATTGTTAAGAGCACACCCTCTGACTCAAGCCATCTAGGTTCAAATCCTAGCCCTTCCCTTCTCCAGTTGCCGAACTCGAACAAGTATTGTAGCCTCTTCAAGCCCCATTTTTCATATCTGTAAAGCGGAGATCGTAACAAACTGTACATGTCGATGATGTCCACAGAGTTGGATCAAGGGTTACGAATCTGACAGCCCAAACCTCCAGACTGGCTGTGCTATTATTTCAGTTATTCTGACATGGCTCTGATGCAATGTGGACGTCAACAAAGCATTAAAAGTGAGAGACAGATTAGTAAGCAACTCCCTAAGGGTGGATTTTTAAATATGCACTAAAATTGTGGAGAAGTTAATATACTATATTAGTTCACTAGGGCTGCCATAAAAAAGTGCCAGAAGGACGCTAGGTGACTCAGAAAACAAAAATTTGTTTTCTCACAGTTCTGGAAGCTGTGAATCTAAGATCAATGTGTCAGCAGGTTGACTTCTGAGGCCCCTCTCCCTGGCTTGTAGATCTGTGACTTCAGATTGTCTTCCTTCTGTGTGTCTGTGTCCTAATCTTATAAGGACACCAGTCAGATTACATTAGGACCCATGCCAATAACCTCATTTTACCTTAATTACCTCTTTAAAGCCTTTATGTCTGTTAAAGCAAACTATAGCCTGAGAAGGACTCCCTACTTCTATATTTGAGTCCTTGCGGATGAACCGTAACCTAACTTAATAGGCAGATAAAATTGAAAACCTAACTTAGTAGTATGCACCTGTAACAATAGCTAAATCCTAGCCAATCCCAGCAGCCATATTTCAACCATTCATACACTGCTTAGTGCTCAAACTGTGTTCAAATAAGGCAAACGCCAACCTCTAACCAATCCAGCCGTTCTGTACCTCACTTCCAATTTCTGAACGTCATTTCTCTTTTTTTTTTTGGTCTATAAATCTTCCACCACATGGCTGCGCTGGAGTCTTTGTGAATCTGCTGTGATTCTGGGGGCTGTCTGATTTGTGAAACGTTCATTGCTCAATTAAACTCCTTTAAATTTAAACCGACTGAAGTTTTTCTTTTATCATGTCCCAAAACAGGAACATTCTGAGGTACTAGAGGTTTGGAGTTCAACATATACATTTGGCGGAGGTTGCAGGAAGACAATTCAGCCCATAGCATGTACCTACCTAAGGTCTTAACTGGTAAACAAACAAACAAAAAACCAACCTAGTTATAGTTTTAAATTTGTTTCTATTTTATTTCCCATGAGGTAATCTAAAAGAACCTGGGGAATCCAGGTGCTTTTCAAAGCAGTACTTGTATGGTGTTTCATCATTACCTCTCAGCGGGAGGGAAATGAAACTCAGACGGGCCCATTTGGTTTCTATGATACCAGCTTTCCTCACCTTTCTTGGGGAGAGTGATTTTGAAACTATGGGCTACAAAAGACTTTTGGATTATGTGTGAGCTATGCTCTCTCTCTGGGACTCCTACTATGCTTTGTGATTGTGAAAATAAGTGATTCAAAATCTAAGCTGTTGGAACTCTAAATTATTTTGAGCCATAAGGAAATGTGAATTATGGGGCCTGAGTCACAAGACAGGCAGCTGTAAACTAGGCAGCTGTGAACTTTTTGTAATATTTTTGATTGTCTGAATTGTCTTTTCCCTTACCTACATTATTTTGTAAAATGTTGTGAATGGTTGTAGGACGTGCGACAGGTGTAGCTCACCTGCTTGGTCGCCCCAAAGCTCAAAGGAGGAGCATGCAGACAGGCAGGTGCAGAGGCCAGTACAAGCACTTTTGGGCTCCTGTCCCACGGCAGAGTCTAGGGGTGGGTCTCTGTGTCACTCGAAGCCCATGTAGGCATGTATTACAAAGCTCTTTCAGATTTGTTGTCTGCAGACGGCTTGTGTGTTAATCAGCTTAACGGACCCTCTGCCTTATTGTGAGGGCAGGGGGCCAGCGTGACAACTTTCTTTATCCCAAGCTCTTGTCCAGTGTCCTGAAAGAATCAGATCACACATGGGCTTGAAGGATGAGTGCAAGGTTTCATTGAGTGGTGGAGGTGGCTCTCAGTGAGATGGATGGGGAGGCAGAAGTGGGGATGGAGTGGGAAGGTGGTCTTTCCCTGGAGTCGGGCATCCAGCGGCCCAACTCTTCTCCAGCCACCCCTGGCCAAGCTCCCCTATGAGTCCAGACATCCTTCCTTTTCTCTCTTTCTCTGCTGCATTGTTCCACTGTCACTGGTCTGCTGGTTCACTGGTCCACTGGTCTGCTGGTCTTGATGTCCAGCTTCTTGTGTATGTGCCCGCTAAGGTCTTGGGTTTGTATGGGGGCAGGATGGGGGGTGCATGGCAGGCCAAAAGGCAAATTTTGGCCATGAAAACAGAAATGCCTGTCCTCCTTTAGGGCTGCCGGTCTTCAGGCTTGAGGGTGGGCCGTTTGTTGGGGAACCGCCCCCTTCTACCCAGTATTTCCCTGTTTCCTGTCCATATCAGTGAAGGATGCCAGAGGAGACCCCTTCCCTCTTACTATTGACTTTCATTATAGATTAACCTCTTTCTTCTCACACAAAAACTTTATGGCCATCTCAATGCCTCAAGATGGAATGTTAAGCACACTCTTTTAAAATCAAAAGGAAATGAAAAGGAGCGATAAAGAAAAGAAAACAAGCTGCATGGAAAAGAAAAGAAAAGAAACTGATTAATTTGTTGTAACTCATAAACTGGCCCTGTATTGAAAATGTTGTAATCTTGTTAAATTTCTTTGCTTTTTCCTATATAAAAGAGAATTTAGCTTTTAACTTCAGAGCACTACCCCCATTTCTCTGGGACAGAGCATCCAGAAATGGCCATTCCCAGCTTTTTGCTTGAATAAACTCTCTAAAATTGGAATCTGACCCTTTAGATTATTTCAGGTTGACATGATGAGGAGTTGGCTATAAAGTCACTGCTCTGGCAAAGACTGAATTTCTCTCCTAGTATCAATCCAACACCACTGTTGCCCTGATACATACTGCATTACTGTGGAAGGTTTAAAATCAATCTACTTAGTATTTTCCCTTTTGTAGAAGTGGATTTTAATTATTTCAAGGATCAGGTTTATGGTGTGGGGTGGGGGCTCCAGGGATGTGGGGAGGGTAGCATCACAAGGAATTTTCCTCCAAAATGAGTGTAAGCTCAAGTCCTCTCTTGTGTCTGCTTTGCCTTACTTTGCAGGGAAAGAACCCAAGTTGCATGCAACTTCCCATCTAACTTCTCATTCTCTCTTAATTTTCAAACTTGTTTTCATCCCTATTAATAGCCAGGTCATAGAATCATTTTCAGAAACATTTCAGGTGCTTCAGGATTTTTGAAACCCTTTAGTTCGCATGGTTTGAGTGTGTCACAGGTTAGTAAACCCTCAAAGCTATGCTGTCATGGTTATTGTGTGGTTTATGCCGAGAGAAACTGGTCATAGTCTGCCCCAAGTAGCAATTAATGGGGACCCTGAGGGGCAGTCGGGAGAAGTGACTAAATCAATCCAGCAAGCTCTAGAGAAGCATTTCCTCTTGAGAAGTTCACTATTTTGTGAAAATCAAACGCAACCAAATGCCAGGGGAAAGAACATCTCCCACTGGAGCTTGACAATATTTGTAGAATTAAGTGAAGTTGTGTTTCTGGTGGTTGAAAGTGTCTGTTTGTGATCTCATGTATTCTATTTTGCTGAATAGGTACTTAGGATCTGATTTGGGAGGAAATGAAAGCATGACCACTGGCAAGAGTCAGAAAGAGCTACAGGCATTGGCATTTTCTGTCTATTTCTAAGATCTTTTTGTCAATCCGGTGTTTGGAAACAACTTTCAGTCTACCTGCAGGCATTTTAAATGAGTCCTTTACCTTGTTTCTCATAGGAAAACTTCATTTAGCTGCATCCACTCCAGGCAAGTTCTTTGTTTTCACTACTTGTCAGTGTTTTTTCTTAATCACTTCCCTCATCTTCCTTCCTCTCTGAGCCCCTCCTTTTCAACCTCCTCCAGTTCCCTACCCCCAGCCCCTAATGGAGTGTGATGTATTATACTTACGCTTTATGAAATTCTCATTAGGGAGGATCCTGTCCATTGACAATAATGGTTGACTTGCAGAATTCTCAAATATGAAGTTTCAATGGTTTGTACATCACATATTGATTTTCTTTCCTTCCACATGTGGATAATATCCACACAACAGTATCTCACACCCCTATTCTTTGTGAAAACATTATGTGGAAAAGTCGATGTCTTGGGTGGATCAATTGTCAATAACAACAGTGTTTCGGATACATAAGCCCTTCCTGTTGTAGTCACACCTTCTCTCTGACTTTAGGGGCTCCTACAAGGTCCTTGTATTTATTTCAGAATAGGCTAGTGTAGAGACTTAAGGAAGAGCTCTCGGCATCAGTCAGGAATTCATCGGTCAGGCCCTGAGCCCTGCCTCTGCCATGCTGTCATTGACTTTGGCCTTAGGTGGGTCATTTTGCATCTCTGGGCCCAGTTTCCCCACCCTTAAAAGAAGAAGACTGGCCTGTCAGGAGTTCTAGCATCCTTGTGATAGGTCATCCTTGTTGGACAATCCTTGTTTTGTTCCCATTAAGCTTTACTTGCCAGTGAGTTCCTTTTCGTCCTTTTGTAGATTCCGTAAGACCCAGAGGGTGAGTCTAGCCAAAGAGGGAATCAAGCTGGGCTAGCCAAAGAATGTATCCTCTTTGCTCCTAATCTTCTGAAGAATAAGTCACTCCAGAGGCAGGAGGAACCATCTCTGATTGAGCCAGTGAGCATGTGGCTGGCTGTCCTTATGAGCCCCAGGCCCCACCATCAGAGCTAAGCTTGCCAAGGAATGCGGTGTTCCTTCCATAGCTCTGCTTCAGATCTGCTTCCCAGCCCTGTCTGTCCTTCTTGGATTAGGCAGCAGCATTCTAGGAACAAATCCCCTTTGCTCAGCCATGCATCACTGCCTTCCAACTCATTTTCTGAATCTCACAGTTCTTGTCCCCTCCCTGCTGGTCCTGGCAAGACTGAATTTGTCAGGCCTTGTTGAGTTCCTGTAGCCTGGTGCATGTGGTTAGGACCTAGGTTGCTTTTGGCTGCTCTAGATATTTTTAAGTACTTTTAATTGATTGGAAAAACATGCTAACTTTGAGTTTTAAAGTATTTGTAATTATACCCCCCCAAGGCCACTGACTTAGCTGTGGGGTTGTCAAAGAGCCATTAATAAGCAAATTAAAAGGAAGAGGTGGAGCCGTAAAAGCAGTTGCAGAACTAGAAGCCAAAAGCAGCACTTTCTGTTTAGTGACTGTAATAGCCCTGACTGTGTGTGGACTCCTGAGATGGAGGACAAGTGAACTTACTATGTGTTTGAAAAAATGGTTGCAGTGGGGCAAATATAAACCTATGCTGTGCCACACTCCTTCAAGGCTGATCTATTTCATGGCCACTTCCAGAATTGTGCAACAGGTGACCTCCAGGATAACTATGGCTTATCTTACAGCAACGTAGTTCATCTAGGATAGAAAATTGTACCTTTATCCCTGGTACCTTCTGACTACAGATGACATAGTGCTTGAACCAATCCTATCTAATCTCTTTCCACTCATTTTTAGAATAAAAGCCAAGCCTCTCATGGATTGGGATGCCCTTAGAGAAAGAATGCTTATTTCAATGCAGTTGTGTTACTGCTTCGTGGTGTCATATATATTAGTCAGTTTCACTGCAATAATATATAGTCTCCAAATCTCAGGGGCTCACGCCAACAAATTTTCATTTCCCACTTGCATTACATAGTGATGGTCATGCACTGATTGCTACAGTTCTGCTCCCAGTGTCTTCTCTTTCCTGGAATCAGAAACATAGCCATGTATAGTTGGGACTTGCTATTTTTGTTTCATAACTGCATTTTTGTACCCAGTAGCTGTCTGCACTCCTTCCCCTTCCCTGTCCTCTTCCCAGCCTCTAGTAACCATCATTTTACTCTTTACCTCCATGAGTTCAATTGTTTTGATTCCTAAGTCTCACATATGAGTGAGAACCTGCGAAATTTATCTTTCTGTGCCTGGCTTTGGGACTGCTGTTTTTGTGGCAGAAAGAAAAACAGAGTATTGGCTGGAAAATGTCATGCTTCAAAGTGTTTGCTTGAACTGGCACACTGTCACCTCTGCTTACATTTCACTGGCCCAGACACCTCATGTTGCCAAGCCTGAAAACATGGCAGAGAAATATTCTCCACGTATGGAGAGGCACCACAAGTCATTCGGAAATGGGTTGGATGTATAATCACTTACAGGGAAGAAAGCCAATATGGGGAATAACAGTCCCATCGATCATCAGGTTCACATGCTAGACAGGTAACTTCATGAGAAAGGCCATGCTCTGGACAGAAGCCTCTGATCCATAAATCTGTCTTTCCTATCCTTGAGTGCTGTTATGTAAGGAAGACAGGGGAGAATAGCTCTTTGATTTTTATATTTGGGAAGGCCTGTGCCAAGATTCCTTTTATGAGATGGGATCTGTTTTTGTTCTAACACCCTTCAGGTTCACTTATTCCTGCCTTAGACGGTGTCTCCTCTTCTGCAAATTGCTCGATTTGTTTGGCTTCATCTTTTGATTGCAGTTGATGGCTTTGGCGTTAATAAATGTTTTGCTCTTCTTTCAGCTGACTCTCAAATGTGCTCTTGCAGATGCAAAATCACTGTGGTTTGGCATCAGACCAGAAGATGTAGGAATCAGTATCAGCAGAGATGTGGGCTTCTTGGTCCAAGGCAGATTCAAGAAGTAGAAGATTACAGGAGAAGAGCTAGACATAGGAATAAATGCATCTATTTCCTTGTTTTAAGAGAGACTATAAAAGTTAACATTTTTTTCTTCACTTTCCACAGGTGAATCTTTTTTGGACCATTTTGCTGTTTTAGCAGTGTCTTTCTCATGGAACATATAGCTTAGATGGTGAAATTATTTTTCTTAACTTTCAGACTTTCTGGAAAGTCAAGGAGGATGGGTGTTTCTGATCTGTGACAACAATGAATTTTTTATAATAACTTGAGATAGGAAAAAAATCTGATTGCAGTATATAATAATCAGAAAATTTCCTCTTTGCAGAAATCAAAATTACTTCCAGCATATATAAAACAATCTTTGCTAATAAAGTAATACAAACCCTCCAGTTATTATTTATTTTTATTGGCTTTTTTGTAAAAGTATAGATATTTATAATACATAATATCATTAATTTTTTTTCCATATCTACATGGTTATTGGCACCCAAAGCAGTGGTCTTTTATTGGGAACAGAATTGCATGGGAACATCTGCTTAAACCCCTTGCCTTCACCATCCGGTTTTGCATTTGTCAGTTTCCTTGTCTGATCTCCTACAGGGACTTGAGATTTGAGAGAAGTTCAATTTCCGCCATTTTCTGTTCCCTCTCTCCACATTTTGCACAATGTCTTTTGTGGCTTTTTTTGTTTTTGTTTTTGTTTTTGTTTTTGTTTTTTTTTGAGGCAGAGTCTCCCTCTGTCACCCAGGCTGGAGTGCAGTGGCACTATCTGAGCTCACTGCAGCCTCTGCTTCCTGGGTTGAAGCAATTCTCCTGCCTCAGCCTCCCAAGTAGCTGGGATTACAGGTGCCTGCCACCACCCCCAGCTAATTTTCATATTTTTAGTAGAGACGAGGTTTTGCCATGTTGGCCGGGCTTGTCTCGAACTCCTGACCTCAAGTGATCTGCCTGCCTTGGCCTCCCAAAGTGATGGGATTACAGGTGTGAACCTCTGCCCCCGGCCTTTTGTGGCATTTGTATTGAATGGAATGAATAACTAAGCCAATGAATGAGCAAAATATACAGTCTTGTTCCAGAAAACAAAAGAACAACAAATGCAGACCAGGCAATAGATAGGGGGAATGCCTGCCTGCCCCAGTTTCCCAACCTTCTTTCCTTGGCTTTTCTGCCTTCCATGCTGAGTTACCTCATGGACCTGCAGCTACTGTGCCAGGACTCCTGGTGTTTGCTTTTTCTCTTCCAACTCCAAGCAATGACAATATCAAGTTTTTTACTCCATGTTAGCACTCTTAGAACCCAATATTTTAAAAATTGACTAAAATTCTAAGAGAAAATGTAAAAAGAAAAAAAATTACAACTCCCATTCAAAAGATGAAAAATAACAGCCTACCACTAATTGACATTTTCCTGTACGCCGGACACTGTGCAAGGTTTCTACAGACATGGGAAGAGGGATTACTCTCTCCATTTTGGAGGTGTGGAGATGATATGGTTTGACTGTGTCCCCACCCAAATCTCGTCTTGAATTGTAGCTTCCATAATTCCCACATGTTATGGAAGGGACCCGGTGGGAGTTAATTGAATCCTGGGGGTGATTTCCCTTATACTGTTCTTGTGGTAGTGAATAAGTCTCACGAGATCTGATGGTTTTATAAGGGGAAACCCCTTTTGCTTGGCTCTCATACTCTCCTGCCTGCCGCCATGTAAGATGTGCCTTTCGCCTTCCGCCATGATTGTGAGGCCTCCCCAGCCACGTGGAACTGTGAGTCCATTAAACCTCTTTTTTTTTTTTTTTTTTTTTTAAATAAAGCAACTGGTCTTGGGTATGTCTATCAGCAGGATGAAAATGGACTAATACAGGAGCCGAGGCCTGGAAAGAGTTTTCCTTGTCCTGTGTCCCACTGCTGGTCAGTGGTGAAGCTTGGGATGAGAACAATGGTTATTTCATTCTACAACCCATACTTTGAAAAGCAGGCATTGCTAAGTAAAATAATTCTAGTTTATGCAGAGAAGAGATTGACTTAGCATAAAGTTCCCTCTTTTGAAGACTCAGTGAGCAGCCTTGCAGCTGCTGCTGTGTAGGCCTTTCACAGTCAGGTTGCCTGGATTTTCTGCCCATGCATCTGACAGTAGCTCTTCTCCCAGCCATAGGTTACTTGTTTTCAAAACAAACACAGGCTTTTCTTTATAAGTTTTTTTCTGGTGCTCACCTCTCTCATCCCCTATACCTCTCTTCAACCTAGGCTCTTCCAAAAAGTACATCAAGCAGGTGAAGTTTACACCTCTAACTTCAGAGAAGTGGTTATTGGTACCATAAAAACCCAAAGCATGGCCAGGAACAGTGGCTCACACCTGTAATCCCAGCAATTTGGGAGGTTGAGGTGGGCAGGTCACCTGAGGTCAGGAGTTCGACACTAGCCTGGCAAACATGGTGAAACCCCGTCTCTACTAAAAATGCAAAAATTAGCTGGGCATGGTGGCGGGTGCCTGTAATCTCAGCTACTCGGGAGGCTGAGGCAGGAGAATCACTTAAACCCAGGAGGCAGAGGTTGCAGTGAGCTGAGATGGTGCCATTGCACTCCAGCCTGGGCAACAAGAGCGAAGCTCCATTTCAAAAAACAGACAAAAAACCCAAAGCTTGGCTGGTCTGCCTCATCTTATTTCCCAATATTTTCCACTTAGTTTCCCTATGAATCTCTTAGATCCTTTAGTGTCTTACTTCTACCCCACCAACAAAAGGAGTAGTGTGTATGAATTAGGATTTTACAATATAAATATACATTTACAGTAACATACTTATAATGAGGATGTTTTTCTCTAAAAAGAACTATGCTAACATACTTTATATAATTGCAATGAATTTGTTTTTCACTGTTTATAACTTCTTAAAAAATATACTGGGCATGAGAAGACCTATCCAAAAGCAGGAAAATCTTATTTTAAGTGCTGCAATTGTGTCAGTTATGTCATGAAATCATAAATGGTGGCTATCTGTCAAAATGTGCTATGTTTCCTTAGACATAAGGAAGACAATGAATTTTCAAGATAACTCACTGATGTGTCTTTGTTAAGCTGACATATTTGGAAGAATTCCCAAATAATTTTCATGGTCAGAGAGATTCTCATTTTGCAAGCTACCCCTAAGCAAGAGGCACTGGGGACTTTGCCCAACCAGTAATATTCAGATGAGTTGCAGATTGTTTAAGTAGCTAAATCATGTTAATCCTCTTTCCATGTATGGCAGCATTTATTTAAAATTATTTATTGAATGCATTCTATGTGCCAGGCCCATTTCCAAGTACTGGATATTCCTGGTGAACAAATCCTACACATATTACTACCTTTAGGGAGCTTACACTCTGGCATTAGGCATCAAAACAACACATTCTGGCAAATGAGGCTGGTAACTTTTAAGGATTAAATAGCTTAGAGTTATCAGAGTGTTGACCAGGCATGGTGGCTCATGCCTGTAATCCCAACACTTTGGGAGGCTGAAGTGGGCAGATCAATGGAGGTCTGGAATTTGATACAAGCCTGGCCAACATGGTGAAACCCGGTCTCTATTAAAAATACAAATATTAGCTGGGCGTGGTAGCAGGCACCTGTAATCCCAGCTACTTGGGAGGTTAAGGCAGGAGAATGGCTTGAACCCGGGAGGCAGAGGTTGCAGTGAACTGA